>NC_000003.12:66676666-66979696 GCF_000001405.40 Homo sapiens
GCTTTGCAAATATTTTCCCTCAGTCTATTGCTTATCTTTTACAGGTATTTTGCGGAGTAAAAGTTTTTAATTTTGGTGAAGTCCAATTTATCTTTATTTAAAAAATTCATGGATCATAATTTTGGTGTCAAGTCTAAGAATTCTTTTTCTAGCCCTAGATCCCAAAGATTTTCTCCTCTTTTTGAAGTATTACTTTATAGCTCAACATTTAAGTCTGTGATCCATTTCAAGTTAGTTTTTGTAGAAGGTACAGAGTTTAGGTTGAAGGTCAGTTTTTTGCCTATGGATGTCCACCTCCTCCAGCACCACTTGTTGAAAAGTTCATCTTTTTTTTTTTTTTTTTTTTTTTTGAGACAGGATCTCACTCTGTAGCCTAGGCTGAAGCGCAGTGGTGTGAACACGACTCAGTGTAGCCTTCACCTACTGGGCTCAAGTGATCCTTTCACCTCAGCCTCCCAAGTAGCTGGAGTCACAGGTGTGTGCCATCATGCCCAGCTAATTTATTTTTATTTTTGTTTTTTGTAGAGACAAAGTCTCCTTGTGTTGACCAGGCTGGTCTCCAACTCCTGGGCTCAAGTGATCCTCCCACCTTAGCCTCCAAAGTGCTGGGATTATAGGAGTGAGCCACTGTGCCTGGCTCCATCTTTTCTCCACGGAATTGTTTTTATGCCTTTGTCAAAATCAGTTTGGTGTATCTGTGTGGATTTATTTCTGGGTTCAGTATTCTGTCCCATTGATTTATATGTTTATTCCTTAGCCAGTACTGCTCAGTATTGATTACTGTAGCTATTTAATACGTTTTGAAATTGGGCAGATTGATTATTCTTACCTATTCTCTTTCAAAATTAGTTTAGCTATTCTAGTTTCTTTGTTTCCACATACAAATTTTAGAATAATCTTGTCTATATCTACAAAACCTACGCTGAGGTTTTTATTTTTTTGAGACAGGATCTTGCTCTGTTGCCCAGGCTGGAGTTCAGTGGTGCAATCATTGGTCATGGCTTACTGCAGCTTTAGCTCCCCAGGCTGAAACGATCCTCCTAACTCAAACTTCTGAGTAGCTAGGACTACAGGCAAGTGCCATTACACCTGGCTTATTAAAAAGTTTTTTTCCTTTTAGAGACACGGTCTTACCATGTTGCCCAGGCTGGCCTTGAACTCTTGGGCTCAAGCAACCCCCTAGCTTTGGCCTCTCAATGTGTTGGGATTACAGGCATGAGCCACTGTGCCTGGCCTGGGCTGGGATTTTGATAGGAATTGCATTAAACCTGTATAATATTTGGGAAGAACTGGCATATTTACTATGTTGAGTCTTTCATCCATGAATATAGTATGTCTCTTCATTTATTTAGATCTTTGGTTTATTTCATCAGCATTTGTACTGTCAGCATATAAGTCCTATACATATTTTATACACTCTTTTTATTTTTTGTCATTATAAGTGTTATTATATTTTTAATTTCAGTATTCATGTGTTCACTGCTAGTATACAGAAATGCAATTTTTTTGTATGTTTATCTTCTCTTCTGTGACCTTGCTAAACTCACTTCTTAGTGATAGAAGTGTTTTGGTAGATTCCTTGAGATTTTCTGTTTCTTTGTTTTTGTTTTTGTTTTTGTTTGAGATGGAGTCTTGCTCTATTGCCCAGGCTGGAGTGCAGTTGTGTGGTCTCAATTCACTGCAACTTCTGCCTCCTGGGTTCAAGTGATTCTCCTGCATCAGTCTCCCAAGTAGCTGGGACTACAGGCATGTGCCACCATGCCCAGCTAGTTTTTGTATTTTTGGTAGAGACAGGGTTTTGCCTTGTTGGCCAGGCTGGTCTTGAACTCCTGACCTTAGGTGATCTGCCTGCCTTGGCCTCCCAAAGGGCTAGGATTATAGGCATGAGCCATTGTGCCTGGCCTCCTTGAGATTTTCTATGTAGACAATCATGTCATCAGCATATAGAGACAGCTGTATTTCTTCCTTTCTAATCTTTATTCCTTTCCTCCCATTATTGTACTGGCTAGAAGTTAACAGTACCATGTTGAATAAGGGTGATGAGAATAAGCATCCTTGTCTTGTTCTCAATCTTAGGGAGAAAATATTCAGTCTTTCTCCATTAAGTATAATGACGGCTGTAGGTTTTTTTGTGGATGCTCTTTATCAAATTAAGAAGGTTCCTTCTATTCCTATTTTTCTGAGAATTTTTCTCATGATACATGTCGAAATTTGTCAAATCAAAGTATGTTCTTCAGTTTCCAAGTTTTGGAGATTTCCCCATGACCTTTCCTTTATTGATTTCTAGTTTCATTTCATTGTGGTCATAGACTTCAATTCTTTTAATTGCTGGTGTTTGTTTTATAGCCCAGGGTATACTACATCTTGGTATATGTTCTGTGGGCACTTTTGTCAGATTCCTTTTCTGCATCAATTGATATGATCATGTAATTTTTCTTCTTTAGCCTATTAATATTTCAGATTACAATGACTGATTTTTGAATATTGAACCAGCCTTGTATCTTGGGAATAAACCCCAACTTGGTAGTCACATATGTTTTCTGAAACTTTTCCATTACAAATTCAATTCCTTTAAATTTTGGGGCTATTCAACTGATCTATTTCATATTGAGTGAGTTGTGATAGTTTGTGTTTCTTGAGGAATGGGTCCATTTTATCTAAGTTGTCAAATTCGTGTGTGTAGAGTTGTTTGTAGTATTTACTTATTATTTTGATGTCTGCAAAATCTGTAGTGATATCCCCTTTCATTCCTGGTATTGGTAATTTGTATCTTCTCAAGTCTTGCTCAAGGTTTGTCAGTTTTATTAATCTTAAAAAAAGCTCTTTTTTTGTTGATTTTTCTCACATAATTGTTTTTCTGTTTTCGATTTTATTGACTCCTGCTGTTATCTTTATTATTTTCTTCCTTCTGCTTGCTTTGGGTTTATTTCGCTCTTTTTCTAGGTTCTTTAGGTAGGAACTTAGATTGTTTATTTGAGAAGTTTCTTCTTTATATACATGTAGTGCTCTAAATTCTCTTAGTATTGCTTTAGCTGTATCTAACAAATTTTGATATGTTATATTTTTCATTTTCATTCCATTGTCTGCATTTTAAAATTTCTCGAGACTCCCACTTTGACATTAGATTATTTAAAAGTATGTTCCTTAGTTTCCAAGTTTTGGAGATTTCCCTATTACCTTTCTTTTACTGATTTCTAGTTTGATTTCATTGTGGTCAAAGAACATACTTTGTATTATTTTAATTATTTTAATTGTTGGTGTTTGTTTTATGGCCCAAGTATACTACATCTTGGTATATGTTCTGTAGGCACTTGACAAAATGTTTACTCTGCTGGTAATGGGTGCATTGTTCTGTAAAAGTCAGTAACATCATACTGATTGATGGCGTTGTTGAGTTTCTTTTGTATCTTTGCTGACTTTCTGTCCATTTGTCCTATTTGTTATTCAGGGAGGAATGTTGAAATCTCACAATACGATTTTAGATTTATTGGTTTCTCCTTCAGTTCTGTAAGTTTTTGCTCCTGCATTTTGCAGTTCTGTTGTTTGGTGCATACACACTTAGGATTGCTGTGTCTTTTTGGTGGATTTACCATTTTATTACTATATAACATTTTTCTGTGTCTCTGTAATTTTCTTTCACCTGAAGTCTCTTCTTTCTTTTGATTAATGTTTTCATATCTTTATCCATCCTTGTACTTTAAACTTGCCTTAGATCATTGTATAGATAGCATATAGTTGGACCATTTTAAATGAAAATCCTTGCTGTAAATCTTTTTATTGTATATAGACCATTTACATTTAATGTGATTATTTATATCTTAGAGCTTAAGTCTTATTTTATGTTTTGTTCTGTTTGTTCCCGCTGTTTTTCACATCTTTTCCCCTGCCATTTATGGGTTACTCTAACTTTTTTTTAGAATTTCATGTTGATTTGATAGCTATTTTAGCTGTTTCTCTAGGTATTAAATTATATATACATAACTTCTCAGTCTACTGGTATCATTATCCAGTTCTAGTGAAGTGTTGCAAACTTATCTGTCTTCATGTTTGATTAGACTTTCTCACTTATAATATAGTTGTCTTTAAATAGTTCCTCTTTACACATTTAGAATTACAGAAGACAATGTTATAACTTTTTTTTGCTTCCATCAAGTATAATTTAGAAAACTCAAAAAAGAGTGAAAGTCTGTTTTATTTTTGCCATATTTTTGCCTATAGTTTTCTACCTTCCTCCCTTCTATATATTTCTGTTTAGAAAACATTAGCCATTCTTTTAGTGACAAATTTTCTTTGTTTTCCTAAGAGAATTGTCTTGATGATCCGTTTATCGCTGAATAGATATTGGGATTCTCAGTTGACAGTTCTTTTCTTTCAGTGCTTCAAAAATATTGTTCCACTTCCTTCTTGCCTCCCTGGTTTCTGATGAGAGATACACTGTCATTTGAATTGTTTTCCTTTTATAGGTAGGGTGCCACTTCTCTCTTGCTGGCTTCTTGATTTTTTTTTTTTATGTTTAGTTTTCAGAAGTTTGATCATAATGTGCCTTATGGATTTTTTTAGGTTTATGCTGTTTGCAATTTTCCCAGGTTCTCAATTCCAGAAATTTATGTGTTTTGTCAATTTGGGAAATTTTCAGTCATTAATTCTTCAGAGACTTTTCAGCCCTGTCTTTTTTCTCCTCACTTTCTAGGACTTTGATGACATGAATGTTGTAGTCCCATAGATTCCTGAGGCTCTGTTTATATTTTTTCAGTCTATTTTTTTTCTGATGTATTCTATTTGCTAATATTTTGTTGAAATTTTTTGCACTCATGTTCTTGACCTTGGTCTGTAGTTTTCTGGTTTTTTGTTTATTTATTTATTTTTTAGAATTGCCTGTTTGATGTTGGTATCAGGCTAATGCTAGTCTAATTAAATGAATGAGGAAGTGTTCTCTCCTCTTCCATGTCCTGAAAGAAATTGTGTAGAATTGGTGGCATCTTTTTCAAATTTTTGGTCAAACTGGGCCTGGAGATTTCGTTTGTGGAAGATTTTTAAAAAACACAGATTCAATTTCTTCAATAGTTTTAGCACTATTCATATTATGTATTTCATCTTGGGTGAGTTTTATTAGTTTCCAGTTTTCAAGGAACTGGTCTATTTCTTCTAAGCTGTTGAATGTATATGTATGTGTGGAATTGTGTGTGTGTGTTTGTGTGTGTTTTTCTTTTGTAGCATTCCTTGTTATCCTTTAAATATTTGTGGAATCTGTAATGATATTCCCCCCTCTCATTCCTGATATTGCTAATTTGTTCTATTTTTTTCCTTTGTCAGTCTTGCTAGAGAATTATTAAGTTTATCACTTTTTTGAAAGAACCAACTTTTGGTTTTACTGATTTTCTCTACTGCTTTTCTGTTTTCAATTTCATTGATTTCTGCTACTTATTTCTTTCCTTTGCTGTAAATGTGTTTTGCCTTTTTTTGGTTTATTAAGGTAGAAACTGAGTTAACTGATTTGAGACCTTTTTTCTTTCCTAATGTAAGTATTTTATGCTACAAACTGCTACAAATTTTCCTCTAAGGACTACTTTAACTGCATCCCATAAATTTTCTATGTTTTACCTTCCTTTTCTTTCATTTCAAAATATTTTCTGACTTCTCTTGAGACTTCCTTTTTTACCTATGGATTGCGTAGAAGTGGGTTGTTTAATTTCTGAATGTTTGAAGACTTTTTGTTATCATTTATTGATTTCTAGTTTAATTTGATCATTGTTCAAGAACAAACTTTATATTTCAGTTCCTTTTATTAAAGTTGTTCAGCTTTGGCTTATGAGTCAGAGTACAGCTTATCTTGGTGAAGGTTCACTGTGTTGTTGAAAATAATGTGTATCTTGATGTGGCTGGGTGGAATGTTCTACAAAATTCAATTCGAAGTAGTTGGTTGAAGGTGTTGTTGAGTTCTGCTGTATCCTTAGGAATTTTTTTGTTTCCTAGATCTACCTATTACTGAAAGAAGTTTGTTGAAGACTTCAACTATAATTGTGCATATGCCTATACCTATTTCTCCTTTCAGTTCTGTCAGTGTCGGTTTCAAGAATTTTGAAACTATGTTACAAGGTGCATAAACATTTAAGATTATTACGTCTTCTTGATGATTTGAATATTTTATTAATATTCAATATCCCTCTTTACCTCTGATTGTATATTCTTTTAGAGCAGGCCTGCTGGCAGTAGATTCTTTCAGTTTTCCTTCACTGAGAATATCTTTATTTCACCTTCATTTCTGTGGAGTTTTTCACTGGATATAGAATTATGCATTAACAGTTCTTTAATTTCAGCACTGAAAGCATGTTGTGCTACTTCCTCTGGCTGCCATGGTATTCTGATGAGAAATCTACAGTTACTTAAATCATTATTTTCCTCTAAAAATACATCGTGTTTCTCTTGCTGTTTTCAAGAAGTTTTTTATAGCTTTTAGTTCAGTAATTTTGTTATGTTTGATGATGTGACTCTTTTGGTTTATCCAGCTTGAGTTTGCCAAGCTTCTTGAATCTGTAGATAAGTGTCTTTTGCCAAATTTGAGAAGTTTACAGCCATTGTTTCTTCAACTATTTATTCAGCATTATACTCCTTCTTCTCTTTTTCTGGAACTCTGATGACATGAATGTTAGGCCTTTTCTTAGTGTTCTGTATGCCCCTGAGGCTTTGTTCATTAAAAACATATATATTTTTCTCTTTACTAGGCATATTAATTTCTATTGATCTATTTTTAAGTTATCTAACTCTTTCTTCTGTCATCTCCAATCTGCTATTGATCCCATACAATGAGTTATTAACTTTGGTTATTGTATTTTTCAGTTCTAAAATTACTATTTGGTTCTGTTTCATACTTTCTATTTAATTACCAAGATATTCTATTTTTTCATTTATTCCAAATGTGTTTGTGATGCTTACTGGAGCATTTGTATATAGCTACTGTAAAGCCTTTGTCAGATAACTTCAGTATCTATGTCATTGTAGTGTTGATGTCAGTTGACTGCTTTTCGAGGCAATTTGAGATTTTTCTCATTCTTTGTGTGCCCAGTAATTTGGATTATGTTCTGAGCATTTTGAGTGTTATAAAACTCTGCGTCTTTTTTAAATTTGATGAAAGTTGTTAAAATTTTTGCTGGAGCAGGCAATCAAACTGTTAGGTTAAGACCACAAATTCCAACCTCTACCTGTGGGAACTGTTGCAAATGTAGTTTCCATTTCTTTTCTTTTCCTCCTCCTCCCCCTCCTTCTTCCTCCTCCTCCCTCCTCCTCCTCCTTTTTCTTTCTTCTTCCTCTTCCCTCACCTCTTCTTTTTCTTCTTCTCCTTCTTTCTCCCTTCCTCCTCCTCTTTTCTTCTTCTTCTTCTTCTTCTTCCTCTTCTTCTCCTTCCCCCCTCCTCTTTTTCTTCTTCTCTTTCTTTCTCCCTTCCTCCTCCTCCTCTTCTTCTTCCTCTTCTTCTCCTTCTTTCCCTCCTCCTCCCTCTCCTCCTCTTCCCCCTCCTTCTCCTTCTTCTACTTCTTTTCCTCCTTAACATTTATCAGTTTATTATAAGGAATATTGCAAAGGATAGATAAAGATGAAGAGATACATAGGGCAAGATATGGGAGGAGGGGCGCAGAGCTTCCATCCACCCTGTGGGAACCTTCACATGTTCAGCTATCTGGAAGCTCCTCATTTCCATTTTTAAAGCCTTTGCAGTGCAATTCTGATGTGTCCCATATGTGTCCCTCAGTGGTTAGTTAGAGACCTTGCCCACGGTCTATGTGTTCATTCAATTCTCAAAGTCTTTGGTTTGCTGATTAGGATCAGACTCATGCATGCGGAGCTTGCAGTGAGCCCAAGTGTTCATAAATAGCTATGGGGTTGCTTTCCTGAGATCCCCCTCTGAACTCTTCCTGGTACTTTCAGTTTCCTAGTGTTTCTCTTGTTGGCCTTCTGGCCTGATAGCTGGGGCTTTAGTTACTTTTGCCATGCATATCTGTAACTGCACAAATGTCCAGGCCCACGTGGCAGGAGGACAGAAAAAGAATAAGATGCAGTGGACGGGTTGTCCCACTCTCTTGGGATCACCACCCTATTGATTGGAGAGGAAGATGTCCTTCCCTTAGAGTTTTGGCTCCTGCTAGCTCCAGCTGCAGCCTCTGTCACTGCTTACCTTGGATTGCTCAGGGGACAGGATGAGAGAAAACAGAGAGAAGGAAATAAAAAAAAAAAAGAAAGTGGGATTTCCATACTGTGTTCTGAGTGTCAGAGGCTCCCTTTCCTCTCTTCCCAAGCCAGTAGTACGAGGCTTCTTCTGGAGTACTGTTTATACCCCAGTGCTCCTGTTTGAGTTTCAGGGTGTGTTGTATTCAGGCCAGGGGATACAGGAAGGGAAAAAGTGATAAACTCACTACCATTTTGGTGGCACTTCAAAGTCTAGTCTTCCTCAATCCATCTGCTACTATTTATTTTTCAGGGTCCTCAAACAACTGCTCTATGCATCCTATGTAGATTTTATAGTGTGTTCAATGGGCGATCCAGAGTAGAGTGTGCCTCCTCCATCTTACCTGGATGGGGACCTCAAAACATGCATTTAAAATTCACTAACACCTATCACCCATCATAAAAAGGCTTAGACCATACTCTGAGAATTACTGGTCAAAAGCAGTGTGTCTCAATCTCCCATTTTTTTCTAATACAGGAACAATTATATGTTTATCAGCCTTTTAGTCATAACACAGTGCCATTAATTAAATATTGTGACTTAAGGTCTTAGATTCTCTCAGCATCCTTAAAAAGTTATATAGCTGGATATTACTTTAGCTCTTGGTTAAAATGTAATCAAGACAGTGATTAAAGACAGACTCTGGTTTTTATCCAAAGTTGAGAAAAGAAAAAGTACTGCTTTGGAAGACATTGTCCATTTTGTTCAGCATTGTTTAAATAAAACATTCCCCTTTGAATTTCATGTAAAGAAAAGGTTCATCACTTCCTATGGACTCTCATGTTTCTTACATGACTTAGGTTCTCTTTTCTGGCTTCCAGAAATCTCAGATCCTCATATATTCTTGGTTCAATTACACTGGATCTCCTTAGCTAGGTCTCCTGAAATAACTGTTTTTCTTCTACTATGTTACATGGATTTTTCTATTTTATACTTATTATATTGATAGACACCAAGTCATAAATGAATTTGATGCAATGGTGGGATTATTAGTTTCCTGTCTTTGATTCTTTGCCATTTTTGGTATTTCCAAAAATCATGCTGATTTTTAAAAATATGAAACTTAAATGAAATAATTACGTTGAACCTGAGTGATGAGCACTTGTGATTTTAGAATGACTATTGATTTTGTATATACTTGAAATTCTCCATAATAGAAAGTTAAAAGTTTTTGGTTTTTTTTGTTTGTTTTTGTTTTTGTTTTTTTTTTTAGAAATGATTACACAGTGCAGCTCTGGTATAATAATAAAAGGGCAATAATTGAAATAGAATGACTAGTCCTGTAATATTAATAGAATAGCTAGTCCTGAAATAGAATAGCTAGTCCTGAAGCTAGAACTAGCACATTAAATTCTGATGTATATGTTGAAGATGCAATAATAAATTAGCAGGAAAAGGAAAGATTTTCAATAGATATCTTGTAATGGGTTAACTATTTGTGCAGAAAAAAAGTTCACTTTCACTGAATACAAAATCTCAAAATTAATTCTAGTTATGTCTAAAAATTAAGTGGAAAAAAATTGAAGAAAAAATATAAAAACTAAGTGATTTTTTATTGACCTCTCTATTTGAGGAAGAACTTCTTAAGGTAAAAACAAAAGATAACAATCACAAAAGGTCAAAGATTTTATCACACAAATATTTCACACTTTGTATTTTGAAAATAAAAAAAGCCACAATAATCCAAAAACAAACTAGGAATATTATTTGCAACAAATATCCCTGGTAAAGAGTAAGCAGTCTACATCTGTGCTAAACTTATGTAAATGAATAAAATGAACAGTAAGACTCAAGCGGATAAACAGTCAAATGTCTTGATAATTTACAAAATAAGAAATGGCTAACAAACATGCAAAAGAAGTATGTTCTTCATTAATAACCTATTAAGGGAAATTAGACCTATTAGATATTACTTATCTGCCAAATGTGACAGTTTTATGAAAAGTGCAGTAAAATAGTTTTTTAAAATAATGATAAAGATTTAATCAAGCTATTTTGTCAAGAGCTTTAAAGCTTTAAAATACCAAGCATTTGATCCAATAATTCTCCTCAGGGAGTTTATCTTAAGGATAAACTTTATATCCTTAAGTTAATGACATATATCCTTAATTCTAAACATACTCATATATAAAATATATAATTATATATTATATGTGTATGTATATATACACACATATACATATATATGTGTC
Source organism: Homo sapiens (assembly GCF_000001405.40). NCBI lineage: Eukaryota > Metazoa > Chordata > Mammalia > Primates > Hominidae > Homo > Homo sapiens. The sequence goes on from NC_000003.12 coordinate 66,687,077, forward strand.
TGTATATACATACACATAAGGTCAAAGATTTTACCTTTGCCATTTTTGGTATTTCCAAAAATCATGCTGTTTTTTAAAAATATAAAACTTAAATGAAATAATTACGTTGAACCTGAGTGATGAGTACATGTGATTTTAGAATGGCTAGTGATCATGTATGTATGTATACAGACACATATATATACATAGATACATGTATATATATACATATAATACATAATTATATATTTTATATGAATGTTTAGAATTCTGTAATAAAAACTTTACTGCAACTACTATATGAATGATCCAACAAACAATTGCACATACATTTGAAACAAATGAAAAAAGGAGATTTCAGCATAAAAATAGAAGATATAAAGAAGAACCAAATAGAAACACACAGACACACACACACAGACAAACACACACTCACAGATGTTTGCTGTAGCCTTAGGAAAAAAAAAATCTAAGACAACTTAATTGTCCAAAGTTATAATGACAGTTCAGTAAATAATTGTATATTTGTATAAGGAATATTTTGCAGGCAATTTGAAATGATATTATTTTTCTCCAGGGGCTTGGGATATGGGAAAAACATGGTGTCATTGTTGAATGGACACAGAGTTTCTGTTTGAAATGATGAAAAAGTTCTAGAAATAGTGGTGACAGTTACACAACATTTTTGAACATTCTTAATGCCTCTAAGCTGTATGCTTAAAAGGGTTAAAACGGTAAATTTTTATGTTATGTGTATTTTACCACAATATAAAAATAATTATTTTGTTGTAGGAAAACACATAATAAAAAAGATCCTATGTTAAAAATGAAAATGTTTATATATATGTTAAAGGGAATCCACTGCTATTTTTTTCCATTAGAATATACTAATTCATGGCCAGGTGCAGTGGTTCACGCCTGTAATCCCAGCACTTTGGGAGACCAAGGCGGGTGGATCACCAGATGAAGAGATCGAGACCATCCTGGCTAACATGGTGAAACCCTGTCTCTACCAAAAATACAAAAAATTAGCCGGGCATGGTGGCGGGTGCCTGTAGCCCCAACTACTTGGGAGGCTGAGGCAGGAGAATGGCGTGAATCTGGGAGGCAGAGCTTGCAGTGAGCCTAGATAGTGCCACTGCACTCCAGCCTGGGCGACAGAGCGAGACTGTCTCAAAAAAAAAAAAAAAAAAGAGAATATACTGATTCACAACTGAGGATGCATATTAAAATCATGAGAAGAGCTTTAAAATATCTAAAAATTCTCAAGATCCACCTCGTATTTATTGAACTATCATTTCCAGGGGAAGGCTTGTTCTATTTTAGTTTTAAGTTATTTTAAAAAATAAAATCTATAATTGATTATAATATATGTCCCATATTAAGAACTATTCTTCTAGATTATTAGAGGCTGAGAGGAAGCAGAACAATTATAGTACAACACCAAATGTATCAAGATTAAAGGAAAATAGTCATACATACCAAACATACACAGAGATTTACTAAAAAGTTATCAGCAGATATATTTGTCAGAATAAAAGATACCTGATATTTCATTGTTTATAGTGTGTGTGTGTGTGTGTGTGTGTGTGTGTGTATGTGATTTCAAATTTTCCACAAAGGGCATTAGATATATAATCAGCAAAAATTTTTAAGAGAGAAGCAGTAAGTAAATCAGTGAACATGTTCCTTTTGAAGAGAGGTTTCCCATTTTAAAACTAGAGATTACCAAAAATCTCAACTTCTACTAAACTGAATGTTCTTGACATTACAGCCAAGCATGTTGTTTGTATTCAGTCAATTGAAATATGTGAAAAAAAAGAACTTATTCTGTTAGGGTTACAATATGGCAAAGGACCAAGTCCTCCCCATCTTTTCCTTTTCTAACCTTGCTCATTAAAAGCACTGAATCTATGGGCTGTTTTGGTTTCTCAGGGTCTTATCATGCTTACAAACAAAGATGCAGCTGTATAGGTCCTTAGTGCTGCTTCTGTTGGGGCTGCTTCTTTATTCATATTTAACACCTTCCTTACCTTAAGGACTTGCAATAATCAGGCAGAGCTTCAAAAAATCAGATCCTGGGAGTAAGACATTTTGACCAACACTTCAGTTTCTGTGAAATACATTTTTCCTCTTGTTCACCTTAAAATACCATGCCCACCTCCATCAGACTTTGGAAAGGAAGAGGACTTTGTGGGTTAGTGAGCACATTAGCTTTTAGGAGGGCAGAACTTGAAGGGCAACAGGTTGATTATGCTCCCTTCCAAAACACCACCCAAGATTAGGAGCTGGATCGTCAGTTACTGAGGAAAGGCTCTGAGACCCAAACCAAATGGTGTTTTAGTGTTGGATATTTTCCTTTTGCCCCTCCAGATCCACTCTCCATAATTCCTTACCAGCTCTGGGCATAGACTCCATCAGCGGGCTCCCTCGCCCTCTGACTTTCCATTAAATGCAGTCAATTAGAGGCATTGTCAAGAAATGTGAGAGCGACGCCCGCAGTGCTCATTTCCCTTGCTCCTTCCTCTGCAGTTTGGTGGTGTCTTTCTCCTGAAGGCCACAACTCCTGTGAGGCAGCCCTCAAGTACAGCTAGAGCTATCCTCTCCAGTTCCAGGAACTTCCTGGTTTCGTCCCCTTTCCCCTTCGAGCTTGGGGTGATACAGCCCTTCTGTAGCTAAGCACAACGTTCCGACCCACCTATTGCTGGTTTCCCTTAACCCAACCCACATTTTTATAAACAACTCTACACTTTTGTGAAATTCTCCTCAACTGTACCATGGAAAGGAGCCATGTGTACCCTGCCAAGACTTTAGGCCACACTTCTCTTGATGTTCAGTAATTTTTTTCTCGTTATGCCTTCCCTAAAGAGCTAAGTATAACGTCTGCTAGCCGAATGGCAGTGATGGCTTCAAGATGAGGCCTCTTTACGTGATCTTGTGGGATGAGGAAAGCTTCATGGCAAAAGAAACACATGTGAGGCCAGATGTGCTCATTGAAATCAATCAACATTCATCAAAGGCATGATGCCAGGATTCACCCTCAACCTTCAGAGATTTTCTGATCTAAGTAAGTGCAGCCTTAAAACACTGGCCATTGACAGTCTCTATCTAAAGCTCACACCAACAATCCAATCAACTCAACAAATGCCTTAAGAGTACAGTGAGGAGTGTTGGTTTAGGTAACCAACATATAGTAGATGTTCACTATTTGTGACACACCCTGCTACTCGCTCTGCAAACCTACCACATTTCACTTTAGTCTTCCCAACTCCCCACACAGCACATATTATTACCACCTTACTGATGAGGAAAGCAAGGCACAGAAAGGTCAGGTAACTCGCCTGGGACGCACAATGAGCAGAATACCCAGCATTCTGATGTAGGTCTGCGGGACTCCAGCCAGGCAGGCTCTGAAGGTTTAGAGAACGTTCTCAGAGAAACAGCATTGCAGATGATAGCCTTGTATATAAGTCCAGGCTCTCCTGGCCTGGGTGAATTACTTTGAACACCTTACCTAACTTTTCTTTTCTTTTTTTTTTTTTTTGAGGCAGAGTCTCACTCTGTCACCCAGGCTGGAGTGCAGTGGTGCAGTCTCAGCTCACTGCAACCTCCGCCTCCCAGGCCTAAGTGATTCTCCTGCTTTGCCTCCTGAGTAGCTGGTACTACAGGCATGCACCACAATGCCTGGCTAATTTTTGTATTTTTAGTAGAGATGGGGTTTCGCCATGTTGGCCAGGCTGGTCTCAAACTCCTGACCTCAAGTGATCCACCTGTCTCGGCCTCCCAAAGTGCTGGGATTACAGGTGTGCAACACCGTGCTTGGCCTGAAGACCTTACCTAACTTTTCTGATTCTTACTTTTCTTAACCATAAAGAAGACAAAACAGTTTCTACATTCCAAGTTAATTTTGACTATTAAAGAAATAATATGGAGGAAGGATTTTTAAATTTTTAACGGTTGTAAAAATACGATTTATTCCTTTGGTTTTCTTTTCCCAATCCCCTAGTACCTTGGAGGTAGCGAATCTGATTCCAGTTTCCATTTCCATGAGATAACCGACAATAGACCAGATGAGCTCTGACTTTCTCAGTAGCAATGTTAACAGTCATAACGATGCCAGTAAAAACAATAATAATTATGCTTCTATGAACAACTCACATTCACTGACCACTAATATGTGCCAGTCACTTTCCTTGGATTAACTGATTTAATCCTCACATCCCCTCTGTGGGTAGACATCATTATCATTTTTTGGATGAGAAGACCAAGGTTCAGAGAGCTTAAGTAACTTGTCCAAGGTCACACTACTATGAAGAAGCCCCATTGGGGTTTGAATTTACCTCTACCCCTGGAGTTGCGCTATTGAATACAGTAGTCACTGATTATGTGTCATACAGCACCTTAAATGTGATTGGTTGGGATGCGCTGGATTTTGAATACTTAATATTTTAAAAATGAAAACATTTCATTAATCATGGTATACTGATTACATATTTTGGATATACTGGTTTAAATAAAATATATTATTAACATAAATGACAATTTTTCCTTTACTTTTTAAAACACAGCTACTAAAAAAATTGAAAACTACATCTGTGGCTTGCATTATACACCCATTGGACAGCACTGGAGTGGAGCAAGAGCTCTGAGGCCCTGCCCCAGCCTTCACTGGGCCTAATTCTAAAACTGCACCATGTACAGTAGCAACAGAGAACAGCAGACATTTGCTTTTTCTCTTTTTTTTTTTTTGAGACGGAGTCTCACTCTGTTGCCCAGGCTGAAGTACGGAGGCCCAATCTCGGCTCACCACAACCTCTGCCTCCTGGGTTCAAGCGATTCCCCTGCCTCAGCCTCCTGAGTAGCTGGGATTACAGGCACACACTACCATGCCTGGATAATTTTTGTATTTTTAGTAGAGATGGGGTTTCACCATGTTGGCCAGGCTGGTCTTAAATTCCTGACCTCGTGATCTGCCGGCCTCAGCCTCCCAAAGTGCTGAGATTACAGGCGTGAACTACCGCGCCCAGCCAGACATTTGCTTTCCATAACATTTATGGGGAGCAGGGGTGGAGGAAGGGACCAAATCCATATTTGTGTGGCTTCCAGAAAGCTACAGCTTTGCAGATTTATCTTCACCAAGAGAGGGATCTGCTTCTTGGGGCTATGACATGTGTGTCTCTAAATATCCTGGTGGTTGAATCCAGTCTGAAAGCAAACATTTCAAAGCCTTTGGCAGAAGCTGTTTAGAGACAGGCTTTCAAGCCATCAGGCCAGCAGATGATGTTTACTTCTTATGACAAAATAGTGAAGTCAAAATTGTATTTCATAGCAGTTACTTTTATGTCCTGAGAATAGAAAAATCCCTTCCAATGACCAAAACACCCCTGCACAACCTCAAATCCCATTAAATAAGTCTGTGGCTTTGCCACTTTGTGGAAAACAGTGCTTCATCTTTCCAGTCCAGACAGGTCCTTAACCTCCTGAGATACTTCTTGCATTAGCAGAAGGTGAGTGTGTGTGTATGTGTGTGTGTGTGTGTGTGTGTGTGTGTATTTCTCTAAACAGACTGATTACGGCCAGGTTCAAAGGTGCACCACCATGTTCAGAAGGGCAATTTGGAAGGCACAATGTTTTCCTGCAAAATGGTTGGCTGGCAACAAAGACTGGAAGAAACAATGAGCAATATGCACCTCGCACAAAGGGCTTTGCACTTCCTGAAGTTGTTCTGCACTCACGATTTCACTGGCCCCTTTTTCACATGTGGATGAGGGAGACGAGGAAACTCAGGCCAGGCAGAGTTTCTGCTTAGCACTAGGGTGAAAGGATAAGATTTGGAATCAGTGGGCTCGCACTTAAGTTTTTGCTCTGCTTTTCTAGCTGTATGGCCCTGGGCAAGTTACCAAACTTCTCCGCGCTTGTTATGTCTTATTTGTGAAATGTGGCTAATACAGACTCAAAAGGTTATACTCTATGATTTCATTCCTATGACATTTTAGAAGAAGAAAATCTCTATCAGAGGTTTCCAAGGGTCAGGGCTGGGCTGAGAGAAGGCCTGCCTACAAATCTTTAGCACAAAGGAAAGTTCTGAGGTGACAACGGTTCCGCATGTTCATCATGGTAGTTAGGAAAACCCAGAAGTAACTGTACAGCAAAAACAAAAAGTGAATTTTACTGAATGTAAATTCAGAACTATTTATCCGATAAAAAAATAACTAGACTAAAAAAAACTCCTCTCTGGAAGGTTGCTGTGGCATTTGAGTTTATACAGTAAACAGCAGGGAAACAACTGAAACCTACTTCTTGATATTCCTACTCTGGTATTTCTAGGTCTGCCACTGCCAAATAGAAGCATAGGAAATGGAATCAACCAAATTTAATTTCAACTCTCAAAAGCAGTGAAGAGGAAAGAGGCTCATGATCCAGGGCTGGAACTGGAATGCTGATGTGGTGACAGCTGAGAACAGGTGGGAGATGGGAACTGGCAAACTAATCTGTACGTGACTCTCCCTGCACGGTGAATTTACCACTAAGAGAGTTTGCAAACCTTCTCCCTGTCCTCTCTGCTTGTCCGTGGTGTTCTTCAGTGTACCCCAGCCCCAGCTCTTCCTTGCCCCACTGACTCTAAACTTTCTCACCGTTTCACACAGATCTAGTTGTGTCTTGGTTATTTGTTTCAGGCACGCTGCCAGCTGGCATGCTCTGTCTACTGCTACAGAAAACAAATCTCTCCTCCATTTCTCATGTGTTACCAGCCTAACAAATACACTACTGTCTATGTTTTACACTGATTCGTGCAAATGACCTGGCTCTTTTCACGCGGAGTGCTTTCTGCAGGCTGGGATTTAAAAAAGATGGTGTGGTCCTCTGCCTGGGCAAAGAGTATTTTTAGCCGCTAGGTTTTAGTTAATTACACTAGCTGTTGCTCATCATGGCTCTTGGTTTCTTTTGTGTTGCTGAGGGGAGCGGGGTCAGCTTCTGAATCTAAAGCATGTGGCTTTGAAACATAAGTAAATCTTTCTTCAGGGTCCCAGCTCTAGTTCTCAGGGATTTCCTCATTGCATTTTCATTTTTAGGATGTTCTGAGGTTGTTTTTTTTCTTTTTTCTTTTTTTTTTTTTTGAGCCTGTCACCCAGGCTGGAGTGCAGTGGCACCATCTCGGCTGACTGCAAGCTGCGCCTTCCGGGTTCACCCCATTCTCCTACCTCAGCCTCCCAAGTATCTGGGACTACAGGCGGCCGCCACCGCGCCCAGCTAATTTTGTTTTTTTTTTAGTAGAGACGAGGTTTCACCTTGTTAGCCAGGATGGTCTTAATCTCCTGACCTCGTGATCCACTCGCCTCGGCCTCCCAAAGTGCTGGGATTACAGGCGTAAGCCACCGTGCGCATCCATGTTCTGAGTGTTTTTGATGCGTTTGTGGTGGGATGCGAGGAGAGAAGTGGTTTCCTCCTCACACCTTGGGTTCTTTTCTATCTTTGCTTGGGAAATTGGCTTTTATTTGCTTTGTAGCCTCTCCTCTCCTTCCTGTTAAGAAAGTGATTATCCATGCACAAAATGGAAAGTTTTCAGGCTCAAGCATGCTTGTGAAGGGGAGTTGGAGATTTGGAATTGTTTTGGTGACCTCCAGGAATAAAACTAGGAAATTCAAGGGAGCTGGTTTGTGAAGGCTTCTAATTAGAAGTGCCCTCAAATGCCTTCATATGTAGTGATGTCCCTATCAACAGAGGCATTCGAAAGGAGGCTGGAGGGCCACTTGCTGAGGATACTTGAGAGAAGCTTTATGCATCCTAGAGGGGTTGGTGCTTTCAGAGTTCTCCTAAGCTCAAGCCTCTGTGATTCCACATGACTCCTTAACTTGGAAAGTAAGACACAGACACAGAAAGGGCATACAATCAACCTTTTCTGGAAATAGGTTAAAACAGTGTAGGGGCCAGGTGGAATAACTCACACCTATAATCCCAGCACTTTGGGAGGCTGAGGCAGGAGGATTGCTTGAGTCCAGGAGTTTGAGACCAGCCTGGGTAATAGAGTGAGATCCAATCTAAACGACACACACGCGCGCGCGCACACACACACACGCGCCTGGGCAACATGGCAGAACCCCGTCTCTACAAAAAGACAAAAATTAGCCGGGCATGGTAGCGTACGTCTGTAGTTCTGGCTACTCAGGAGGCTGAGGTGGGAGCATCACTTGAGCCTGGGAGGTGGAGGTTGCAGTGAGCCAAGATTACACCACTGCACTCCAGCCTAAGGGACACAGTGAGACCCTGTCTCAAAAAAAAAAAAAAAAAAAAAAAAGAAAAAAGAAAAGAAAAGAAAACCTGAAACTAACAAAAAACAGTACTGGGCTGGATATCTTCTGTCTGTCTTTCTTGCTTGTTCTACTTTCCATCCTTTTAGATTTTTCCGTGTCCTGAGAGGCTGACACATATGGGTCACTTCAACAGGCTCCTGTGCCCTCTGGCTTCCAGGGGATTTCAGCCACTGGGGAACCCAGGAAGATGATCGGAGGGGAGGTGGACAGTGAGGTCGGGGATTTTTCTCATCTCTTTCTCTATGGATTTGGGACATGGTGGGTAAAATATCTCTCTCTCTCTCTCTCTCTCTCTCTCTCACTCTCTCTCCCGTTTCTATCGCCTTCCCTGTCTCAGTTCCACTTCCTTCTCATGTCTTTTCAGGCCTAGGGATAGTGAAACTCTCAACTTATTCAGTGTGAGTAGGCCATCTCTTTCTTGGCAAGACCCTGCCTGACACAAATATTCAACACCTACTCTGTGCAATGGAAAATATGGCATAGTTCTTTCCCTCAAGTGCTTTCCAGGATGGTTATGGAGATAGGATGAAAATCTTGGGAGAGGAAACAGATACATTTTTGTTGTGGTGGCTTTTGACACCATGGGCTCTGTAATCCTAGGACATAAGAACTGTGCCTATATACATGAGCTAACCAGACGAAATTCTGCTAAAAATCAAACAGACCAACGTTTCCATGAATTCGATCAAATAAATGTCTTATTTCTTGGCTTTCTGACAAAGAATTGACCGAATATTCCTTCTGGATGAGCTGTTTCAGCATAGTCTTCAGACATGGCCTCTGGCAGCATTTGTGGAATGACAAAGTTAACTTTGGGGGAATGACACACAATGGGGACCAGTGGTTTCTGGCAACCCCGGTGTGATCTGGGAGGGTCAGGATCAGAGGATGCATGTTGCAGCTGGAGCCCAGGATAAGGTTAGTATATCACACTGTGGGACCCACAGAGCTGCCTGGTCACAAAACAGAAGGAGTCTGAATTTCCCCAAGAAGAGGGAGGCGCCTGCAGAATCATTAGTAGGAACAGAAAGCCAGTGCCCCTTCTGGGAGGAGTGAGCGGGGAAGAAAAATGTCCTCATGTATTCATGAAAAGACAAAGATGCACACAAGGCTTCACCTTTATACCCCACTTTATGGAAATGGGCAAAGTGGTTTGTACATAGAGCACAAAAAATTGCGCACGGGTAGCTTTGACTTTCTGTCACAAACTCTCAGTTTTCCTTTAAACTAAAATGTGTCAAGTCAGGGGCTGTGCTGCATTTGTTCACCTTATCTCCAGGTCTTAACACAGTATCTGATCCACAGAAAGTGTTTAGTGAATCATTGTGGAATGAAGGTAGAATTGCTACGTCTTCCTTCATCTAAAGCAACATTTCTCTTATTCATCAAATTGTACGATTTTAACTCCCCATCTCTCATCATTTCTCCTCCTATTTCTAAGGAGTTCTACCTCCTATGCAAAGTCTGAGAATCCCAGGGGTGTTCACTGGCATAAGTGAGTACTGTCCTCTACAAAGAAGATCTTGGAAAATATCATTGATCTATCCGTGATGCTCATGTTGTGCTACTGTTGTTATTGCTGCCACATAGTATGGCTCTTGAGAGCAAAGGTCCAGAAATGTGGGGTAGTCTTGGACCACAGAGAAAAATTTTCCAGGTATCCATTGCTGGCCCAGTAGCAATCTTGCTTGGTCTTAGAAATGGGGAAATAGGCCGGGTGCAGTGGCTCACGCCTGTAATCCCAGCACTTTGGGATGCTGAGGTGGGCGGATCATGAGGTCAAGAAATCAAGACCATCCTGGACAAACATGGTGAAACCCCATCTCTACTAAAAATACAAAAATTAGCTGGGTGTGGTGGCACGCCCCTGTAGTCCCAGCTACTCAGGAGGTTGAGGCAGGAGAATCACTTGAACCAGGGAGGCACAGGTTGCAGTGAGCTGAGATTGCGCCATTGCACTCCAGCCTGAGCGACAGAGCGAGACTCCATCTCAAATAAATAAATAAATAAATAAATAAATAAAAAAGAAATAGGGAAATAAAGGCTTTCTCTCCCTTGGTTAAATTCATCATAATCTATTCTACACAAACTAGAAGAGCGCTAGACCCTTCTTTCCTGGTCACTTTCTATCTCCTAACCCTGTTTCCTTCATGGTACTTATGACTAGTTGAAACTATATTTATTTGTTATTTATCCTGTCTCTCCTTCTCTAGAAGCTAAGCCCTGTGGGAGTAGGGAACAACAGTATCCCCAGCACCTAGAATGTTCTGGGCACATGGTAGGTACTTAGTAGGCTTTGCTGAAGGATTGAATGAAGGATAGGTCACTTCATATTGGGGTATGGGCTCCCAATAATATATGTAATTCTTTAATATACAGCTCTTTTAATATGTGGGCACTCACACATTCTTACTCCAAGACAATGTTTGGATAAGGAGGGATTGCTAACTTGCAGCCACATATCATGTTCAGAACTAACCTACCCCTCCGTGGAAAACATAATCCTGCTTTGAGGTGAATCAACGAGCAAGTTATGGTGAAATTTCTCCTGTGCTCCCTGGCCTCATCTGATCCATCCTAGTCTATCAGAAATACTATATAAAGCAGAACCTCAGAAGGTAAGAGGTATCACTGCTTTTTCCCAAGATTCCCATTGATCCTTAAGTCAGAGATGACTACTTGTCTACCAAAACCATTTCGCTAACTTTCTGCACCCAAGGTGGACTGACTACCTTTCCCATCCTCACATGCAGAGAAATGTCTCTGTGACAGTCCTACTCAAGGTAATGTGGGCAGAAGTGATGTCCATGGTGAAAATTCTTTTCTTTGAGTCTACGAGACTGAGAGGATCTGGCAAAAGCCACAGGGCATGGTGGATCCAAGATAGAGCTTGGATCTCTGATGCTGTCCTCCTGAACATTAATTTTTATGTGAGTGAGAAATAGAACAATTGACTTGAGCCACTGAGATGTTCAGATTTATCTGCTATGGCAGGTAGGTAGTTGCCCTAATACAGTTCCTACAGAAATTTATCCCCTACTCCATTAGTATTCTAGGAGCTTTACAGAACAGGAGACATGGGGGAATGCTAGTCTTAAGCCATTACAAAGAGGCTTTACTTGCCTTACATCTGCTAACTCCAAAGGGCCAATCAGATTCTCCCCAAGAAAAGAAAATGTGAGTGGATGTTTCCACCACTACAAACAGAAGCTTCTGGAAATGTCTACATGAAAAAAATTTTTTTAAATCTCATTGGCACCTCACTGCTAATGAACAAAAGTACACACATTTTAGTGATGGAAATACCTGCTGTGGGATGAAACTGTATGATGTAGCAGAAAGCATTTTCGGACCAAGAGACTTAAAACCTATTTTTAATCCTTATGGTTCTGTCTTAACAAGCTGCATGAAGCTTGGACCCCTCTCTTTACCTCTCCAGGCTTCATGTGGTATTAAAAATGATCCATGAAGGTAAAACACATTAAATGGTTCAGGTTTTGTATACTGTAATGGGATGGGTAATTCAATTCAACAAACCTTGATTAAGATATGTTGGAGATGGTTGATCTAAATGAGATAAGATGTCTGGGAGCAGTGGCTTATGCCTGTAATCCAAGCACTTTGGGATGCAGAAGTGGGTGGATCACCTAAGGCCAGGATTAGCTGGGCATGGTGGCGCATGCCTGTAATCCCAGCTACTCAGGAGACTGAGGCAGGAGAATCGCTTGAACCTGGGAGGCGGAGATTGCAGTGAGCCAAGATCATGCCATTGCACTTAAGCCTGAGTCACAGAGTGAGACCTCATCTCAAAACAAAATAAAATAAAAATAAAATAAAATAAAATAAATAAGATCAGACATAGTCTGACCCCCAAGATCTTCCAGTCTACTGGAGGAAACAGATAGTTGAATGACAAACTGTAATCCCTAATAAGCTGAAATAACAGCAAACTATCAGCAATGCAATCTGGGTGTGTAAAAGCAGTGATTACTTTTGACCTGGAGAATGAAAAAGGCTTTAACAATATTCCTAATGTTCTTAAGAAAATGGGTAAATTTTCTAAACAGGACTTACAAAGACATGTATGATTTGCCCCCACCACCCCATTCCTCCCATGGGCTTCTTTGGCCTTCTCTCTTGCTGGTACATATGCAATTTTCTGTGCTCCAGTGATAGTTACCTATTTTGAGTTCTTAAATTTGCCACATTCTCTCCTCCAAGTCTTTGCACCCTCCTTTATCACTTCTGCTTCCATTGCATAATGTGTACTATCTTTTATGCTTTAGTTCATGAGTCACCTCCTCCGGGAAGCATTCTTTGACTCTCTCAGTTCAGGTTAGAATCCTTTGTACCACTTAGCATTCTATTAGTTGTAAGTAACAGATACTGATTAAAATGGTATTAAAACATGACAAGAAATATGGAGAGACACAGAGCTAGGATTAATTCTGTGATATAACAATATCAAGACTTGGATTCAACTTTTCTGCAGTTCTCTTGACTTTTGCCTCATGGTCACAAAATGGCTGCTGTAGTTCCAAATTATGGCCTCTGACAAAACAACCAAGATTAGGAAAAAAGTAAAATAACTTGTGTTGATATTACTCCTCAAGAAAAATCCTTCCCAGAAGTGTTTCAAAGATTTTCTCATACATCTCTCTGGCCAGAAGGGGCTTATATGTTCATGTCCTAGCTGCAATGGAGGCCAGAAAGTGAGAGTCTGGGATTTCCAGAGAAGGAGGTATTGCAAGTTTGGAAGAAATAGGATATGCGAGACTGTTGTGGAGGTCAAAAACAGGGCCTCCCTCTGAACTGCCACAGCCCCCGTTCCCACTATGGCTCATCATTATGTTGTATGTAGTAGTTTACTTGACTATATCCACTAGCCTACAAGCTTTGTTAGAGAAGGACAATTGTACTGGATGAATGAAAAAGAAACAGCGTTATTATCACCAACCCTTCTAATAACAAAAGTAACAAACTGAAATCACTTCAGTCTGTGAGTAGTAAGTCTTCACCGTGCAGAGGCTTCCTGGTGAGATCCTATCCGGTAAGACCTCAACCTCAGGGGCTACTATTGATGGACAAAACATAACAAAGTACAATTCCCAGGCCTCTACCAGGTGGTTAAACAAGGTGGGAATAGTGAAAGCAGAAAATTTGAGAACTGGTAGAAGCAGAACTTCACAGCTGAACTGGTCCGGTAGAGACCAAACAGGAATGTGTAAGACTGCGGATTTATTTTGGTTGCAAGAAACAGAAACTAACTAACCAGTTAGTTGAGACAATAAGGAACATTTTTACTCTGTCCATAACAAGAAGCCTCAAGGTAAGGCAGCTGAGGGTTAATTCTGTCTCGTCATCTATAGCTTGGCTTTCCCAGGGTTGCAAGGTGGCCACCATAGTTGCAACCTCTACATCAACAATGTTCGCAAGATGACACATTTCCCCAATGCCTCTTTTTAAGGGAACGTTTACCTTTTCCAGAAATCTCCAGAAGAATTTATTTCTCTTTGGGCAGCTCTGGGTTACATATTTATCTATAAAACAATCACTGGTATGTATAATGAGATAATCATAATTGAATTAAACCAAGCAATGTTTTCTTAATTACACACGGACATCCCAATTTTATTGTGTATAATGAAGAAAATCTTGTTCTCCTCCAAGGAAAAACAAAGGGAAGTGGAATGACTATTGGATAGGTAGCCAATGACATCTGTTACAAAAGGTTACCTTGGAACTAAGCAAATTCCAGTTTTCAGTGAGTAAGTCTTACAAGGCTGAATCTCAATCCACACCTGGCACTGCAAAAACCCTGCAAAGGAAAGAATAACCCAGGTTAGAACGTTTGTCAACTGGTTTCTTCTGCTTCTGTCTTATATAGAGATGCTTATCATTCTTCAGAATTCCTAGGACATGGATACAGAATAATCTACGACATTCACAACCTCTGGGTTACCTCTTTGCAGATGGGCCAGTTTTGTCATTTCTAAGCACCAGGATTCATGTATCCTGAGCTGTTTCAGGAAAGGAAGACACAGGCCCCCGTCTCTACGCCTGTGCTTTAGGTCTGAGCCTGCATCCTACTCATTGATATCTAAGCAGCATCTCCCTTTCTACCTTATCATTTAGAGGAAAACTTCCTTATTCCAGATATGGAACTCACTTTGGTTGTTCTCAAACTCTGAGGCAATATCTTCATTAAAAGTTTTAAGCCAAGAGAAGATGTTTCCCACCAGGTGGAAGCAAAACAGCTTCAGAATAGATCTTGGTCCAGCTGGTCTTAAGGGACAATTAGCGTTGTTTACTTTCCATGACCCAAGGCATGTCTAAGTTCAGGCCAGTAACTACTTCTAAGCTGGAACTTTACCCATGGACACCAAATTATTCTGCTGCCTAGTCATCTGGGTCCCTTTTATTAGATGTTTTGAGATTCTAAGTCCGGGCTCAGTGGACCAAATCTGGCCTGCCACCTGTTTTTTGTAAGTAAAGTTTTATTGGGACACGGCTGCACCCATTCATTTACATATCATCTATGGCTGCTTTTGATCTACAACTGCAGAGTTGAATAGTTTTGGCAGAGATCCTATGGCCTCCAGAGCGTACTGTCTGGGTCTTTGCAGAAAAGTTTGCTGACTTCTGTCCAAGGGGGAAAGAGCAAGTGAAAAGCATGAAGGTTCTAAGCGGGATAGATGCTCCAAATTCATACGTAAACACTAAGCAAAAGCTACAGAGATGCTAGAATGGGTTCAGATGGTTTGAAAGTCAGCACACTGGGTCAAGCTGGGTCTTACGAGGACTCTGCTCAGCCAGTGATATATAATGGGCACCTCACAGGGAGCTGAGCCAGTTCCATGTCTCCCTGGAAGAAGCATTGCACTTCACAAGTGTTTATGTTCTCAAATGTGAAACCTGGAGACGGTTTTCTAAATAGGACTTTAAATGCTCCAGTCTGGGTGTTTTTGCAATCTGACACACACATCCATTAGAGCTGCTCCATGGAGCCTCTGGACTGACCGTAAAAACTCAGCCACAGACCTCCTTGGTTTTCAAACAGGAGCCCAAGAAAGACCACAACAGAAACCTGTTTATACAGTTCAGGTTTTCTTAGTAACACAAGGCAGAGGTCAGACAAGTCTTAATCACTTGCTGTAAGAATTGATTTCTGCTGGAACCTAAGGCAGACAGACTTATCTGCTTAGGGTTGTGGTTTCTTATCCCTTCTTAATAAAAAAATAAATAAATAAAATAAAGCCATGGAAGATGGCTGGATGTGGTATCTCATGCCTGTAATCCTAGCACTTTGGGAGGCTGAGGCAGGTGGATCGTTTGAGCCCAGGAGTTTGAGACCAGCCTGGGCAACATAGTGAGACCCCATCTCTACAAAAAATAAACATAAACGAGCCAGGCATCGTGGTGTACATCTGTAGTCCCAGCTACTGGGGAGGCCAAGGTGGGAGGATCACTTGGGCCCAGGAGGTAGAGCCTGCAGTGAGCTGAGATTGTGCCACCTGTACTCTAGCCTGGGTAACAAAGAGAGTGCTTATCTCAAAAAAAAAAAAAAAAAGAAAGAAAAAAAGAAAAAGAAAAGAAGCCATGGAAGATAATATTAATCACTCTTGTTTTAGACACTGCGCTAAGCGTTTTATGTGCATTATCTTACTTAATCTTTACAATGCTCCCGTGAAGAAGGTACTATGCTATATGACCTCCTTTTTAGAGATGAGGAAGGTGAGGCCTAGCACAGAGTTCCTTGAGTCTGGTGAGCTTGTGAAAATGCAGATCACTGGCCCTACCCCAGGGATTCAGATTCAGCCTCTCTGGGGTGGGACCTGAGATTCTGCATCTCTAACAGGTTCTGAGGCTATGCCCATGCTTCCGGCCAGGGCTGCACTGAGCGCACTGGCCTAGAGTTTAAGGGAAAAGCTAACTCTCATGACCATTTGTGGCAGGATAAGCTCTCAAACCCAGGTTTGAGCATGTGACTTTTCATTCTTTTAATCAGTTTTCATAAACTGCCTCCCATGAGCTCCGAAAATAAGTGAGTGAAAGGCATTTAAACACACACCCAGGAAATCAGGTCAGAAACTCAGTGGTTGCTATTTCTAAAATGACCCAAATCTTTCTCAATTCGTGTCTCGAAATTTTGGCCATGTTGGGAAGTCATATTTGAACAATATATAACCACACAAGCATGTAAATAATTAAATTGGAACTTTGGCCTGGCCTAGAATAGTAGATCTGCTAATCTTCTCCAAATTATTAATTCTAAGAAGTCTTACCCAAACTAACCTTGCCTCCATGCTTTCTTAATGTACTCTCAGGACTTGAGAAAGAGATTGTTGCCACACAATGTTGCTCAATAGTTTCAGCTCTATACATCAGGCTTTCTCTTCTCATAAAGATCAGAAATTGCTTCAAGGGGTTATTTTCCCTGTCTTAACATCTTAATGCTGTATTGTGCCTGAGTAAACAATATTCAAAATGCTATATAGTATACAGAATATCTGGCAGTATGGCATAATGTTAAGAATGTGGGTTTTGCATTCAAACTTTGAATTCACATACAGGCAATGCCACTTACTGTGTGGTTAAGTTCCTAAACTAAGTCTGTTTTCTTATTAGTAAAGTGGAGACCAAAATACCCCTATAAAGTTGTTATATCACATGTAAAGCACTCAGCCATGACATATGGAGAGGCCTAAAAATGTGAATTACAAATTATTGTGTAATTTATTATATATACAATTAGATCATATAAGTATATATTTATATCTTACAATTATATATTGTTACTGTAGTAACATAATTACCTTACTACTATATTAATGTAAAATTAATTATATAGAAGAATCATTATATTAATATTAACCAATATATTATTGATGTAGATTAATATTGATATATAATGTATATTATATATAATTATTTATAATTGTAATATTTTATAATTGTAAACTTTGTTTAAGCTCTAGAAAAATGTGTTGACTAAATGCATCTTTCTTTGTTGCTTTTTTTTAAGACAGAGTCTAGCTCTGTTGCCCAGGCTGGAGTGAGGTGTCAACATCTCAGCTCACTACAACTTCTACCCCCTGGGTTTAAGCAATCCTCCTGCCTCAGCCTCCCAAGTAGCTGGGATTACAGGTGCACACCACCACGCCCAGCTAAGTTTTGTATTTTTAGTAGAGAGGGGGTTTCACCATATCAGCCAGGCTGGTCTCAAACTGCTGGCCTCAAGTGATCCTCCCACCTCAGCCTCCCAAAGTGCTGGGATTACAGGCAGGAGCCACCACACCCGGCTTAAATGCATCTTTGAATCTAGTCAGTTTTAGCTGAAGAAACACACAGCCGTGGATATGTTAGTCAATTAATGTTAGCTGCAGACAAGGCTGTAGTAAAGAAGGTTCCAGGCTTACTGGCACATATCCCTTTGCTAAGATTATTTTCCTTCTGGAATAACCTCTTCTTCACTTTTTGCCTATCCATTCTTCAAGTCTTTCCTCTGCTATGAGGCCTTCACAGATGAAGCTCATACTCTCTCATGTCCATGAACACAACACCATTTGGTCAATTCCACAGATGAATTTATACTCCCTTCAATTTTTTCCTGTGTACAGCCTTGTTCTCCCAGCCAGAATATATTCTCCTTGAGAGCAGTTATTCATGTCTGACTTGTTTTGTACCTGCCAGACTACTCGGTAAGTACTTGAATACAAGCACGGGAAAAAACAATAAATTTAAATATATTTATTGAAAAGAAGCAGGGTCTAAATTGTGATGCAAACATGTTAAGCCCTTGCAGAATAATCATTAGTTCTATTTTGCAAAATAACATTGCATTCAAACCACTACAAGTACAAAGCATGGTTGGGCTTTATAGCTCTAAAGAGGCTAGACAGAGAAATAATGAGGCCATTCTACTGTACTGCCCACAGCAACAACACGATTTGGCATACACTGGAGACTGGTGGTATAAACATTTCTTAGTCCAGATCTTAAAAGGGACTGTAATCCTAAACTCACCTCTCCTTTAACAAAGTTATTATGTTTTGGCATTAGGCTAGATTAAAATATCATATGAATTGAGCAGCTGAAGCTTGGATCTGGTAAAGGGGGACATTAGGGTGATGCTCTGGGAAGCACAATGAACTAAAAACCTACTGGTAGACAAGGTTTTGTATTTTAATTCGAACACTTGGCTCCTTATGTAGAGAATTTTCAACTAACTTGAAAAATTGCTGTTGAGACAGGAGCCTGGAACATCTGATGGCAGTGGTTATGTGTTCACGGAAAAATCAACACTACCCCCTGGACTGATGTAATCACGTTGCTTAGAGTCACTTGAATCAGGATCTGCTGACCCATCTTACTTTTTTGCCCGTAGTGGTGGAAGAGAGAAGTTTCACTGTATGTGACAACTGACAAGTAGGGAGGTGCTTCTCAAACTTTAACATGCACGCAAACCACCTAGGGATATTGTTAAAATGTAGATTATGATTCATTAAGTCTGAGGCAGGACCTCGGAGTCTACATTTCTAATATCTCAGGTGATATTAACATTCCTAGTCCAAGGACTGCGCTTTGAGCAGCAAGTAGGTAGAGGATGCGGGAATAGTTAATACATTGCTGCATACACCAACCAGCCTCGATGCAATGAGGAGGCATCTGCGCTGTTTTAAGGGGGATGTGTATTAGTCTGTTTTCATACTGCTGTGAAGAAATAGTGGAGACTGGGTAATTTATAAACAAAAAAAAAGGTTTAATGGACTCACAGTTCCACGTGGATGGGGAGGCCACACAAATCATGGCAGAAGGCGAAGGAGGAGCAAAGGCATATCTTACATGGCGGCGGGCAAGAGACGTGCCAAGCCAAAGTGGGAAAAGCCCCTTATAAAACCTTCAATCTCATGAGAACTTACTATCAGGAGAACAGCAGCATGGGGGTAACTGCCCCCATGATTCAATTACCTCCAGCTGGGTCCCCCCCATGACACAAGGGGAAAATGGGAACTACAATTCAAGATGAGATTCAGGTGGGGACACAATCAAAGCCTATCAGGATGGAAACATGAACCTTCTAGAAATGAAGATCAGGGAGGAATTCAGTAGACTTTACAATGAGCATCATATCTAGCATCCTTTGTCAGAGACATCAGGTTCACTAGCCCAAAGGACACTCTTTCCTTTCTAAATCTTCAAAGTAGTGACTTTAGAGAAGTAGCTAGTTAAAAGGATGGCAAAAGAGTGCTACTACAGGCAGTGCACATGAGCCTGGAGTCAGACAGCCTAGCTCTGACTCCCAGACCTGCCACACAGTCATCGGCTGTGATCTTCGGAAAGGCGACTTTTCTCCCTAAGCCTCAGTTCACATAACTGGAAAGCAGAGATAATACTCGTAGGGCTGTTGTGAAGACCCCAGAAGGAACACATATAAAGCACTTCATTCTATGCATGGTGCATACTAGTCAATACATCCAAGTAATTTTTTTAAAAAAATTAGAAAACCAATCAATCAGTCAAGAGTGATTGAGTACTTGTTTGTTGGACACTGTCTTGAGGCAGTCCTAGGGAAGAAAGAGTAAGGAAGAGAGAATTAAGAAGAGGAGAAGGAGACACAATCACAGGTCTCAAGTAAATCCCAGAATATACGTGGAGAGGCAAACACATACGCATGTGGAATTATTTAGTATTTCCACAGCAACACGCCAAGACACATCACAAATAGAGTTATAGAGCACACATAAGCCATTTGAAGAAAGCAAATGTTTAAAATGATATCACTGGAGACAGGAAACTGAAGGAGTCCCTAGACAAAGTCAGAGCTGTATTAAGTTTCTTTTTTTAATGTTTCATTTTTCAGCAGGATATTGACAAGAGCTGCTGTCATATGGAAACTATTTTTTAGAAACACCTGGAAGAACTAATTTGGGGGATTGAATTTTTTTTCTTTAACACAGGCTTAACATATAACAAAATACAAGGTGTGTCTGAGATGCAAACCTGGTAAGAGATTAGATCATCAAAGCTAAATTACCTTAATTTCCATATTATTTCTGAGAATAGCTTGAATAGACCTTTTGGGTCACAAGCCACCATTTGTGAAGAACTCATAGACATTTTTGTAAGGCTCACAATATTCAAAAGGCTATTTTGATATTTTTCTCATAAAGACATCTCTGCAAAAAAAAAAAAAAAAAAAATCAAAAGAAGACCAGGAGCAGTGGCTCACGCCTATAATACCAGCACTTTGGGAGGCCGAGATGGGTGGATCATGAGGTCAGGAGTTCGAGACCAGCCTGGCCAACATGGTGAAACCCTGTCTCTACTAAAAATACAAAATTAGCTGGGCGTGGTGGCATGCGCCTGTAATCCCAGCTACTCTCGAGGCTGAGGCAGGAGAATCGCTTGAACCTGGGAGGCGGAGCTTGCAGTGAGCCGAGATCACGTCACTGCACTCCAGCCTGGGTGACAGAACAAGACTCCGTCTCAAAAAACAAACGAAAAAAAAAAAACCACCATAAAACCAATTTAACACTTACTGGTCTAGAAAAATCAGATCTGTTCATATACATGGGTAAAATGGTTTTTAGCTATCCAAAACTACAATTTTTATTCGTGGCATGTGTGAGTGCTGTACAATTCACATAAATCCCATATTTGATTCTCACAAGAAACGTAAGACACAAGGACTATTATCACTTCCACTTTATGGATGGTGACATTGAAACGTAGAGACGTGTAGTAACTTGCCTAAAGTTGCACAGCTAGGAAAAGATGTAGCTGGAATTTGAACTAAGGATTTATGTTGTTAAATCTACTTTCTCTACTATTCTTACCATAGAGCTGTATTTAGCTTCATAAGTGTTTGTTTTGGGGGAAGGTTGCATGTTTCTGATTTATCTTTCAAGAATATTTGCCCAAATCAGTGACTGGACCCAAAAAAAGAGCTGGGATTATGTCTTCGTGAGCTCAATGGATACATAAGAATGCTCTTTTTCAACAGCAGGCACATGCGATCTCTATTTGACCACCTTAATGTGATTCTCCCTAGACAAACTCTTTCCTCTTTATTTTTATTTCTGTCTCCCATACACATTTTCTCAGAGAACAACCCAGTTTACCACAAGCCTGAATGTTGGTGCAAGAGCGTATCTAGAAAGACCCAATATTTGAGAGACTTCATTCTATTTTCCCATCTCCACGTAAGAGACCAGAATGTCAATGTCATGGTGGAGATGGAGGTGAATAGGGGTGTGGTCCCTGTCTATACCTCCAGCAAGTTATGTAATCAATCATGACCCCCAAGATTTGTGACCTTCTTAAGGAAATGATGATGCCCTTCTCATCATTGTACCTTCTAGCACAGTGCCTAGTAGAGAATCCTCAAAAACGATTGGATGGAAACTTGGGCCAGTGTGGATCACTAGAACTTCTGCAGTGATGGAAACATTTATTATTTGCATTGTCCAATATGGTAACCTCTAGTCGCAGGTGACTACTAAGTGCTTGAATTAATGGCTGCTAAGGAACTTATTTTAAATTTTTATTTTAATTTAATCAATTTTTAAATTTGAATAGACCCATGTGACTAGTGGCTACTGTACTGGACAGCCCAGTCCTAGGCTATAAAATCAGGAAAATAATTCCCCATCTGTTTATCTTACAGCTTGTGGTGAGGAATACATGAAATAATGAATAAATTAAAGATAGTATCATATGAGGAAATCAGATGGTTTGGTTTAAATCCCAGTTCCATTACCTTCTATCTCTGTGACCCTTGACAACTTTATTTAACTTCCCTGAGCCTCAGTTTTCTTATGTGAAAAATGGATTTAATGATAACTACCTTTTACAGGGTAGTTAAGTGGATTAAATAATAGGTATGAAAAGCCTAGCACATCACTTGACAGACAGAAAGTGCTCAACAAACTATTTTTAAAAATGAGGGTATTTTGGAATGCACAGAGCTCTGTATAGGGGCGATATATGATTATTAGCAGAAAATGACAGGACCCGTGTTTGCTCCCCTAAACTGTGTCTTCTTCTCTGGAGAGGACATGGCTGTGTTGGCTTCTCCCTTTTCACAGCCACTTTTTGGTCATATACTAGATAGCTCACAAATATCTGATGCTTTAGATGCATCCCTGAAATAATTCTCTGCTCCTGGAATAGCTTGGCTTTCCTGGAGTGACATGCATGCTGTCCCTGTGCCACCGAGGAGGTCAGGATGAGGTCTGCTCCCAGGTCTCCTCTGCCTGCCTCCTGACACTGAAACTTTGCAGAGAACAACTTTGTCTAGACAAGCAGTGGCTCGTCTGGCTGCTGCAGCAGCTAGCATCCTCATTGTTTCTCTCTGTGTTGGCTGCAAATTCCTTTTTCTGTTTATCCCCTCAGGAGCCTAGGCTCTGGGAGTGTAGCATGGGGGTTGGAGGGAGAAAAAGCAGACGTTCCCAAGACTGTCATTGCCATGGGCACCAGCCATGTTTGTGGTGCTGTTACTGATATGGCCCAGAGATGGCATGAACATCAAGTTGTCAAGGACAGCCTACTGGTTCTAGTTACTGAAGCTACCACCAATGTTTTACAGTGGATTCCCTGCCAGCCACCAGACTGGGAAACTTCAAATTGTTTAAAAGAGGCACCTCCTATCCCCCAGCCTGATGCTGGAGCAAGAGAGCTACTCACAGTGCCTGAAATATATCCTGGTTCTCATTTTTCCTCTGCTCTTAACTCTACCCAGAGACCATCGTGCAGATCTATTCTGCAGGTGGGAAATGGAGGCAGAGCAGAACAGACTCGCAGACTTCGATCATTCCTTCAACGAACAGTTGCTGAGGGCAACAATCCCAAGTGCTGACTGTTGCAGAGCGAGTCTAGAAGCCAATCCCTTGGAATCTTAATATATATTGGCTTGTGGCCGGGCGCGGTGGCTCACATCTGTAATCCCAGCACTTTGGGAGGCCGAGGCAGGCGGATCACGAGGTCAGGAGATCAAGACCATCCTGGCTAACACTGTGAAACCCTGTCTCTAATAAAAATACAAAAAATTAGCCGGGCGTGGTTGTGGGCACCTGTAGTCCCAGCTACCAGGAGGCTGAGGCAAGAGAATGGTGTGAACCCGGCAGGCGGAGCTTGCAGTGAGCCGACATTGTGCCACTGCACTCCAGTCTGTGCGACAGAGCGAGACTCCATCTCAAAAAAATATATATATAGATATATATATATGTGTGTGTGTGTGTGTGTGTGTGTGTGTGTATACATATATAGATTTGTTTATTTACAATCTGCCCCTGCCAATAGAATGTGAGCTCGTGGAGCTCGTGGAGCCCAAGGATTTTGTCTACCACTGTAACCCTAAAGCATGGCATGTAGATAATCCTTAATCAATATTTGTTGAATAAATGAAGGACTACTCTTTCCTCATCGATGAGTCTTTTAAACAAAACATGTACTTAGAAAGCCCGTGACTATAGCTCTTCTTCCAAAAGTACCAGCTCTATTGATGTGGCAAACACATTGACTCACTGACTCAATATTTGATAATCATTTCCCTCCTTCCTTCCATCCCTTCCTTTCTTTCCTCCATTCTTCTCTTGCTCACTTTTTCATTCATGTAATATTTATTGAACATCTATGATTGGCAAGGCACTCTGTAGTGTACATCAATAACACAGAGCCTTCAACACATTTGTCTTTGCTTATCTAGTGTGTTTGGAAAAAAAGAAAAAACAGAAATAGAGACCTTTCTGTTGTGTGAAGGATGAAGATTTATTGGTGCTTGGAGAAATTGTTGAAAGATGGAATTAAAACTAGAGACACAAGTTGAACTAGGCAGTTTACAGCGACATCCTGAAAATCACCTAAGGGAAAAATTGTAAGGCTGGAAGGGAAGATATAGTCTTACTGTGATGTTTTCATGGTAGGAATATTTCCTGGACTAAATCACAGGTTTAAAACACACAACACAAATCCATTCTACTGCAAAGACAAACTTAAGTTCATACGATGTCAGCTGGCAGTATAAATAGTCTGGAATCTGGGGTGACAAAGATACAGAGTACATTGGTCTAAAGCAAGGGTCAGCAAACTATGGCTCATGGACCAAGACTGGCCCACAACCCATTTTTGTAAATAAAGTTTTATCGGAAGGCAGTCATGTTCATTTGTTTATAAATTGTCTATGGCTGCTTTTGTGCTGCCACAGCAGACTTGAATAGTTGTGACAGAGACCATATGACCTGCAGAGCCAAAAACATTTACTCTCTGGACTTCTATAGAAATTTACTGATTTTGGTCCAAAGCAAAGATCCTCTCATGCCAAATGAGATTCTTTAAAAGAAAACAAGTCTGGACACGGTGGCTCATGCCTCCCTCACTTTGGGATGCCGAGGTGGGTGGGTCACCTGAGATCAGTGAGTCTCTCACTGAGGTCATGAGTTCAAGACCAGCCTGACCAACATGGTGAAACCCCGTCTCTACTAAATACAAAAAATTAGCCGGGCATGGTGGTGTATGCCTGTAATCCCAGCTACTCGGGAGGCTGAGGCAGGAGAATCGCTTGAACCTGGGAGGCAGAGGTGGAAGTGAGTCGAGATTGTGCCACTGTACTCCAGCCTGGGCGACAGAGCAAGACTCTGTCTCAAAAAATAAATAAATAAATAAATAAATAAAACAAAATAAAATAAAACAGTCCTCACATTTAGCTTGGTATATTGATGTTTATACACCTGCTTTCCCTACCAATGAAAAGCAGTCCACAGTTCATATCATTACATCATCAACCCCAATATGTTATTGTTCTCTCTTTCTGCAATAGGGCTACTAAGCTAATGATCTGAGATAACTTTCCATAAGTGAAATACTGAACGGTCAAAGTATTTTTACTCTAGGCTTCCCAGACCACTGCCCTTTTGTTGTCTCATGCCAGAGCTGGATAAATAATCAGATCAATTCATGTTTGCATTGAGGCTTGATTTGGCATACGGCAGCCTTATAACTGAAGATTTCTTCACCTGTGCTTGCTTTGTGGTTACAGATCTCAAAATGCCCATAAACTTGATTAAACTTGTCCCTTGTATGCCTCCTCATTTCACATGCAGATTGTTTGTGATTCCGAGTTACATAATTCTCAGTTTCTCAATAAAGCAACCAGCAGGTGGTATGCCTTTTTGTTTGAAGAGTTACCTCCCTGTGTAAAAATGTGGAGCCAGGTGTCTCTCACTGAGTTCAACGGATCCAAGCATTTAGACCTCCTAGGACTTTCTTAAAACCTAGCCCTGATTTTTTTTTTCATGTAAAATAAATATTTTGAAAGAGGGACCAAAGCATTTGATCATTCTCTCTTCAGTTACTGCAATGCAAAAACTGAAAAATGGGATCCTTTTCGCTGTTCTGGTAATAAGACCTTAGTGAAAGATAATCATTTAAACAGCAGTTTCCAGATACACATTTACTATAATCCTCACAATCCAATAGAGTTATTTTTACGCTTTTACAAATGAGTAAAGTGATGCTCAGAGTTCCAGTAATTTACCTAAGGACACACAGCGATTAAGATAGAGGGTCCAAACCTATACTCTTTCTACTCTGCTATTCTTCCCAAGAAAGGCATGGAAATAAGGACTACAGAGTTCTCTGTGATCATTACCTACAGAAATGGTGGATTTCTCTACATTTCTTATAGTCCAGTAGGTACAGAACCCTATTACTAATGAAAGTTGGTTTACCTAATCTTAACTAGTATGCAATGACCAATTATTTTTGTTGTTATTTCAAATGAAAATGAAGATGGTGGACATTTGGAAGGTGATGGTAGAATATAGAAGAAAGAATAAATTAAATTTCATTTTCACTGGAGAAGCACTATAAAGGAATAAGCTAGATCTGAATGAGAAGGTGAGGCATAGTCAAAGTTACCTTTAAGAACACAAACGTACTTAGGGAGGCTGAGGCAGGAGGATTGCTTCATCTCAGGCATTGGAGACTAGCCTGGGCAACATAGCGAGATCCTGTCTCTACAAAAAACTGAAAAACTAGCCAGATGTGGTGGCATGTGCCTTAGTCCTAGCTACTCAGGAAGCTTAGGTGGGAGGATTGCTTCAGCTTGGGAGTTTGAGACCAGCCTAGGCTACATAGGGAGAACCTGTTGCTACAAATAATGATAATAACAATAACAAGCCAGGCATGGAGGAGTGCACCTGTAGTCCAAACTACTTGGGAGGCTGACGCAGGAGGATTGCTTGAGCCCAGGAATTCAAGGCTGCAGTGAGCTATGATCATGCCCCTGCACTCTAGCCTAGGCTAAAGAGCAACACCTTCTCTCTAAACACACACACACACACACACACACACACATACACACAAGCAAACATTTTTTAAGACAAGGAATGTTTATTAATTGACTCTTACCTAAAGCTTGTTGATAGCTTTTCTATAAAGCCCCTCCTGTCCTGTTATCCCTGTTGCCTGTTTTCTCATTCATTCACCCATTTATTGAGTGCTGACTAAAGGCCAGGCTTTATGTGAGATCTTGGGACTATCAGGACAATATGGCCTGTATTTGCTCTCTGGAATCTTGAATTTAGGGCCTCCATGTTGAAACCATCCTCCTCATTTCCCCACTGATGAAGACAAAGAAGGCTAGATGAAGAACTACTGAAATACAAACACAAACAGCATGGCACATAGAGAGAAGCTTGTCCCTCACTTTGAAGTTTTATCCTAGAGATTTTCCACAGGACATCTCTTTCTGTCTCATCATGGGCTCTTTCTTATCTCCTGAGCCCTTAAAACCACAACTCCAAGTTCAGCTTCTTTTGATCTGCGGGGATATAGGTTAAGAAAGAGATGGGGAGTAGCTGCTTATTTCAGCTTCCCAGGCAACCCAAAGGCAGGGAGAAGACGCAGAAATAAAATATTGCTGCAGCAAGTTAAACCTGCACTCTCCCTTCTAGGCAGTCATCCTCATTTAAGGGTCCTAGGAAGATTGGGGTCAGTGAAGATGATATCCTAAACATCCAATTCTCATTAATAACTGAGACCATTTTATTAATCCATTCTTTAAAACCTTTAAAAACGTATATTTTAAAAATAATACATGCTGATAGAATGCACAACACCAAGAGTGGACCCTGATGTAAACTATGGACTTTAAGTGATAATGATGTGTCAATGTAGGTTCATTGATTGAAACAGATGTACCACTCCAATGGGAATACTGGCGGTGGCGGAGGCTGTGCATGGGGCAGTTTGGTAGAGGGTATATGGGAACTCTCTCTACCCTCTGCTTAATCTTGCTGTGAACCTAAAACTGCTCTTTAAAAAGTCTATTTTTCAAATGTCATACACATTCATAGGCTCATTATAAGAACTTTAAAAAGTTGTAGGAGAATACAAAGAGAAAGGTAAAAATCACCCAGCATTCTTCCAACCCTAATGTGAGATGAGTAGGATTAATGATTTAGTAAACATCGGCTGGGTGCAGTGGCTCACATCTGTAATCCCAGCACTTTGGGAGGCCGAGGCGGGTGGATCACAATGTCAGGAGATCGAGACCATCCTAGCTAACACGGTGAAACCCCGTCTCTACTAAAAAAATACAAAAAATTAGCTGGGCATGGTGGTGGGCGCCTATAGTGCCAGCTACTCGGGAGGCTGAGGCAGGAGAATGGCGTGAACCCGGGAGGCGGAGCTTGCAGTGAGCCCACATCGAGCCACTGCACTACAGCCTGGGCGACAGATCGAGACTCCACCTCAAAAAATAAATAAATAAATAAATAAAATAAAATAAAATAAAATGATTTAGTAAACATCTCCCAAGGTTTCTCTGACCTTACCCATACGTGTACAAATTTCCATAAACAGGGATCATGTGTTTGTCTATTTGTGTTTCACTCAGCATGTTTTCCTGTCTATTAGTATTGATCCACATGGTTTTTAATAAGTTCATAGTATTGCAGACATAAATGTGCCATAATGTACCAAATCATTCTCTTATTTGATAGCCACTTTGGATTTTTGCTCATACAAATAATGTGACATGAATGTTTCTGAACATAAACCTCTTGCCTATTCCAATATTCTTTGAATCTGTGTATCTTCCCAGTCCCTAGCATGTTTTGGAGAATGTTCTGAACTAAATATTCTTAATATGAATGTGAGGTGGTTCTTCTTTACACAAAGTACACATCTAGGCAGAGGATCTTTATTAATTCTACTTCTGACACTCCTATTGGAGAAAAAAGAGGAAGAAGATTTGACTGTGTGATCACATCTGTAATGTCTTTAGTCAGGGCCTTGCACATAGTATGTGCTCAATAAATAATAGCTGTGACTATTATTGTTGTTGATGTTATTTCTTTTGCTTGGTCCAAGTGTCCTTCCTGAAAAAGACCTGAACACGGCATAGGGTGACCTGAACAACAGAAAATGTGAAGAAAACTACATTTGTAGTCACTAAAAGTTTCTGACTCTGGCTGTAATTGTCAGTTGTAGAAACAACTAATCACCCAGAGAATGCAGTTCACTCAAGCATCCTCTTTAGACATACAGTGCAATGGCTGTGAAACGGAGACACAGACCACATGTTCCATGGAAGCCATGATAATGATCAGATATATTTACTCATTTGTGATGAAGAAAGGGAGCACAATTTTTCTGGCTTTTGACACATTATTATCTCGGTTCCAACTTTCTTATCCCAAGGAAATAGTAAGACATGTTGGACTTTTATCAATGGCATTCCCTGTCAGATCCTGTGGGCTACCACTCCATGTTGGATCACTCCCAGAGCCTTCCACAAAAGCCTCTAAAACTGTCTGCTTTAAACCCTTCAATTATAAAGCAGTTAAAAAAACAAAACCCTCAGACATAACTGCTTCTGCCTAAATCTACCATGCTGTTTGTAAGACTGTATGTTTATGATATGATTTTGAACATCATCTTCAGGAAAAAATTCTTACTGGTTTATGCTCAGATTTATGGGTCTATTCTTTGCCCCAAGGTGAGATGAAAGCAAAATCAATAAGGTTAGTTTTGGATTGCTTGAAGTAAGTAACACAAGCCAATTTTCAGTAACCTCAGATCAGTGAAGTAGGAGAAAATTAGATAAAGAGAGAAAAATCAAGAGGGCACGCTTGTGTCTCTAGGCACATCATTTGTGTCGATGACAGAATTCATTTAAAAATTATAAGCAATCGTGTTTTAGTAGCATTAGAGAAAACAGCATAGGTTGTATTAAATTTGATACTAGAAGTACTAGAAATAACAACAAAAATGTTTTGCCCTGGCACCTCCCTGACCCCCAATCAGTAACCAGCCTCATTAGTCATGGCACCTCTCACATGAGGCCCCTATCACCGCTTTCATAAATATAGTAAGATTCTCTGAATCAAAATCCTGTGTTGTCTCAAAAAATAATTATAAATAATAATTATGATTATCATTTATTGAGCACCTATTGAGTACCTGGCACCGTACTAGGTCCTTTGCACATATGAGTCAATAAAAATTTACTGAGAGCCTACTATGTGCCAGGCATTATTCTCCATGCTAAAGATACAGCAGTGAACAAGTTACACAGAGTTCCTGCTTTCTGAAGGCTTCCAGTCTGAGACAATCAATGAGCTTATGAACAAACAAACAAAGATAGTAAGTGCTATGTAGAAAACTGAAATAGGGCAACATGATAGAAAGAGATTGGGTGGTCTCTGAAGGCAGTATATTTAAGCTGAAATCTTAATAAAAGGAGGAGCTACCCCATTGGGGATGAGTGGGGAGAATTTAATCCTCTTGACAATCCTATCAGTCCTATTCCACAGAGGAGGAAAATGAAACTCAGAGGGGCTAGATCACTTCTCCATAGCAGGCCTGCGATACACAGACTGCTCCCAGTTTACAAATGCCTCTCTAAAGAACTCACACTGAGTGTGGGCTGCCACAAGGCGGGAGGGAAATGGAGAAGACAGGTGATTTGGGACATGTAACCTCAGAGTTTATTATTTCAGGTGCAACCAGCCTGAGTGAAATAAATTTGGAGAGGGAGAGGGAGCTGACTTTTTGGTGAGCATCCAAAGAGCTGGTCTTGTTGGAGAATAGGGAATGCCCAGCATCCACATGAGCAAGGCCAGGCCAGTGTTTGATCCTGGCTCTCTTGGGGCTGCCACCTTTCATTTCCATCGCTGGAGGTAGATGCTGAACATCACATTTAAAATCAATCTCCTCAAGAGAAGCAAACTGTGAAAAGCTTTTTGGGGGTGCCATGACCTGCTTACTTTGGCTCATTAGCTTATCATTGCAAAATATGAAAAAAAATTTCATTGGACTCCAAGTCTCACATATTCTGGACTTGCTGGCCAACCCTGCCTTCTTTCGGGGGTGTCTCTGTTTTCTGCAAGCTTCTGATCAGGGATTTATGATGACTTAGATGACCACTTCAGAGCGGGAACTTGTGTTTTTAAAATAATCTTTGTATCATCCATGTCTACTTGAGGATTGGGTATAGAATGGTTTCTCCTCACATTCTGAATACGTGGATGAGTGAATCCAGGTTCCAGCAGGAATGAGAGGCACGTACCCCTTCAGTCTCCTCATGCATGTCTCATGACTGGCCACAATTCCCAAGGTGATGATTTAGTTCCTTTCGAGGGTGACTGCTTCCTATTAAGACACAAGGAATGGCCTCCATTTGTTGTCTGTGTATTAAAAATAAATACATAGGCAGGAAGATTATCCTTTATAGACCACAGTTACACATTCTTACCTAATCCTCATTTCTTGATTTGGCGAATCATCGTACTTTGAGGATCTGGGACTCCCGCATTATGGAATCTAGGCTTCTTCATCTCCTTCTTCTGGAGTCAATCTGCTTTCATAAAAGGGAGATCATTCCTGTTTTCATAATAGGTAATACCCAAGTACTGTAACCTGGTAGTCCTCAAAATGGCTCTGTAGCTTATATATGTGCATGAGTATGTCTGTGGGGATGTGTGTGACTATATGTGACAGTGTGTGAGTATATGTGACAGTGTGTGGTTATGAGCTTGATAAAAATGAAGATATCTGGATGCCATCTCAGTACTACTTAACCTCAGTTCCTAGCAGGGATTGGGGGACAGATATCTATATTTTAATAAGCACTGCATGTAATTCTTAAACACATTCAAGTTTGAGAATCTGGTCCAGGAGAGTGGTTTTCAACACTGGAAACATACTAGAGTCTCCCAGCGAGATTTAGGAAATCTTGATGCCCAGACCACACCCGGTTGAATCAAATCAGACGCTCTGGGAGGTGGAGCTCAGGCATCCATAATTTTCAAAGCTCCTTGAGTGATTCTAATATGTAGTCAAGACGGAGAACTTCCTTTCAGCATAGCTTGACATAAAAAAAAAATTCAATATAGGGAAGTCAGGCCTGAATCAAATCTATGAGAGTACCTTACTTCAAGTTCTCAAGAACTTCCCTTAGAGCATTAGTGATACTCTGTTCTTTGATCAGAAAGATAACTTTACTGAACAGGTAAAACTCATATGCCTGCAGCCAGCTTTACTGCTATGCTCAATTGAGAAACTTGCTAAAAGCCAGACTTCTGGGACCTACTTATAGACATGGATTGATTCATCAGGGGCCGCTGGGGGGAGGGGGGGGGACAGTGGGCAGCGGGGGAGCCTAGGAAATGGTGTTTTTAACAAGCAACTAGGTGATTCTGATGCAATTAACCCTTGGTCTAAGTCTCAGAAACAGTACCTTAGACTAGCCCTTCTCAATCAGGGGTGACTATCCCCTTCAGGGGACATTTGGCAATGTCTGGAGACACTTTTGATTGTCACAGCGGGAGTCTGTGTGTGTCTGTGCTACAGGAATCTGGTGAGTCAAGGCCAGGGATGCTGTTCAATGTCTTACAACCCAAAGGACAGCCCCCCAAAAACAAATAATAATTATCCCGTCCAAAATATCAAGAGTGCCAAGGTTGAGAAACTCTAATCTCTCTTCTCAATCAACTTCCTTTCTGCTAGCCTCAAAGAAAGGCATCACCCTCTTTAGAACTTCCACAGCTCTTTCTGGTGTGAAAAATCACCTGTGTCTGATTCATCTCCCTGACAGAAGAAAACCCTCCTCAGGCCAGGATCCCCGCTTCATTCATTTCTGAGTGTGGCCTCATTTCTCCTCCAGCACACAGTCCTCCCTCCATAAATATTCCAGCCATTTCAAACAAAATGAAAATACCCTTCAGGACCAATCACGAGATGGCTTTGTGATTGGTAACCATGCATACCCAGTGTCTACAAGGAGAAGGAAAACCCATGGCCGGGGCTCATTTTCAGCCTAAAAGTTGAATACAAATCTACCAGCCTTCATCTAAGAAAATGGCTCTCCATATATATTTTTTTCAACATTCATCAAAAATTCCAGTGGCTTCTGGGGCTGCTTGGGGTCTCTAAAGGGCAAGTCAGTTGTGTGAACACGAGGACCACCCACGGAGCTCAGCCATCACGCAAGGAACCTCGTTGGCTGTGTCTACTACAGTGTCCGGCTACCAGTTGGCAACTATTAAGTGGTTCACTTGGTCCCTGAGCCAACCCTGAATTCCAGAAAGTCAAATCCAGCAAATAACTTTACACAGATCTGTGAGGGAAATGAACAAGGGAACAGTGCTCCCCATGGCTCTAAAAATAACCAGGTAATTACCTCTGAAGATCTCTTAAGAAGATGCACTTAACTGCACAGAATGAAGCAGCAAAGGCCTCATTCGTTTGTTGATAGGAGCTGTCTCTATGTAGTCAGCCAACTTTGGAGTGTTGGAAACCCAATCAATATTTGGGTACTATGGAGTTACTATGCTACTGGGCTGATCATAGTTAAAAACAAGAAACTGCCCTTAGTGAGGCTGACCTGACCACATTTTTTACTAAATTGATCATGCTAGTTTTCCTGACTTTGATTTTTGTTCTGATTTTAATGCTTGGCATGAATGTTGTGGTGAAAGGTATCCACTAATTTTTACTTTATGTGTTGGAGAAATGTATCAACACCATCAATTCTTTAAATGCTACTTTAAAGATATTCCACCTCCAGCAAGACTGTTGAATGCAGAAATGGAATATATCACAGATTGGTGGTGAGGTTCCACCAATTTAGCAATTTTTCTCCCATGGTTAATCACCCACAGAATACACTGGTCTTTCTCTTCTTCGTGTTTTAATTTGCAGTCTTGGCAATATATGCTAAAATGACTTGGAGTTATGAAAAGTATGAAACAGTGTTTGTTTCAAATAGTTGGCTAGGTGCTTCATCAGCCGGAGGCCTAACACAGGTGTGAATATTTGTTTATAATCCAAACACAGCAAAGTACAGTCCCATTTTGCACTCCCTTTTTTCCATATAATGCTTTAAATATTTTCTTCGTGATGGCCAGTGACTTTGTTTAACTTTAAAAAAGGCTGAATGGAAAGAAAGGGCCTGGTGACTGGAAACTGTTTGTACAAGGGCCTGCAGTGAGTGATGCTAAGCTGAGCTGGGCGTGGAGCCCTGACATTTTGTCAGCTCCCTCAGGAGGCAGATGTGATGTCCACGACTCACCTGTCAAGTGCTGATAGAAAAACAACTCTGTCCTAGGTAGCCGTTAAGGCTACATACACGACCTCTAACCCCAGGACCCCTTCTGGAGTTTTCCACTGGGTGTCAAAATCCTTTCAAATACTTCCAGCTGGGCATCTCCTTGAAGTATAATTGCAGCTCAGCATTTTAACACTGGGTCCTTGCGGAGGGAATTTCTCTGTCTTTTATTTTCCCCTCCCCCACGGTAAGGACCAGTTCTGACATCTCACTGGTAGCAAGAGAGAAAGGTTGCCCTCATTGTTTAAAACAGCCTTTGCCTCCCAGTTGAATCCAAGTGTCCTCCTGAAAGTAGAGTATTTTTGAGGCCACTCGAATTCCTGTTCTCATCTCAAACTTCTGAAGCCCTTCATGCATCCTGCATGACAATAAATTTTTCCATGCTCTGGGGCCCAGGGTCTTCCAAGGGCTTGTTTTCATTTCTCTTTTTGCAAAAGAGGCAACAACAAAGAGGAACTCAGATGCCCTGACTCCAAGATTCAGTGTTTAAAAAAATAAAACAACAACAACAACAAAACCTAGTAATTGAATTTCAAGACAATGTGCAAGTCTTTTGATCTCCATTTTCTCCTAACATGATAGAAACCCCCAAAATTATTTTTTTAAAAAAGAAAAAAAAATTGGGGGAAAACCAACATACGATGTAGCTCAGAGAAAAGAATTCATGGCTAAAGCAATACATTTCTCACAAATGGAAATGTGCCTCTTCAATCAGCACAGCAAAAACTGTCAGTTGATTTAGGCCATTCAGAGTAATAAATAATGAATTTCATGGAGGAAGGCAAAATCATCTTAAAATTATATCAGTTGAGCTCCAACAAGCTCTAAGAGTTCTTGGATTGAGCATTTCTCAAGACGAACCAAAATGGCCTTGGACTGTGTCCACAAGGTAACAGATCTATAGCAATCTCGTTGAAGCCACATTATTTCCACTGTTCCTTCAAGAGATGGTTTCTTTTTTTCTCTCATTTCTCAGTCAGACTAAAGGACCTCAGCGTTTGCTAAGCACATGGATGTTCATGGCTCCTCTACAGAAATTTTGATTTAAATGAGCTAAAAATGACCAAAATAAAAGGAAAATCACAAACTATAATCTTTAGAAAGTATTAACATCATTTTCTCCATTTTATGAATGAGGAAATTGAGATTCAGAGAGGTAAAGTGGCCTTTTCTCCCAGGTTATAGAGCTAGTAAATGACAAACTCTCAATGAGCGCTTGAATTTCCTTCTCTTCTCTTCTCTTTTCTCTTCCTCCTCTTCCCTTCTTTCTTTCTCTCCTTCTCCTTGTCCTCCTCCTTCTCTTTCTTTTTCTTCCTTCTTTCTTCTTCCATCCTCCCTCTTTCTCCTTCTTCTTCTTCCTCTTCTTCTTTTTTAGAGTTGGAGTCTCGCTATTTTGCCCAGGCTGGTCTTGAACTCCTGGACTCAAGGTATCCTCCCACCTCAGCCTCCCAAAGTGTTGGGATTACAAGTGTGAACCACCGAGCCCAGCCTCCTCCATTTCTTTAAAGCCCTGGGCTTAAAAGTGGTTCATACATTTCTGGGAAAAATAAACTGACAGATGATTATTGGACCCATGATAGGCAGATAGATAAACAGATGGCACCATTCATGATAACATATCCTTAGGATGGGAATACTAACTGGGCTAGTTTAGGTGCTCAAATTAGCAAAGTCATTGTACAACCTGATACCTGGATGTCATATTTGCCTGACTCTTCTAGAACAACTGCATATGATAAATTGTGTCAAGTGAGGTTAGCCCTTCTGCCCTCCCTGTGGGATCCTAGGCTTAGTTTTCAGGCATTTCCTCCCATTTTCTTTTAAGAGAGTGTGTGCCATCAGCCTGAGTCACTTCAGCTTCCTCAGTCACCAGAAAGCCCCTAGACAGCCCAGCCTAGTTCCCATTGCCCGGCCCAGGCACCAGCTGTGTCCAATCAAAGCAATGGCCTCCGACCTTGTTATTCACATGCTTGGATGTTTAGTCTGATGACCTGGGGAACTGGAAGAAGGAAAAAAGTATAAATCTCTGGAAGAAACTAGAAATGTTCTGGGTCAAACAATATTTTTGTAGATCTGTTGTTTGTGAATACTCTTTCTGAAACCACTTAGCTTATTGTGAAATGCACTGTTGAAGGATGCAAAGGATGGTGTACTACCTTGATAGGCTCTGCACCATCAGAATCAGCATCGCTTGGGAGCTTGTTACGAATGCAGTATCTTAAGTCC
The DNA here is from genome assembly GCF_000001405.40 of Homo sapiens. Lineage (NCBI taxonomy): Eukaryota > Metazoa > Chordata > Mammalia > Primates > Hominidae > Homo > Homo sapiens. The sequence goes on from NC_000003.12 coordinate 66,723,209, forward strand.
CAGACCCACTGAATTAGAATATTAATTTTAATGTTAGGAATGCAGTGTCTTGGGTCCCAGACCTATTGAATTAGAATATGAATTTCAATGAGATCCCTAGGTGATTCACATGTACATTTAAGTCTGCAAAGAGCCCAGGGGCTGAAGAGATCTACAACAGTTCCCTCTTCCACTTTGCCTCCCTTTGCTGCTGGGATGCATGATCACTGGCCAGAAAGTGAGCCCTTCCAACCACTTCCTTTTCTTCTTCACCTCTGCCTTACTCATCCTTTCTCTTTCATTCCTTGTCCTGCCTGTCCACCACCAACCCCCTTCTACTGAAGTCTCTAGAATTCTCTTTGCTTGACATGAAATATCACTATACAATGCAGTCTTTTCCCTAGAAAACTTAATAGCAATCCTTTTTTCAAGTAGAGGTCATTCAACCTTTCTTACTTTCTATAACTCAGGACAAAAAGTAAAAGACAGATTTTTCCCTCACTGATCATGGATGCTTCCAGATCACACTCATTCTAGAACTTTTCCTTTGAGGATTTCTTAAATACAGCACAGAAAAGCCTGATACATTTTTCAATATTAAAATTAAGAAAATAGGCTCAACAAAAGATAGCAAAAATAAAATTTTAAAAAAAGTTTAAAAATGCATTTGCCACTCAGAATTAGTGTCTAGAATATATAATGAGGTTCTATATACCAATTAAAAAATAACACCAATTTACAGAAAATGGGTAATAGATACATTGAAGCAATTCACAGACCAAGAAACATGAATACCCACAAAAATATGAAAAGATTCTTAACCACACTAGTAATTAGGGAAGTAGATGCCAAAACCTTAGTAAATATCATTTCACACCCTATTAAAAAGTTGGATAATATCAAGTGGAGATGACGATATGGAGTAATGGAAACTTAGACTCCTGGAGAGAATATAAATGTTTATGACTACACGAAAGAGCAATTTGGCAGTATCTAGTCATGCTAAAGAAGCCCTCACACTATGACCAAGAGTTTCACAGCTAGGTAAGACCAGAGCAGCTCTCACCCAGACGCACATGAAGATACGTAAAAGGTGTTCACTGGAGCAGTGTTTGAAATGAGACACATTAGAACTGACTTCATGTTCTCCAAGAGGAAGAAGGCTAAATTGCATATTCACATAATAAAAAACTATGCAGCAGTGAACGTGAACTCTCCCTCTCTATATATGTATGTAGATATACCGTACATATATTTTATATATATTATATGTATTATATATTATATACTTGATATATGTATACATACTTTGTGTATACTTAATATATATTTATACTTACATACACTTAATATATATGACATACTTAATATATGTATACTATACAATATATAAATATACAGTATGTATAATTTATATTATATAAATATATATTATAATTAATGTATACTATATATATTTATATATGAAATATATACATATAATGTATAACATATGTATTTTTATATACATATTATAAATATGTATATAATTAAGAAAATAGGCTCAACAAAAGATAGCAAAAAGAAAAATTATAAAAAAGTTTAAAAATGCATTTGCCACATATATATACATATACACATATGTATATACATATAGAATATGTATATATTGTATATACATATTATAGAATATGTATATATAGCTATGTATATATTATTATAGGATATGTACATATTATACAATGAATACATATTCTATAATATACACATATTCTATATATTATACAATATATACATATTCTATATATGATACAATATATACATATTCTATAATACGGATACATATTTTATAATAATATATACATATTCTATAATATGGATACATATTTTATACATTATATATACTCTATATATTAGGGAAAATAATGTGTATATATATTCAGGAAAATAATGTGTATATTTTATACATTATATGATACATATATACTATATAATGTATAAAAATACATATTACATAATATGTATATACTATATAATATACTATATACTATACTATATACTATATATATACTATACTATAATATACTATATACTATACTATATACTATGATATAATATAATATAGTATATATATTATATATACTATATTATATTATAGTATAATATAGTATATATAATATACTATAGTATAGTATATACTATATTGCAGAGCTTTGGGAGCCCAAGGCAGGAGGATCACTTGAGGCCAGGAGTTTCAGACCAGCTTGGGTAACATAGCAAGACCCCATCTCTATTAAAAAATTTTAAAAATAGCTGGGTGTGGGGAAGCATACCTGTAGTCCCAGCTACTCAGGATGCTAAGGCAGGAGGATGGCTTGAGCCCAGGAGATGGAGGCTGCAGTGAGTTATGGAGCACCACTCCACTCCAGCCTGGGCAACAGAGCAAGACCTGGTCTCAAAAAATAATAATTTTAAAAATAAATAACTAAACAAGAGAGAAAAAAAGCAGGCTGGGCACGGTGGCTCATGCCTATAATTCCAGCACTTTGGGAGGCCAAGGTGGGTGGATCACTTGAGGCCAGAAGTTCGAGATCAGCCTGGCCAACATGGTGAAATGCCATCTCTACCAAAAATACAAAAATTAGATGGGCATGGTGGCATGTGCCTGTAGTCCCAGCTACTTGAGAGTCTGAGGTATGAGAATCACTTGAATCACAGAAGCTGTAGTGAGCCAAGATTGCACCACTGCACTCCAGCCTGGGCAAAAGAGCGAGACTCTATCTCAAAAAAAGAAAAGAAAAAAAAGAAAAACAAAAAACAAATCATAGCTTGTGCATTACTAAGACAAGTGCAGTTAAAGGTTGCTGGAATGTAAGAGACCCAGGATATACTATATATACTATAGTATAGTATATATAATATACTATATACTATATTATATATATACTATATTATACAATATATTATATACAATATACTATATTATATACAAATATTATATACAATAATATTATATACAAAATATTATATACAATATACTATATTATACAATATATACTATAATACAATATATACTAATATGTATATATTGTATATATAATATAGTATATATATACTTCATATATATACACATATATAGTATATATACTATATATACTGTATATATAGTATATATACTATATATACTGTATATATAGTATATATAATATAGTATATATAGTATATAATATAGTATATATAATATAATATAAATATAAATATATTATATATACTATAGTATATATAATATATACATGTTATATAAGTAAATATTTTATATATTATATAATTTACTGTTGAATGATAAAAGCATATTGTAGGCCAGGTGCAGTGGCTCATGCCTGTAATTCCAGCACTTTGGGAAGCCGAGGCGGGCAGATCACCTGAAGTTGGGAGTTGGAGACCAGCCTGACCAACATGGAGAAATCCTGTCTCTACTAAATATACAAAATTAGCTGGGCACGGTGGCACATGCCTGTAATCCCAGCTACTCAGGAGGCTGAGGCAGAAGAATTGCTTGAACCCAGGAGGCACAGGTTGCAGTGAAGCGAGATCACACCATTGCACTCCAGCCTGGGCAACAAGAACGGAATTCTGTCTCAAAAAAAAAAAAAAAAAAAAAAAGCATATTGTGGACAAATACATAGTATATCATTTACACAACATTTAAAGACATGGAAAACAAAGCTTCATTAAAGGAAACTTTATATATAGTAAAAAAGTAAAGCAATGCTTGGAAATAATAAGCATCATATTAGAACAGTGGTTATATTGGTGAGAGTAGAAAGGAGAACAAATACGTTAGGATTTACACAGGTGACTGCAATAGTGTTGGTATAAAGCTTTCTTAAGCTGAGTGATAGATACAAAGGATAATAAATACCTTTTTAAATACACTTTTGGGTTTCTGAAATACTGATTAAGTTACAACAAATAATCTTTACTCTTTAAGACTCTGTAACTCAGCTCTATCACCCTCTCCCCACTGTTGTCACCATGATATATTGATGAATTCTCATCCATACCCAGTATACAGTTCTGTCCATCCTTCCTACCACGTCCTGCATGACTTCAGCACTCCTACTGCTCAGCCAGCCAATGACTTCACACTTCCTGGGTCTCTTACATTCCAGCAACCTTTAACTGCACTTGTCTTAGTAATGCACAAGCTATGATTTGTTTTTTGTTTTTCTTTTTTTTCTTTTCTTTTTTTGAGATAGAGTCTCGCTCTTTTGCCCAGGCTGGAGTGCAGTGGCGCAATCTTGGCTCACTACAGCTTCTGTGATTCAAGTGATTCTCATACCTCAGACTCTCAAGTAGCTGGGACTACAGGCACATGCCACCATGCCCATCTAATTTTTGTATTTTTGGTAGAGATGGCATTTCACCATGTTGGCCAGGCTGATCTCGAACTTCTGGCCTCAAGTGATCCACCCACCTTGGCCTCCCAAAGTGCTGGAATTATAGGCATGAGCCACCGTGCCCAGCCTGCTTTTTTTCTCTCTTGTTTAGTTATTTATTTTTAAAATTATAATTTTTTGAGACCAGGTCTTGCTCTGTTGCCCAGGCTGGAGTGGAGTGGTGCTCCATAACTCACTGCAGCCTCCATCTCCTGGGCTCAAGCCATCCTCCTGCCTTAGCATCCTGAGTAGCTGGGACTACAGGCATGCATCCCCACACCGACCTATTTTTACAGTTTTTTTAATAGAGATGGGGTCTTGCTATGTTACCCAAGCTGGTCTGAAACTCCTGGCCTCAAGTGATCCTCCTGCCTTGGACTCCCAAAGCTCTGCAATTACAGGTGTGAGCCACCACTCCCAGTCACAGGTTGCATTTTGGATCTTGTCACCCAGAACATCTCTACCCAATACCCCTGGCACTCTCTTCTGCTTTTTCCTTGCACTTGCCCAGCTAATATTCCCTTTGATCTCCTGGGGGCTCTATTTCCTTGACTTTCTTCCTCCATTCCTCCCCTGAGTTATTTTCTTCTTTCCTAGCAAACTAGGACCTATAACCAACACCTTAGAGCTCTGGTTGCAACTGTCTTACCCAACTCCAGGTGTCCACTTTCTCAAATCCTGGCTTGGGATGCTGAACAATGCTAACAGAAATCATGTGATCGCCCTGATCAGCATCATTTCAAATCTGTTTTCTCCAGAGCAGGGTGACTCTAGGTCCTGATGCCACTCTTTTCACTCACCCCTAGTTGAAATCATTATCTGCCTTAAATATCAGCTCTGGCTCCCCTTTGCCTAGAACGGCGAGCTAACTGTGGCCTGCAGAGCTAATGGCTCAGGGAGGTGCCACAGGAGTGAGCCCGGGAGGAGAACACCTCTTTGGCAAGCTCTGCCTCCCCATCCTTGCTTCAATCTGAGTTGGTCTGCTTTAATCATTTAAAATATTGGTCTTACAAGTAAGATTTCACATAATAAAAAAGGGAGGAGTCCTGCTCTGCAAAATCTTTGAGTGGCTTTCTATTACACTTGGTATAACACATAAACCCATTACTTACATGGAGTTTGTGGGATGTAGCTCTGTCCTCCTCTCCAACCTCATCTAGCGCTATTCATCCCCGGCATCCCACACTGCAGATACAACTCTACTCTCACCTCTAGGCTCATGTGCCTTCTACCGGCACACAGACCTGTTCCTCTGTTCTTTGTATGCCTGATGCTTCGTTCTCAAATTTCTCCTTACGTGTCACCTGCCCTGGTCTTCCTCATTATTCTCTATCACACTACCTTATTCATCTCCTTAACAACACTTCTTGCCATCTTCATTCAACTTTTTTGTTTCTTTCCTCATTCATTGTCTGTTTGTCCCCTCACTAGACTGTAACCGCCGTGATGGGAGGCATCACGTTTGTTTCATTTAACAATTAGTAGCAGAGCCAAGGAGTAGCTTCAGCCCCTCTTCTAAGGCTCAGAGTAGGAAAATGGATTTGAAATGATGCTGATCAGGACCTTCACCCCAAACTGCCTCAAATAAATAACTAAAGGAGAAACAGCATCCTTTGGTGCACATCCTTGCTGTACACATAAGGCTTTGTAGAAGGTGCCATGGCTCTCTCCGTTCCAGTCAGATGCTGCCCATGGACCTTTGTACAGAGAAATCCTGGAGGTGCGCTGGGATCAGTGTATCCCTAGTGTATCCTATTCACATACATAGAAGCACACAGGAACATTTTTTTGAATGAATCAATCTTTGAAAGTTTGAAAAATGCCAGCTGAGGAAATAAAGTTCACCTCTCCTAAATCACTTCGAGGAAGAAAACTAATTGGAAATCAGTTTTCTCACTTCTCCTGATAATCCATTACTTACCCATTGTCCTATTCCAGGACAAAAGACAACACACTACACAAAGAAAAAACTCTCCTTCCCAACACATGTGCTACATTGAATCTCCAGATATGATGAACTGAGACACTTACAGAGTTAAGTGTGAAAGGGCGAACTGATTTCACAATAAATTGGTTAACTATTTAAGTGTTTCAAGATTCTACTTAAGTGTACTCAGTCCATCTTGATGTAAGTAGCAAACTTTCAAAAGTTTGGAATGCCTGTCATTGTGGCAATATGCAAGTGCACTGCAGGACACAGAACAGTAGTTAATTACTTCAAATATATGAGACAGATTAGATATGATCAGTAGTTAAGCAAGCCAAAATCCTAAACAGAAAAATCTCAGTGGTATCCATGTGTGTACACAGGTTGTCATGGCCACACCTTGGCTTGGCAAGTGCATCCAGGAACATTTTCTCCTAGGCTGCCTTTTCCCTTGCCTGTCATGATTGTCCACAAGCCTTATAATAAAACATGGTGAGATAGCAAACGTGGGTTATGTGGGTGTGTTTGTCCTTCTCTGCAAACAAGATTCAGTCTTTCAGAAGAAATACACAAGCAGAAAATGGCTTCAGACAAAAAAAACAGAGTAGTATCTATGGGTAATAGAAGGCACTGTGAAGGCGGATGGGTGCAGGGTGTTCAGGTGTGTGAATAGGGCATCTGGGTCAGTACAGGGATTGGAACTGAAATGGAGGTGACAGTGGAGGTTATACAGTAGGGAGAGTGAGTCTGATTATGATGACAGCTACAATTTTTTTTTAAAATAACTCTGACAAACCAGGTACTGGGCCCTTTACTTAGGTTTGCTTTTTTAACCCTTTCAGAAATACTATGAGATAAGGGCTTTTATTATTCTCATTTTATATGTGAAGACACTGAGGCTCAAAGAGATGAAGTAATTTGCCGAAGGTCACGCAGTTAATTCCACAGTCAGGATTTTATCTAGGATTCCGTACTTCCAAACTTTGTGCTTATAAACACTGTTCCATCAGTGTCCTCTGTTCCACTGTGTATGTTCCATACCGTTTCACTGTATTCTCTATTGGCAGGACAGTCTAGAGATTAGGAGAAAGGTTAAGCTTAGAGCTGTAATTGTAGGGGGAATTTCTTAGAACATAACAAAGACAATGAGAGAGTCAATCTCTGGCATCTTCCCCGAGGTGTGGTATACAGGTGGGACTTGGGGAGCACTGAGAATTTGTATTGGAGAAAGTATGTTCTGTTGTTCCTTAATTTGAGGATACAATAAAAAAAGAAGTAAATCTGTGGCTGAGGTGAAGGGCAGAACAGTAAAAGATACAGGAAAATAGATGTAAAACAATAACCACTAAAATGTACTGGCCAGTTTACTGAATGCTTAGAATTGCTGATATTGGTTTTAGATTGAATTGCTTTTTCTTCAGGTAACTCCATGTAGCAGGGTCTAGGGTGAGATGCCTAAGAGGTGTATTTATTTAATGATAGTTAATGATATTCCTGAGTAGAAGGGAAGAGATCAGTTGGTTCTCCATAAGAGAAGTCAAAAAGGTTGCAACAAACTATGTAATTCCTGCCTCACTATCAGAAGAATGGAAACTGGTATGGTTTGGCTGTGTCCCCACCCAAATCTCATCTTGAATTGTAGCTCCCACAATTCCCACGTGTTATGGGAGGGACCTGGTGGGAGATAATTGAATCACGGGGGGCAGGTCTTTCCCGTGCTGTTCTCATGATAGTGAATAAGTCTCATGAGATCTGATGGTTTCATAAAGGGGAGTTCCTCTGCACATGCTCTCTTGCCTGCCACCATGTAAGACTTGACTTTACTCCTCCTTTGCCTTCCACCATGATTGTGAGGCCTCCCCAGCCATGTGGAACTGTAAGTCCATTAAACCTCTTTCCTTTATAAATCACCCAGTCTTGGGTATGTGTTTATTAGTAGCATGAGAACATACTAATACACACTTGTCTGATTCATTATGACTATTCCATTTCTTTCTCTAGAGCTTTGCTACTCAAAATGTGGTCCATGGAACATTAGCACCATCTGCGAGCTTTAACCCAGACTGATTGAAATAGAGCTTGCATTTTAACAGGCTCCCCAGGCAATTCCTATATGCAGTAACGTCTGAGAAGTACTGCCCTAGACTATGTATTGTGCCAGCTCGGCAACTTGGTGAACTCTTGTTCAGCCTTCAAAGCCTAGCTCAGATATCACCTGTTCTTTAAAGCTTCCCCTAGCAATGTCTTAAAGAGCTAATCCCTCCTTCCTTTCTGCTGTTTCTCCTCCTACTCATCTCTACTCTGCTCGTGACACTGTGTTCTTGAGGAGAGGGTACCTGTGTTACTCCTCTTTGTATTCTACTGTGTCAGCTGTGTCACTTCAAAAAGACAGGTTCTAAAAAGCATCCAGTTATTCGATTTAGTTATTGTTACTCAATTTAAGTCCTTCTTGGACAATGATTTTTAAATTTTTCTATGCACAAAAATGACCTGGTCATCTTGTTAAATTGGAGGCCTGTAGACCTCACCCCTGTGAATTCTGATTCTGCATGTTTAATTGGGCCCCAGGAATTTACATTTTAACTAGCAGCTCTAAGGATTTCTGGTGCAGATGACTGAGGGAAATCTCTGGTTTAGAAACATTTCCTGGTGTCTGTAATATGGAGCTTCTTTCTGGTCTAGTGGATTGCCGCTGTCCTGCATATTGTGCTGGTCTTTATGTCCTCTAGGTATCAAGAATGCCTTAATCGATTAGTATAGGAGATACCCAAATATGTATGGACTATATATCAGTAAGGATGCCTTTATACAGAAATGAAAATATGCTACATTGCAGGCCCTAACAGTTTCAGTTACTCGCTATGGTAGAGACTGTTGTAAAGATCTCTTTCCCTAAGGTGGAGGTTGTAGTGAGCCGATAATCGCGCCATTGCACGCCATCCTGGGCGACAGAGTGAGACTCTGTCTCAAAAAAGGAAAAAAAAAATCTCTCTCCTTAAATGGACTCAGTGGTTCTTAGGACCCATTCCAGTATGTGGGAAACACGTGAATATTTTCCACATACACAGCTCTGATTGTGTGAGTGCTGCTATGTGCCAGGCAACATACGGTAGGTGAATACGTTGATGATTTCATCGAATTCACACCATGATGCTGGACACGATGCAAGGGACACTGTCACCCTTTGAATGATAAGAAAATGAAGTCAGGGGTTCGTGCTTCTTTCCTGTTTGCCAAACTGTCTCTCTGTTTCTTCAGCTATACCTTTTACTCATTATCCATGTAAAATTCCACAGGGATCAGCAGAGGGTGTGGTTGTCAGGCTTCCCTAAAGTTTCTTCACTGCACTCCACTTCTAAGCCTCAATCATAACCATTTTTTTCCAGTTGTAGAACATATCTGTACTAGGCCATGTCTGGAAAACACAAAGAAGTGATTTATTTCCTTTCTTAAGAGAATTTTTAAACAGTTTGATTTTTTCCTTAGCGGTGCTGTCTCTAAATCCACACATATCTTCATGGCTGGAGTAAAAGATACATGGATACATATTTTTGAGTTGTTATAGCAATGGAATCAAATCACAAAAGAGTGGAGACAATCAATTTTTGCAGTTGATTGGAAAGACAATTAGAAAATTAGATTGTCAGGGGCATAGCTAATTTAGTTAATGCTGCAGAGTTCTCTGAGAATAAAGCAAAGTTGTTTTGTCTCGGGAGGATTTGTTATTTGGAGGGTTGGGAGAAAAGAATGGATTAAATAAATTATGGTACATCCGTAAATTGAGACACAATGGTGCTGATTTCTTTCAATGTCTACTATATGTAGGGCACAAAGATGAATACAGCAGGCCCAGTTCTTGCCCTCATAGAATTTATTGTCTATTGAATGAAGTAGAACTATGTAGATCTATATATACTATCATCGAAAGCCATCCAAGATACGCTGTAAATAGTGCATAATGTAAAAACGGTATATGTTTGTGTACAAATGAATTTGCCAGATGGTTACATCCAATGTTATTAATGGCAGTTATCTCTGAGGACTAGTAATGGGTTTGGGTTGGGGATCGGAGGAATGGAAGGGAATGATGAACTGTGCAACTTTTTGTGGCAGGGACTGTGAACTACCTGCCCTCGAATCCCTTCTTCAGTCAAAAAAGAAAACAAAATCAAACCAAAACAGAACAAAATTAATACACAAATAAAATAAACCCCAAATATTTTCCAGACTCCTTATGGCTCGGTGTAGTCATAAGACTAAGTTCTAGGCAAGTAGAAGTGTTGTATATGACAGCTAGAAAGGGCTTCTAGAAAGGGAAGATATTTGCCCTTTTGCCTATGTTGCTTTCTGCTGCTTGGGATGTGGATTCCTGGTATGCTCCCAGCAGCCATCTTGGACCATGAGGAGATCTGGAGGGCAGAAGCCATGGAGGGGAGAACACTAGGATGAAGGACCATGAGTCTCCTTCCTACCAACCTGCTACCACTTTTGCCGTCTGCTATGATAGTAGCAGTAGCCACATATGAATATTTTAAATTAATTAAAATAACATAAAATAAAAAGTTTAATTCTTCAGCCCTACTAAGCCACATTTAAAGTGCTCAGTGGCTACCTGTGACTAGTGGCTACTAAACTGGACAAGACAAATAATAGAATATTTCCATCATCACAGAAAGTCCTATTAGATAGTGCTGCTCTGCTGCCTGGTTCCTGGTTCCAGGCTTTATAAGAGCCAATAAATCCCCATATTTACGTCTTTGTTACTTGTAGTTGAATTAAACATACACTATACCAAATCCATTTTATAATGACCATATATCAATTTTATGATATAAAACTCATATAGTTTTAAATACACAATTAAACATCAAACATGGATTAAAACAGATCAAGATATATTATAAATAACTTGGTTTGATTATTTAAAAAACAGGAATATTGTGTCAAAAATAAAATTTTTAAAACCCTGGGTATAGAAGAGATCTAGAAAATTATAAACATTTAGATGTGTTTCCAAAAGCAAAAGGCTGGGCATCTGAAATTTATATAAGCTTCACTTGGAATCGACATAGACCGCACACCAAGTAGGTGTATACATTTCTATAGAGTTGCTGTCTGCACATTCAGCTATGGAGCATATTAAGAATGTTCTGAGAGATACACTGAACATTCACAGGAGACACTTTTATAAGGATAAGATATGGTCTGGTGCTCTCTAGCTATTTATCAAACTCTCTGCTGTTTGCATTTGAAAATATACAATGACATTACATTTTAAATACCCTAAGTTATATTGTGCTGCCTTTGAACCTGCAGCAAAATTATGATACCATTGTGTATTTTTAAAGATTAAATATTTCTCATATTTTTGCACTACAGCAAGCAAACCAAAGGCTTTTTAGCATTCCAGGTCATGCAGACTCTTTCAACAAGGTTGTTTATTCTTCGTTCAACGTGTGCGGGATTCAGGAGAATCATTTCCATTCTTTTAGGAAGGTGCCACCCAGGTAATTTTTGGCACATAAACGTCAATGCATATTCCATATTCTGATCTGTTTGGAAAATGCAGTACATAAAACCCATTCACCAGGCTAAGGTCACTAAGGGCGGATAAACCAACGCTCTGCAGTGGCTGCTTATAACTAAGTAGAAAAACCTTATGCTTTCAACAGGGCACCAAATTTAGTAAGTCCCTAAGCACCCCCACCTGGTACTCTCTCAGCACAAATGGAGGACATGAGTTGGTTTTTTTTCCCTTCCTCATGTTTGTGTGTGTTTATGTGTGTGTGTGTGTGTGTGTGTGTGTGTGAGAGAGAGAGAGAGAGAGAGAGAGAAACAAAGAGAGAGAATATTTTATTCTTCCAAGTTGCGATGATTTGACATGTGCTGTTTTTACATATTTCCATTTTCTAGTTTCACTGAAAGTCTCAAAGGCTTATGGAGATGAGAATCAAAAGTTGGGAAAGTGTGTTCCTGGTAGGCAAATGGTGCTGTTATGAAAACCTTTCTAAAAATCACATTGGAAAAAAAGTGGTTTCAATTGTGGACTTTATATGACCACCGTGTCACTTTTGTATTTGCCTGAGAAACAAAGGGAGGAGAGCAAGGAGTGAAGATGGTTGGGAGATACAATTCGGAGAGAGGGCCTGTTTCTAATACTCTTAATACTAACTTGGCATTTCAGAGTGTTGTTTATCCCCTTCCAGTTCCATCAGCAGTGGTGATTTTTAGTGCCATCATTAGTAACTTGGTCTACTGTCTCATTCAATATAGCGTGAAGTCCGACATCCAGAAAATATTGAAGAACAATTTAAATTTTTACTGAAGTCTCAAGAAACAATGAGCAAAGGGGATTGCATTTTTAACTCACAGAAATGTTATAAAGTTCTCTTTTCCGCCTTTTATCCCATTGTTTCTGGAGTGCAGCCAACTCTTGTTGAATCTCCCTGCAACCTCCACGCTTTCCAGACTCCCTCTCGCATGGTTCTTTCTTGACTCCTGACCCTTGACATTTTGGATCCGGTATTTTCTTTCATCAGGGTCTTGGTCTTTTCTAATGTAAGGATTTCAAGATTTTCTGTATATTTTTTGACATTTTGGATCTGGTATTTTCTTTCATGAGGGTCTTGGTCTTTTCTAATGTAAAGATTTCAAGATTTTTCTGTATATTTTTTGACATTTTGGAACTGGTATTTTCTTTCATGAGGGTCTTGGTCTTTTCTAATGTAAAGATTTCAAGATTTTTCTGGATATTTTTTGACATTTTGGATATGCTATTTTCTTTCATGAGGTTCTTGGTCTTTTCTAATGTAAAGATGTCAAGATTTTCTGGATATTTTTAAATTATCTTTCTGCTATTCCCAGCATTAACACAACCAAAGGCCCTAGAGGGTGAGCAGGCAAACCCAGAAGCCACTCAGTAAGCACTGGGAAAAGGAAAGCCTGAGAAACTTGCATGCTACATTTTTCCTTTTGTGTGTTTCGGCTACGTACACCTTTTAACATCCTTCTAGTTCATCTTCCTTTCTTCCAGCCTTCAGGCCCCCTTAACTTTAGCTGCTCTGCAACATTAGCTAGTTTTTATCCAATGACTCCTCCCCACCCCAAAGCCAGCCACCTGTTCCTTCCCTCCCCTCTTCCCTCCCTACTGCCTCTGCTATGTGACCTTAAGCTAGTTGCCTCAGTTCCCTCGCATGTAGATCACACACCTTTTCTAGAAGGTCCCAGTGGGGCCCTCCTCTTCTGAGATTGTAAGATTCAGGTCATGCTTACTCAAGAACAAACACCTGACTTGGTTAAAAGTGAACACCTGAGCATGGGTTGCTCCTTCTCCTTTAAAGTATTTTTTGATGGCACAAGTAACAGGTATATGAGTATAAATTCCTATACAAAATGAAAACCATTAAGAATGAGACTGAAATCATTCCTTCCTCTAACCCCAAACTACACCCCCTCAATTTTTTGAGAGATTAAAGAAACACAAAAAGCCCCAAATTTCATCCACTTTACTTTTTTTTTTTTTTTTTTTTTTTTTTTTTTTTTTTTTTTTTTGAGATGGAGTCTTGCTTTGTCACCCAGGCTGGAGTGCAGTGGTGCCATCTCAGCTCACTGCAACCTCCGTCTCCCAGGTTCAAGCAATTCTCCTGCCTCAGCCTCCCATGTAGCGGGGACTATGGGTGCACGCCACCATGCCCAGCTAAGTTTTATATTTTTAGTTAGAGACAGGGTTTCACCATGTTGGTCAGGCTGGTCTCAAACTCCTGACCTCAAGCGATCCACCTGCCTCAGCCTCCCAAAGTGCTGGGATTACAGGTGTGAGCCACCGTGCCTGATCTCACTTTACTTCTTTAGGAGTTTGATCTGTATTTTTGCTGAGAGTTTTCTGTTTTTATACACATATGTATATCCCAAAACTGTATAATTTTGTTTTGTAAAGAATTGTTTAAACATATAAATGCTATTCCTGTACATTTTTTATTTTCCAGTTCCTCTTGAATATCTGAGAGGCTGGTAAAAATGAGATAAGCTGGGTAAGTGTGTTCTTGGCAGGCAATTGGTGCTGTTTTGAATAAAAATAAAAATGGTACACTGTGCTTATTGTTTTCATTTGCTTTCTTTTGCCCTTGAAGTCATTGTTACTATAGAAGAACATAGATCATTTTTTTAAAAACAGCTGCACAGTATTCCATGTAGTAGGAAGAAGTAGAATAATCATACAGGTAGCTAAAATTTATAGACTGCTGTTTGCCAAGAACTGTTATTATTTAATCTTCAAGGAACTCCATGAAATAAGCAGCCAATACTAGTCCCATTTTACAAACAAGATATCTCAGAACCAATACAAAATTACCATGCCTTATTTCATCTGTTGCCAGACACGCCAGTTGTTTCAATTGCTTGCGGTGACAAACATGAGACCAAATCTCCTTGCCGAGGTGCAGGTAGGATGGTGCCAAGATGGGAACAGATGAGGTGTGGGGCATCTGCATTTTTAGATTCAAGAGATACTTCCAGACTTCCCTCATGATCATATTAAGAGAGACTGTAAATATTGAGAAGGGTGGGGGTGGAACATAGAATGGGGAGTGAGCTGGTAGGATGGCCAGAAAGGGGATGGGTGGAGGGATGTATGGCAGATGCACCTGACGGCAATAACTTGCTTAAGCCTACCCTGAAAATGACCCCATATGGCACCTGAATATGTGTCTGGAGTTCCGAGCTAAGGAATCCAGGAGCGGCCAACTGGGAGATTTTTTCCTTGTCTGTGAAGCACATTTGAAGCCCTTGGATCCATCCTGTGGAATGTAAGCTGTACAGGAGATCCGGGCCCTTTGTTTTGGGTTAATTGAAGGTTGCCAGGTGGAGGTTGTTAGGCAGAGGGTGCTAACTGAAAATGCTATATAAACTGCATGCTTTTTGCAAGCAGTTGTGGTTCTTCTGCCCAGTCTGCCGCCACTGGACCGTCCCTGTGTGTAAGTTTCCCACTAATAAAACCCTGTGTCTCATCTGCTGGCTCCAAGTCTCTTCGGCCTCTTGAACATGATACCATCCTTGTTGAGGTTAACAGGGGTCCAGCACAACAAGGGACAGCTCAAACTCCAACTTCATCCACTTTCTAATTGTGCATAAGGAAAATTCTGGGTAAAAGCAGCCTTTTCCCACTATTTCTTCCCACCTCCCTAAACTCCAAGGCATCGTCTCACATTCTGCTTTGTCTCCCCTGCCCAAGACCTTCCACCCGCCCTGCGGTGCATCTGGGCCCCAGCTGTGCCAATGTTGTTAGGCTTAGGAAAGATTTCAAGACTTTCAGTATTTACTTTATCCCAAGAACATAAGGCAGGCAGACAGGCCTCCATCCCTACGTTCCATTTACACAGATGTCAGGCCATGGATGTAGGTTCATTTTTCATTCTTTAATCCACAGGTAAGAATTAAACCATAACCTGCCTCACCAACACCACAGCATCAATATTTTCTCAGACTGGAACATGGTTTCCCCGTTCTTATCCACCATTTAAAAATAAACTTAACATATGGCATTTGTCTTATGTCAACGGAATGCAATGTGCTTTTCTTGACATATGACTCAATTCAAACACTGGGAAAAACTTTGATATTTCAGAGGAGTGTGCAGTGGGAGGGAAGAGGATTGCTACCTTCCCCCATTAAACCGGTTAATCCCTTGAGGCAATTTTCCAGAACCTGAGATGTCCTGAGTTTCCCAGATAATTGAGTTTCTTAAATCAAAATTTGTGTCATACAGACCCAAGGGTAATGCTGGATACTTAGTAAGACTTCTTAAAATCACAGTCAAACCAATAGGTAAAATGCATGGAAGTTGGGAGCACCAAAGATTATATTTATGCAGTTTTCTCAAAGGCCCTACAATGCCAGACCAATCATTCAAACACACCCCAATGACACCACATCAATGAAGGTAAAGGAAAGAGGACATGGACACACAGCAAAAGCTTGCAAGTGGGGAAAACATTCATATACAAGCAGAGCAACAGTGAAAATAACTACCACTTGCTGGATGTTTATAAGCCAGGCACAAACTTAGTGCTTTGCCTATGTGATGATGTTCAATACTCACAACCATCTTCCGAGGCTGGTATCATTATGAGACCCATTTTACATATGGGGAAATTGAGATTTAGGAAGCACAAAATTTTGGACAACGTTATACAGCTATTGAAGGAACAGGAATCCAAGTCCACTTCTGTCTGATTCTAGAGCTTGGCCTGACTCTGTTCATAACCTTATTATTACATGTCATTAGGGAGAGCAGGTTGTACATCCTATCTCTCAAAACATAACTATGATTCTGTGAATTTTTGCCTCCAAACAACGTCTCAACTTTTTTTTTTGAGATGGAGTCTCACTCTGTCGCCCACGCTGGAGTGCAGTGGCGCAATCTTGGCTCACTGCAAGCTCTGCCTCCCGGGTTCACGCCATTCTCCTGCCTCAGCCTCCTGAGTAGCTGGGACTACAGGTGCCCGCCACCATGCCTGGCTAATTTTTTTGTATTTTTATTAGAGACGGGGTTTCACCGTGTTAGCCACGATGGTCTCGATCTCCCGACCTTGTGATCCGCCCGCCTTGGCCTCCTTAAGTGCTGGGATTATAGGCGTGAGCCACCGCACCTGGCCAACAACTTCTCAACTTTCTAACCTGCCTGTTCAGGCACTGAAGTAGCCTCCTAGCTGCGTACCCGATATTCTAATCCCTTCACCTATGTTACTGGAAGAGTGATCTTCCAGGGGACTAGAATATCATCGTGAGCTCACTTGCTCAGAAATCCTCAGTAATTCTTATATATAGCTCTATGGCTAAGACAGTGCCCTACAGACAGTGAGCACACGAACATTTACTGAATGACTAAACATGCTCCAGTGACCTTCCTTTCCCTGGCACAGTTTCTGAAATTAGGTATCCCAGGTCACACCTATAGATCAGGTGATGTTAAATACTGGAAAAACACTCTCTTCCGAGTCTGAAAGACTTGAGCTCTGTCTTTCTGAGCTCTGTGCCCTCAGGCAAATCCCTTCATAGCTCTGGTTCTTTTTCCTTCCGTGCCCCATTACCTGGTCAGTGTAAACTTAGCAGTGGTATATGCCTAAGGCACACAGGATTCTCACAATATCATCATTAATAAATACTGTTGAAACATTTTTTCAGTCAGTCACATCTTAATAAATCAACAGATCTGAGCCATTTCCCCTGTGACTGCGAGGTGGGAGCAGGATATTTAGGGAAGAAAAGTTTTTGTGAGCCAGAAGAGGAGGACTTCTTGGAACATGGTGTCCTGCCTGGTAGAAGGTTGGTGGTGACTAGCTACTCCCCTGGTGGCCCTGGTATTTTAGAAGTTGCTGTGGGGAGGACAGGAGCTCCTGGGAGGGAAAAGAAGAATCCTTAACAAGAACCAAAAATGGGCCAAAGACATTTTACTGACCTCAGAGTTTTGACTACCTGAGACCCAGATTGAGCTGTAGGCCTAGGAGAAAGAGAAACAGTGAGGAGGACACAGCTGCCTTCTCCACCTGTGTGAGCAATTTTTGCCTAAGGCAATTTGTTCCTGGGGACTTTGAGAGAATTTTTTTTAGTTACCAATTGCTGAGAAACAAACCACCCCCAAACAGCAATCATTTATTATTGTCTCCTCATTTGCTGGATTGGCAATCTGGGTGGTTCTTCTGCTGGTCTTGCCTGGGGTCACTCACGTAGCTGCAGTCATTTGACAGCTTGACTGACACTGGAGAGCCCAGTGGCTTCATTTATGTGTCTGGTAATTGATGCCTCAGCTTTCCATGACACGCCTTCTCTTCCTCCCATAGGCAACACTGGACTTCTTGATAGCAGGGACATATCAGGGTTCCAGGAGGGTGACAGCAGAAGCTGCAAGGTCTCTTAAGGCCCAGGTTTCAGGAGTTGTACAACATCACTTCTGCCACATCCTATTGGTCAAAACAAGTGGCAAGGGCAGCCCAAATTCAAGAGGGTGGAACAATGGAGCTGCCTGTTGTTGAAAGGAGTGATGATGCTGTGTTGCAGAGATGCCTGGACATGGGGTGGCATGAGTTGTTGTGGGCCATTATGGTAAAAATCTGTGACAGGGGATATCCTTTCCCACAGTCAGTATTTCCAGAATGTTCTGCCCTTACCAGCCTAAGAATTTTACCTACAGATTATATAGTTATTTGGTTTCCTGGGGTCACCATGAATGACTCTTGTTCAATGTGATTGGGGTTTTGGTGACCAAAGCCAATCCAGAAACCTGCTTCTAGAGCCTTTCTGGGTCTTTGACTCTGCTTCTCCCACCTCCCTTTTCCTCCTCACTGAAAAGCATGGTGTTGACCTAAGGCCTAAACAGTATTAAATAAAGGAAAAATTGTTTTGACACTTTAAGATGTTATTCATCATCTTCAGGAAAGGGATCCAATTCTAGGGACTGTTCTGTAACTGTACTATCAGCTAGCATTCCATGGGCCCAGTCCCAGAGCAATGTCACATTCAAAGATACCAAAACATAAGTAATTCCCATCTAAACTTGCATTTCTTGAGGAGTATTAAAGAGGATCCAACTCCTAACCTAAAGCACCATTTTCTCTCAGTTTCAGACTCCCTCACACCTCAAGACTGCCCCGCCATCTCTGTCTCCCTAATCTCCACTCTTTGTTTCCTCTTCAGAACCTCTCTGATGCTCCTAAATGGTAGGGCCTACACTTCTCTTCCCTCGTTCGTTCCCACATGAGTTTTTTCCCCTCTATAAGTCTCTTTCAGCTCCCTCAGAAGCAAATCCCCCAGTCTGAGCCCTTCTTCCACAGATTGGCTTATGGTTTTGTGACCTTGCTACTAGTGACATTTTGGGCCATATAATTCTGTTGTGGGATTGTCCTGTGCATTGTAGGATGTGTAGCAGCATCCCTGGCCTTTACTCACAAGATGCCAGTAACACTGCCTCCCAGTCATGACACCCCAAAATGTCTCTGGACATTGCCAAATGTTCTCCAGGTGGCAAAAGCACCCCCAGTTGAGAACTGCTATCTTAGCCTAACCTGTATATTAAAGGCTCTTGGAAAATGAGGAGGGATGACAAAATGCATTTCTGTACTGAGAGAGGGGCAATAAACCAAAAATATATTTATTATACATTTAATAACTTGTGTCTCTAGTATAGTACCATGATCTAGCAGTGTCGTCAGGAGAGAAGAATTATACATTTAATAACTCGCGTCTCTAGTATAGTACCACGATCTAGCAGTGCCATTAGGAGAGAAGAATGACCCAAAGATGAGTTAAATTATGCATTATGCACTCCAGTCTGACATGAGCATGGGATGCTAACACGAGCAGCCGCCTGGTGCTATGGAACGCCAGGGCAGTTGGGTTCAGGTCTGAGATCTGCCACTTGTTTTCAGATTCAGCAGAGCTATGCTGGGGGTTGAGTGTGAGTCATTGAAAAGTCTCTTCACATGTTTCTAATGTGAACTTCTGGTTAAGAAATTCATCTTGGCCGGGCACGCTGGCTCATGCCTGTAATCCCAGCACTTTGGGAGGCCGAGGCGGGTGGATCACGAGGTCAGGAGATCGAGACCGTCCTGGCTAACACGGTGAAACCCCATCTCTACTAAAAATACAAAAAAAAATTAGTTGGGCGTGGTGGCGGGCGCCTGTAGTCCCAGCTAACTGGGAGGCTGAAGCAGGAGAACCGCTTGAACCCGGGAGGTGGAGCTTGCAGTGAGCCGAGATCATGCCACTGCACTCCAGCCTGGGAGACAGAGTGAGATTCCATCTCAAAAAAAAGAAATTCATCCTAAAGGCTCAATAAACGGAAACAGCTGTGGTGGAGAGCCTGCTGGGATGGGAGATGAGAGACCTGAGGTCTCTATGAGGTGGTTCACTAGCTGTGTGACCTTGAGAAAGGCATTTCACCCTCTGGGACTTATTTTTATCATTTTTCAAACAAGGGAGTTGAACCACATCCATATTTCTCGCCAAGACCACCTTGGATGTTTGTCAAAATGCCTATCTGTGCCCTGATCAAATTGGAATCTATCAGGGTAGGAGCCCAAAGATCTACATTTTTAAAATACATTCTAAGTTTTTGCTACAATAAGGCCAGCAAAGATGTAGAAATTATTTCTAGGCACCAAACTCTATGATAAGCTTTCTTTGTTTTCATACCTGTCTTGTATTATTATACCCATTTGACAGATGAAGAAACTGAGGCTCACACTGATCAAACAAATTCCTCAAGGTCTTGGGCATAGTAAGTTTGGGAAGCCAGTTCTAACCCTGGGCTACAGAGCCACAGAGCCACAGCGCCACAGCCCCTAACCATGACTCACGGTATAGTCTGCCTCCCTTCTGAATACTGACTTTTGAGTGTATCTGAACTTGAATGGTTTCTAAGCCTCCTGACACTTTGAACGTTTTGACTAATTAAAAATTTTTCAAACTATTTGCCTTTACCTGTAAGCAGTGATGGCTTTGTGAAAAGGCAGTGTTTTTTGGTGGGGTGGGAATAGGAAGATTCACTGAAATAAATGTGAGAAGAACACAGCTTCCAAAGATGAGCCGCTTTCCTCATTAAGCCTATTTTTCCAGGTTATCATGGCTAATTCATTGCCATATTTCATTATAGAAACTAACTGAAAGTTTATAAGTAAGTACTTTTCCGTCAGAGGTTGCAGTTAATTTCAACTTCAATAATCATTAATGTTTCTGTTTTTATGCTGACTGATTCGGAAATCCTAAGAAGTCACATGGAAGCTGGTTTGCAGTTTTTAATCCTCTTTTCTTCTCTCCTAGATAGTCTATTTCCGACAGCCATATTGGAGAGCCTGGGAGAGGCATTTGTTTTGATTTTCTTCATTAATGTTTGATCTGTTCAGGATAAATCACAGAGAATGCGTACCAGGCTGAACATTTGCAAGGAAAATCCGCAAAATAAAGTCAAATTCAGAAATAATTTGGTTACACCAATTCATCATGTCTAGCATTACTGACAATATTTAGACAATGTAATTCCGATTACACCTGCTTTTAGGGAAAAAAATCAGTTACCCTAAATTAAATTAACATTTTTAGTGTATATAATTTGTAGTTCAGAATGAGCTATAATTATCATTTAGGAGAAACCATGTGGAATGCATTACCAGCCTTCTAAGTCTTGGGTTTTAACCATGATCCATGACTCAAAATGCTTTATCCAAACAGGTTGTAAATTCTGAGACAAGCAAGATGCATTTCAGTCATTTCTACTTTAATTCCAAATGAAGAATTCATTGTCTTTTCAAATTATAATAAATTGAAGAGCAATTTCCCACTAAACAAATCAAGGAAATTGAAAAATTACTTCTCTGGGAGCTGTTTTCTGCATCCTTTTAAAAAAAAAAACAAAACCATGGTTTTATTATTCTTGATGTGTATACTAATAGACATCTGCATTGCCAAAACAATTTTCTTCCCCTTCTTTAAAGTAGAAGGTGAACTCTGAAAAATGTTAAATGTTCAATGTAATTTCATTCCAGGGGGAGTCTGGAGCCTGCAATGAGAGCTCACATTTAAGAACCTCAATTAATATTTAGAACATTAGCTCCCAAAGCCTTTCTCTCTCAATGATGCACTTCCTGGGGAACCACAGAACTATGAGTCATGAAGCTAAGGATTCATGTAAGCCATACCTGTGAGCACTCAGATGTCCTCAAAATTGTTGGGATTGTTAAATTAATCTGAGATTTAGATGCACATAACAATCTCGTAGAAAAGAGAGGAAATGGTAATGCACGAAGGACCAAAATGGGGAGCTGAAACCAAAGCCAGGGAATGACTTTTTAAAGTCAGGTGTGCTCTGTCTTTTGAATATCTATTTCTCCCGCCCTTGTTTTTCTCCTTTAGGTAGAGACATGGGGAAGAGTCTTTGATGAACAGAGAACAGGGGTATATCTGTATACTGCCATTTCTTATTCAACCACACCAGCAAAACACTTTGACTTACTCTAAAGAGTGACTTGGTCTCTGGTTAGGTGATCTGGACCCCAGATTGTACGCGCAAGGCTTATTTTTGTGGCTATTGGCACTGTGGAAATTTCTGACTTCATTTCACAATGCTGGGCTCTGGCAAATGAGTTAGGAGCTTTCTGTCCTGTGGGTTGCAGCTTCTCCGAAGAGACTGGTTGGCAGGCACTAAGACCAAAGCACCCTCAGTTTGAAGAAGAGTTTGTTCATCTAGGAGGAGCATGTTGAATTTTAAAGGGCTTTTCTGAGGGTACCACAGAGTTTCTTGGAAGGGCACCCTGTTGGCAGGATTTTGGTTGGGGTGGTCACTGGACATTGGAATATTTTAACTTCATGGTTCCCAAGTTGTGACAAATCAATGGACAGATGTAGGACATCAAACTATCAGTTGAGTGACTATTGTCTCTCACGGAATTGTCCTATTTCTGGAGCATGAAGGCAGTTTAATTTCACTTCGTTTTTATACTCTAAAGTTGGATTAAAAAGACAGAAAACCAGGAAGAGTAGTTTTATGTGGGAAATCAGTAACTGTCACCATGTGAAAAACTTTCCTCATTGTTTCATTATTCCAATCAGTATTCCTAATTTGTGTCAATACAAATACAAACACAGATTTCTTAGATTTAGTGGTGAAAGTCAACTTATATACCAAAGAACTAAGTCCAAAACCAAGTCATAGATGGACTTGGAGATCAGCTACAGAATAATGATGGTTCCAAAGCTCTGTTTCAGATGGGAACCAAAGAGCCAAGCATAAATATGGCTTGACAGTAGCAGACTCTTCCCAGAGGGACTCTAGGAAGTGTGGATAAAGATCATGAGAAAGGTTATTATAGATCTTTACTAAGGATGGAAAAGAGGACATCTTTTTTTTCTAAAATTTTACTTTTCTGGGTGATATTTTAACCATAAATTCTTTTTTCCTAAAGAAAAAAATATTTCTAAGTCCATAGTAATAAAAATCTATATATTTGGGAGTAAATTGAGGGTTAGGCCTGGGAATAAAGATTTTTCTTTTGCCACCGCCTGACATCCTTCCCTCTCCCCTTCCACGTACTAACCAGTTAAACATTGTAGAAATATATAAACACTGGGAAAATGCTGACTATTTCTCTTTTGGTGATTCTCAGAGCAGTGATCCACAAGGTTGTGAAGAAAACTCCAGAGATTCATCTCATTTGTTCTTTGTCTATTTATAAAGTGCTTAGGTCAAGGCCTGCTGCATAGCAAGTGTTAGAAATAAATTTGTTATTATTATAATAATTATTCTGAGAAATAAATAAGATGATGTTTGTAAATATTTCAGCAGAATGCTTGTCACATAATACATGCTCCACAAGTGGTAGTGAATATAGACAAAAATTAGGTTATATAATAAAACATCTAATTATATATTGTTGTTATTGTCTTTGCTTGATAAACTCCTAGTCATCCCCTAAAATCCCAACTTGAGTTAACCTTCAAAAAGAAGCCTTCCCTACCACTCCTAAATATAATTATTCTATCTTCTGTAGCACTTTGGCACTTAGATATCATATGTACACGTTTTATTGTATTATGATGAGTTGTTCACTGTTACGGCCCTTTTGATGGGTCACAAACTCTCTGAAGGCAAAGATCATGGTCTCTTCAGCATCAGACTTCCTACATCCCATGGTGCAGTGTCTGGCCATGTGGTAGGTGCTCAATAGACATTTGTTAAATTGTGCAAAAACGCTAGGCTTAGAGACAAAGGGAATGCTCCCATTTTTATGCCCAAATGAAGATGGGAATGTAGAGAATGTTATTCTTTGAAAAAAGAAATCTCAGGGGCTTACTTGAAAACAGGCTTGAGTGCTTACAAAAATGAGTGCCAAAAGCAATGTATAAGCAACTCAGGCCTAATGCAGCCCCAATGCGAGAAAACATCCCAGCCTCTTTCTTTGACTCAGCAGCTGCACAACAGATGGGAACGACCGTGGCTCAGTCACGCTGCCATGGGACTAGGGAAAAGGGACCAGGCTGCAAAAGGAAGAGAACATTTTCTCCCATTTGTTCATTTGAAAATACAATGTCCTTTAAAGTTCACCAGCACTATACCAACATAACTTGACGTGAGTTTTGGTGCTCACGGGGAAAAGGGGGTCTAAAATGAAATCCATGTAACCCTCATGGCCCTCATGAGGATGAGATGTGAGCCATCTTGTCTAAAGATGTCCTTTCTTCTTCCCCAAGGTCTTGCATTTTTTTCAACCCACAGAGTGACGTGATTGGGACAAATGTAGCCAGAGTGGCGGGAAGGATCTGAGCAGAGAGCTTTGGTCCAGAAAATGTCTGTTTATGGGGCTGAGTTTGCAAAAAGTGCAATACTTTGGCCCAAAGCCACTGCCACACAAGCAAAATTCCAAGCGTCTGTGTATCCTCCACCACCCCTTCCCACCCCCCGACTGGGAGAATGGTCTCCACCTCTCCTGCCTGGCTGCAAGAGAATTCTCCCAGTTAGCTGGCTTACCCACTTCATCCTGGGCCCTATCCCTGTTCCCCCAAACAAAAAGCAGCTTTTCTTCTTTCTCTGATAATAAACTCATTGATGTATCCATTTAACATCAACCAGGACGGGTACCAGGCATGGCGTGAAGTGAGGTGACAAAGTTGCAGAAGTGATTGTCCTCAAAGAGCTCCCAGTTTTGCTGGGGACAGGGACTGTAGACATGCAATTATAACACAATTTTGATAAGTCCTCAAAGAAAAATATGTTCAAATAATTATCAACAAGGGTACCAGAAAGGTAGTTATGTTTAACTTTCCTGGGAAATTGGTAAGATGAGGGTCTTTTGCCTTTCAAGTTAGAAAGATAAGGAGCTAGCACCACCTATGGATTCTAGAAAAGGAACTTGGTATCAGAGTAGAGGCCATTTCTTTATAAACTGTTCAAAGAGTTCTCAATTATACGATAGATCTTGGGGAAATAGCTTGTTTGCACTGAGCTGTCCCTTATAAAAAGGGGTGAGTGGTTTGCAGAATTTTAATGCTTTTTGTCTAGAACTATCACAGTCTTAATTGCCTCCAGGTATTAAATCCTTGCACACATGGTTCCAATCCATAAATTTTTTTGCCATTATGATAAACATGTGCCTGAGCCTCCCATTCCTGGCATAGCTCAGCAGAAAGCACTTCTAAGCTTGATATTACATTTCCATGCATTCTGAACGGCCACTTGTTCTAACTCTGTGAAGGTACTTCAGGCCCTGTAAAAGATCTATATCCCTTGAGAAACAAGTGGCCAGGGCAGAGCAGATTCAAGGCAATTGATAGGAAGAATGAGTTGTTTTGCCCTCCAAGCACAAACCCTGCTGGCATAACACACAGGGAGGGAGGGGAATAGAAGCTGGTCCATGAACAGAAGAGTTTGAGGACCTAGCTTAACCTCTGGGGCAGGTGCCAACTATAATAGGTTTGTGGAAATTGTAGATTCTTGGGCCCACCCAAGACATTCCAGATGCACACAGCTCTGTGTCTTTCAGAGTCTTTAGACTGAGTCTTCTAAGACAGATATATCTGTGGTCAGTAAGAATCATTTTTTACTGAAACATGCTGATGTACTGTGATGTTGCCATGTCTTCATTTTGTTTTTCTGTCTTATCAAAAAACCCTTTCTCTTGGCTGGGCATGATGGCTCACACCTGTAAACCCAGCACTTTGGGAGGTTGAGGCTGGAAGATCACTTGAAGTCAGGAGTTCAAGACCAGCCTGGCCAACATGGTGAAACCCTGTCTCTGTTAAAAATACAAAAATTAGCCAGGCATGGTGGCACGCACCTATAATCACAGCTACTGGGGAGGCTGAGGCGGAAGAATCACTTGAACCCGGGAGATGGCAGTTGCAGTGATAGATCATGCCACTGCACTCAAGCCTGGGTGACAGGGTGAGACGCTGCTTCGGGAAAAAAAAAAGTTTTGTCTTTACTGGGGATGTAGAGTGGTAGGCAGAAAGGGGTAGGATATTGGAAAAGAGAGAATGAAGTGGGACAAGAAAGAGAGGCAGAGGGAAAGAGGGAGGGAGGGAGACAGAGAGGAAGATAAAGTCATGAGAGGGGACAAAAATTCCACACTGCCACAAATGTATTACATGAGGAAATTTACCAGCAGCAGATATATCTCAGGAGGTTTTATTCTTTTCTTTTTTTGAGATGGAGTTTCACTCTTGTTGCCCAGACTGGAGTGCAGTGGCACGATCTCGGCTCACTGCAACCTCCACCTCTCGGGTTCAAGTGATTCTCCCGCCTCAGCCTCCTAAGTAGCTGGCACTACAGGCACCTGCCACCACGCCTGGCTAATTTTTGTATTTTTAGTAGAGACGGGGTTTCACCATGTTGGCCAGGCTGGTCTCGAACTCCTGACCTCAGGTGATCCATCCACTTTACTCTTTAAAAGTAAAAACTAAAAGTGAAGATGACAAAATTCTGACAACTAAACATTAATACAACTTATAGGTAAAATAAAATTTCACAGGGTTGGCAAACTTTCTCTGTACAAGACCAAATATCCACAGACAATATATAAATGAATGAGCATGGATGGATTTGGCCGTCTTGGCAGTAGTTTGCGAACCCATGCTAAAAGATAGGTTAACAGCTGCAATCTCACTAGTGCAATGCATCTTTTGATCCAAAGGAGGAAGGTGTCTTGGGATACATTTCCCATCACTTTTCTGCTCTTTGTAGGCCACAATTTTGTGTTAAGTCAGAAAATATCATGTTTTCTCTTTGGGATAGAAACTCTGGGGCATGAATCTTTCACCCAACTTCCCACTAGTTCCATAAATTTGGATCTCTTTTGTCTTTAAAAAAGAGGTAAGTAGTATTCCGTGGTGTACGTATAACACATAAGGGACTTAGGGACTTGTGGGGAAGGATGGGAAGGGGAGTGAGGGATAAAAGCCTACACATTGGGTACTGTGTACACTCGGGTGACAGGTGCACCAAAAATCTCAGAAATTACCACCTAAAGAACTCATCCATGTAACCAAAAACCACCTGTTTCCCCAAAACAATTGAAATTAACAAAAGGGAGACAGCTTTATGCCTCAAGAAAAAAAAAAAAAAGACCAGATTTTACACCACTTCCTAGAAGCCCAGAGCAAGACACTGTGGCCATGTTGATGGTTCTTTTCCAGAAACACAGCTAAGAACTTGGGGCACATTAGATATAATGGGTTCAGAAGATGGACGGTCTAGTTTCTGTCTCTGCAAGAATAACTTATACTGTGGCTTTTCATCAACTAATTAAAACTGTTAACCTTCAAAGTACATTGGTTCATACATTTCTGTTCATGTACATCTTGGAGCTCATTGAAATCCTGGGTCAGGCACCAAGTTACAGAACCAAGTTTGCAAATGAATAAAATAAAGGGTGGGAAAGTTAAGAGAATTTCCCTTTAGGGAATTCCAGAAAAATAATGTCCCAAGTATATTCCAAACCATTCAGCACCGTGTCTTTGGTCTTTGCTTTTCCCTTAGCAGAGATGTTAAAATAGAATGACTTAGATGTCAGATAGGTTAAGTTACAATCACCACTTTGCAAAGATAATTCCCAAAGAGCTAAAATGTTTCTAAGCTCCAGCCACTGGTCTATTTATTTAAAAAGATGTTAGATAAAGCAAAATTCCTGCTCAAGGAAAGAACCCAATGAGGCCCTCAGAGGTCATTTCAATAGGATTTTTGGGCCCTGACAAGTTTAAAGGGTCCCAGTGTATCTAGAGACATTTCAGAGAAGGATATGTGTGTGTGTGTATGTGTGTGTGTGTGTGTGTGTGTGTGTGTGTGTGTGCAGTCACAGCAATGACTCACTGGGAGAACAGTGGGACAACAGCAGCCCAAAACCTGACAGTTACCATAGCAAGGAAGGGGACTTTGACAAACGGAACCCTTTCATGATAATCTCAACAATGTAATCTGTAAATGTGTTTGAAACTCCACCTTAGGGGCTGGCTGCCAAGTTTAGGGGCTGGCCAGAGGACGTGTGGGTCCAGAACTTTGTAGAACACTCACTTCTATTTTTCCATGACTTTTCTCTCTAAAGATGAGCTGAGAAATTTCTTGTCTAAGCTACATTTTGTAAAATCTTACAAAAACTTCAGAAACAGCAACAAGTGTTGAGACATAAACCTATATTATTGGAAAATGTTGGAATAGTGTACAAATTCTTTTACCAGCCCAAAACCCTTTGCCCCATCAGCTGTTGAAATTTCTTTTCCCTGTTTTTAGAGCTCTGTTCTTTTTCTTCCAAATAAACTTTATGCACACAGAGAAGCGCACAGAATGTATTTTACTCAATAAAATTTTAACTAAGTGAAAACACAAATTAGCTAGCACCAAGATATAAATGTATTACTAGTACTCTGGAAATTCCCCTTGGGCTCCTTCTCTGGCACTATCCACTCTTCTGACACCATAGGTTATTTTGTATGAGGGGTACTTAACCCAGAGTCATCTCACCCTGCCCCTGGGCATTTGGCAATCTCTGGAGACAGTGTTGGCTGTCACTACTGTAGAGTGGGTGCTACTAGCCTCTTAGTGAGGCCAGGAGTGCCAGTAAACATACTGCGATGCACAGACAGCCCTTTACAACAAAGAATTTTCTGATCCCAAATACCACTAATGCCAACCTCAAGAAACCCTGCTTTACGTAAATGTAGCCATGCAATATGTTTTCTTTCTTTCTTTTCTTTCTTTTTTTTTTTTTTGTTGATATGGAGTCTCACTCTGTTGCCCAGGCTGGAATGCAGTGGCGAGATCTCAGCTCACTGCAAGCTCCGCCTCCTGGGTTCACGACATTCTTCCGCCTCAGCCTCCCGAGTAGCTGGGACTACAGGCGCCCACCACCACGCCCGGCTAATTTTTTGTATTTTTAGTAGAGACGGGGTTTCACCATGTTAGCCAGGATGTTCTCGATCTCCTGACCTTGTGATCCACCCGCCTCAGCTTCCCAAAGTGCTGGGACCCATGCAATGTGTTTTATTTTGTGTTTGTCTCCGTTTGCTCACCATGATATCTGTGAAATTCATCCACATTGTTGTATGAATCAGTACATTTATTCTCATTGCTGCAAGGTATTTCCCCAATAAAAGCTGGGATTTTTTTTTTTTCAGAATTTTACTTGAAGATATTTATCAAATCATATTTAGTCTTTTTCAAAATTTCAAATCTTAATTCTATGCTTTTGCTTTAGGTTTCCCTTAAAAATTGAAGTGCTGGTTTGTTATGACAAAAATTAATACATTATTTGCTTGCTCATTTGGCTGAGTGACTGGTTAACCTATTCCTTTGCTTTTTCATTCATTCAATAGCCAATAACCATCCAGTTTCCTGCCAGGATCTTGGAGGTGCTGGAGGATTCTGGCATTTTCTTTGGGTGCTTACAGAAGTACACTCAGCTTCTAGCATGCAGCAGGATGGTCACTCCTGGGAGCAGAATCAGGCTGGGTTGGGGGGCAGCAAGTTCATGAAAGGGGTGCCACCTTTGGTTACCATCTCCACCTGTTGCCTGGATTTGTTTTCACACTGTTTTCCCCAAATTTCATCATCGTCTAACAAACCATCTTAAAATTATTGAAAAGACAGCACTTTTGGAGTATGTGCTTAATTGGAAGCAGCTACCTCCCACAATACAACTCCTATGCCCTCCCCCATGCTTCTGAGTCCACACAAAGGATTTTGCCTGATAGGCAAAGTCCATTTGGTCCTTCAGTCACTAAATGGCTAGAGGGGATTCCAAGTTAGCCTGTCCTCACTCAATTTTATGTCAGTTTCTAAGCAAATTGCATCACCATGATGTCCTAGACTAGGGTTTTTCAACATTGGCACTGTTGACATTTTGGGCCACTGAATTCTCTGTTGTTGGGGGCTGTTCTGTGCAGTGTAAGATGCTTTGTGGCATTCCTGCCCTCTACCTACTAAGTGCTGGTAGTACCACCCCCTCTCCCCAGTTGGGACAACCAAAAATCTTTTACACTGCCAAATTTCCTCTGCAAGGGGAGGGGTTGTGTGTGCAAACATCATCTTCTGTTGAGAACTACTAGTGTGTAGGACATA
Source organism: Homo sapiens (assembly GCF_000001405.40). Classification (NCBI taxonomy): domain Eukaryota; kingdom Metazoa; phylum Chordata; class Mammalia; order Primates; family Hominidae; genus Homo; species Homo sapiens. Next base: position 66,753,627 of record NC_000003.12, read on the forward strand.
TTTCTTTACCAGGAAAACATTTCTAGTATAATATTTAATAAATAGCCCAGCTTAATTAAATCACTGGGCCTTGAATGCAAGCAGAGAGAGAGTATCTTTGGTATTCATTCTATTTAAGACACAAAGCAGATTTAAGAACTGGAATAAACATGCCAATCAATGAAATGACCATGTGAAGGTCAGATTCAAAACAGCTATGGCCTGGCTTCTTGGTTCTGTTTTCACACAGGCCTTCAGAATGTTTAAAGGTTTGCTTTCAAAGATAAACCTTTCAATTCATAGCCTCTGTTTTGGCTTGGACACAGGTTGAGTCTGGGATGGCTGGAAGACTGATATCTGAGGGCATTTCCCTTTTGCTTAACATTTGGTAGATAATGTTTTATTATGCTTGAATATTCCATCCCAGGATCATGGTTCTCAAGGTTGAGGTTATGCAGCCTCATAACATTGGAGGACATTCTGCTCTTGAGATAGGGAAGGAAACGGTTAGGATTTGCTGAACACTGACTATCTTACTGGCACTGAGCTAATCACTTTACATGCTTATCTTATTTAATCCTTACAACAATCTAATAGGGGTAAATATTATAACTTGCATCTTGCTAATGAGAGAACTGAGGTTAAACAATTTGTCTAAGACAAAATACTTATTATGTAGTGGAGCTGGGGTTTGAACCCAAGGGTGGTGGAACAGAGGGCTATAGATTCTTTGCCTCCCTTTGAGAGCTGGGACAGGTTTCCCCGACCTTGAATCTTGGCTGGCTCTGTGACTAGTTTTGATCAAGAGAATGAGGCAGGTCTTAAGAGATCTACAGTCCCCACTTTTTCTTCTTTAGCAATGCTCCCTCACACTCGAGGGAGCTTAATGCCATGTGAGATGCTGGATTATCCTGAAGCTTCTATATTGGGAGTGATAATAGGAGTTAAGAAGAAATTACTTAGGCAGATAGTGAGGGTACTGGAGTCCTCCGTAACAAAGAGCAGCCTGTGAAATCAAGCTGCAGATGAAGATGCTGGCAGTTATGCCAATCATGTTCAAAATGGCAGCTCCATCGTCCCTTCTCTCTCTGCCAGCCACATGTACAGCAAAAAGCAAACAAGATGGCCCTGGTCAAAGCGGAAAGTCCATTTGCATAATAAGATCAGGGTGGGGTGGCCAGCCTTCCCCACGTGCTATGTAAATGTCACATGTGGTAGAACCAATCTGTGGGCCCTACGTAAATCAGACACTGCCTCCTCAAGCCTGCCTGTAAAATCCAGGGCATCCGTCGCAGGCCAGCCTTTTCCTCTTGGAAACCCCTCTCTCTCACTAGAGAGAGAGCTGTTTTCCTTTCTTTTTCTTTCTCTTTCTATTGTCTATAAGCCCCCACTCCTAAACTCCTCGTGTGTGTCCATGTCCTAAATTTTCTTGGCACAAGATCATGAGTCCTGGGTATTTACCCCAGACAACGAAGCCTCTTTAGGAGGAAGCCTAAGCTAGCCATGTGGAGAGAGAGAGGCCATGTTGAGCGGCAGGCATGTGCCAGGAATGTGAATGAAGCTTTCATGGACCTCCAGCCCAACCTGGTCTCTAGCTGAATGAGGCTGGATGACTCTAGTTGATTCCATGTGGGGCAATAGCATCATCCCACCAAGCCCTGCACCCTTTCCTCACCCATAGAATCGTGAGGAAAAAAAATGGAGGCTGTTTAAAGCCGCTGAGTTCTGGGGTGGTTTGTTACAGAGCAGTAGAGGAGTAAAACACTAGGCCTGCTTGACTCCAACATACCTGGTAGGTTATAGGAAGACTAGAGGGCAAAGGTCAGTAAAACTGACTTTGTTCTATTGCCATCTACCTATGAGGGGAACAGGCCACACTGTCTTTCTCCAGGCACTCAAGTTCTATGGTGAGGTTAGATTACATTGTGTTCACAGCTCTAAGAGTCTACTGTTCTAAATGTGTGCACATCTAGATCTACAGACTACCAAGCATTGTCAGTGTGTTGGGTCAATTTCTCTGTTCCACCAAACTGTAGTTCGGGGAGCCTAGCAAAGCCTGCACTTTTGACAACTTTCTTTAAAGCTTATCTCTCTGGTGGATATCTTCAGAATCCAGAGATCCCACTAATAATTGAACACTGTGGAATCTCTAGACAATTAAAGCAATATTTCCCAAACTAGGAAAAATATGTTATTTAACACACTTAAATAATTAATAGTTATTATTTATTTTTACAATACCTTCTAGTTATAGCAAGTGATGGTGGCTTTTCATTTATGTCACTGATAGAAGTTTTAAGGCAACTTTAAGTTAAAACAGTGAATTGACTTAAAAAATAGTAAATAATAGTAGCTGTGGCATGAAAACATGGCTAAAATAGTGAAGGTAATAGATAAATGACTGAAGTTTGGGAAACACTCGAGACATAGGAAGATAAAATGCCACTGTAGACCGTCTTTCTGTTTCTCCCTTTTTGGCCGGGTTATTCACACCTAGGGCTGGCATATTTTGCTGATCATGCAAAAGGAAGGCTCTGGCTGCGCAAATCAATACTCGCCATGGCAGAAATACATGCATCACTACATTTAGCTCAACAAAATTCAGAGGAAGAAGAAGTAGCATACGAAGACCAAAGAGAGAGACAGAGAGAGATTATGGAATATTAGAAATTGGCCTGTTGTGGGGTGGGGGGAGGGGGGAGGGATAGCATTAGGAGATATACCTAATGTTAAATGATGAGTTAATGGGTGCAGCACACCAACATGGCACATGTATACATATGTAACTAACCTGCACGTTGTGCACATGTACCCTAAAACTTAAAGTATAATAAAAAAAAAGATTAATAATAAAACCACAAAGCACACACACAAAAAAAAGAAGTTCAACTTGGAAAGCGATATGTTTTAATAGTAGTCTTATGTTTCACTTGGAAGGCTTGAATAATAATGAATATGACAGGTCTTGGCTACAGGGGTAGAGAGAGACATGGAGAAGCATTGAGTCAGAAGTCAGGTAGCAATCAGGCTCCGATGACATGCGGGCATGAACAGGCTGCTCTCTAGGACTGGTTTGTAGACACCGTTTTGTTACCACTCTTGGGTAATCTCAGTGTGGATACTACAGCTGCTAACCTGCAGTTGCATGGTGATTCAGGCTCTTTAAATTTATGGTAATATAAGCATAGAAATGAATCTGCATATATAGGCATCGAACTCTTCACAGTAGTTACCCTAGGGGTGGGAACAGGTAGGACGTTCGCCTCCTAACGTTTGACTTCTTTAGAGTGAGAATGCATTGTGTGTCTAGAGAGAAAAATTTTAAAAGATAAATACTAAAGAAAAAATTAGGAAGATAAAAAATCAAAAAGGTTAAGAGTTGAGTTCTAAGATCAGGATTCAATCCAGGATTGAATTCCAGCTCTGCTACTTACTAACTGGCTGACTTTGGGCCACTTAATTAACCTGTCTAACATTTAGTTTTCTTGTCTCTGACATAGGGACAGTAACAGTCCCCACCTGATACAGGTGTTGTAAGGATTGAATGAAACATTTCACAGTAGTCATTCAGCACAGTAGTAAGGTAGGAAGGAGCCAATAAACAGTGATTGCTATTAAATTAGTAAATTATTATTTAATACTTAGAATTATACAAATAATGGCTATTAATCATAATGATAGTAAGAATTGATATGTTTCAGTAATGTTTGACTTTTTACTATAAGTGTGCATTACTTTTGTAAGACAGAAAATGCTAATGATCAGTTTTAAAAAATAGTTTATACAGTTAGTTATAGTTGACCCTTGAACCACATGGGGGTTGGGGTCCCAGCCCACCCTGTAGTCAAAAATCCAAGTACAACTTTTGACTACCCTAAAAACTTAACTAGCCTTCTGTTGACTGGAAGCCTTACTGATATCAGAAACAATTAACATATATTTTGTATGTTATATGTATCATATAGTGTATTCTTACAATAAATAAGCTAGCCAAAAGAAAATGCTATTAAGAAAATCATAAGGAAGAGAAAATATATTTACTATTCATTAAGTGGAAGTGGATCATCAAAAGTCTTTATCTTCCTTGCTTTCATGTTGAGGAGGAAGTAGAAGAGTTCGTCTTGCTGTCTTAGGGGTAGCAGAGGTGGAAGAAAATCCACACGTAAGGGGACCCACGCAGCTCAAACCTGTTTTCTTCAAAGGTCAACTATATTTTCACAACTGTGATGGTTAACCTCATGTGTCAACTTGGCTAGGCTATGGTGCCCAGCTGTTCGGTCAAACATCCATCTAGATGTTGCCGTGAAGGTATATGTCAGATGTGATAAGAAATTAAATCAGTAGATTTAAATCTACATTGAGTAAAGCAAACTACCATCCATAATGTAAGTGGGCCTCCAACAATCAATTATTTGAAGGTCTTAGGAGAAAAGACTGAGATTCTCCGAGAAACAAGGAATTTTGCTTCTAGATTGCTTTCAAACACAGGACTGCCATAACAACTCTTCCTAGAATTTTGAGCCTGTCCCACAGATTTCAGCATTGCCAGTTCCCACTGTTACATGAGCTAATTCCTTAAATTTCTCTCTCACTCTCTTTACACACACACACACACACACACACACACACCCCATACAACCACATCCTACTGGTTCTGTTTCTCTGGAGATCTCTAATAGAACAACCAATTACAAGTGCTAAAAAAAATGCTAAGTTCTTCACTGAATTTGCCCTTCACTCCAAGTTAGACAGGATCACCAATATTATTCCCCTTTTTTGGGTGAGAAACTTGAGGCCTACAAAAGCCAAGTGCCTTACCCATAGCCAAAAAAAATTGTTCATAGCACAATTGAGGTACGAACCCTTAGGGCAGCTGATTCTAGTTCCTGTAGAACTGGTAACGTGGTACCACAATCACCTTCCAGCTCATTAATATCTAGCTCCAGGTAACTCTGGGGGCATCAATGGCCAAGTGTTATGAGGTGGGCTTCCTAAGGAAGGCTCCTGTACATCTTCTGAGAGCATCCCACTCATACGCAGGTGTAACCTATATATCCTCTCTCCTTTCTCTTGAAACCTGGCCTCTGGATGTTCTTCATCTACTCTCTATCGTTATTCTGGACTCTCTAAGAAGTGGATGGGTGGCTGGACTCTCTAAGAAGTGGATCACGCCTGTAATCCCAGCACTTTGGGAGGCCGAGGCGGGCATCATGAGGTCAGGAGATCGAGATCATCCTGGCTAACATGGTAAAACCCCATCTCTACTAAAAAAATACAAAAAAAATTAGCTGGGCGTGGTGGTGGGTGCCTGTAGTCCCAGCTACTCGGGAGGCTGAGGCAGAAGAATGGCGTGAACCTGGGAGGTGGAGCTTGCAGTGAGCCGAGATTGCGCCACTGCACTCCAGCCTGGGCGACAGAGCAAGACTCCGTCTCAAAAAAAAAAAAAAAAAAAAAAAAGAAGTGGATTGGTGATGTGTTTAGGCCTCCAGCAAAACTGGCTACTTAAGAGGGAAAATGAGAATACAGGCAAATTTTGTGTTTATACATGCACATACACACATACACATAATTTTTCTCTCACTTTGTCTGTAAGGTAAAGGAGTAGGGAAACCATAGTCTTGTAGCGTGAAAGGTTCTTAATGCCTACCTACTACTGTGCCATCTTGCTTAGGAACACATTATTTTCCTCTAGGTTACTATAGAACAGTCTATGTTGTGCAAAGAAATCACAAACAGGCATGTGTCACAACTCAGTCATAACACATCCCTCTGGTTTTCTGGAGCTGTTAGATCTAGCTCCATTTCCTTCCTCTGTCCTTACCTTACTTCAAGGTCAAACAGTCTGGGTTAGAGCGCTTGGTGACAGAGTAAGAAAGAACCGTGTTTGAGGTGGACTTGGGTTTTAGTCTCAAATTCAGCATCTACTCCAAGGCATTTGTCCTCCATTATATTTCAGATCTGAAGGTCATTTCACAGTTTCTGAACATCGTCACACAAATTCGTGTTTGAAATTCACAAGATAGTAAAGTTAAGGTAAAGATTATTTTCTCCAATATGTATTATTGTCTTCAATACGTATTACTCTAAGATTATTTCTCCAATATGCTAAGATTCAAAGAGATAAAGTGGTCTTGACAAACAGCACAGCTAGGGGAGTGGCAGTCGATGTCCGAGGATTCTAAATCCAAGGCTTTCCCTTCGACACCACATTGTGTCTTTCAATCAACAAATGCTTTTTCTAAAAAACATCTAACATGTGCTTGATACAGCGATGAACAAAGCCGACAGTTCCTGCTCTCCTGGAGCTTACATTCTACCGGGGTCACTTTCTGAATGAGTTACATCAGTGGTTCTTTTTTTTTTTTTTTTTTTTTTTTTTTTTTTGACAGGGTCTGGCTCTATCGCCCAGGCTGTAGTGCAGTGGCATAATCTTGGTTCACTGCAACCTCTGCTTACTGGGCTCAAGCCATCCTCTTACTTCAGCCTCCTGAGTAGCTGGGACTACAGGCACACACCACCATGCCCAACTAATGTTTTGGTATGTTTTGTAGAGATGGGGTCTCACTATGTTGCCCAGGCTGGTCTCAAACTCGTGAGCTCAAGCGATCTGCCTGCCTTGGCCTTCCAAAGTGCTGGGATTTCAGGAATAAGCCACCACACTCAGCCAGTGGTTCTTAACTAGGGGTGATTCTGCACCCTAGAAGACACATGGAATGTCTGGAGGCATTTTTGGTTGTCACAGTGGGAGGGGAGGTGCTACTGGCATCCAATGGGTGGAGGGCAAGAATGCCACTGAAAATCTTACAATCCACAGGACAGTCCCATTCAACAAAGAATTATCCAACCCCAAATGTCAACAGTGCTGAGGCTGAGGAATTCTGAAGTGAATCAACGATTCTCTTCAATCTACGTATAAAGAATAGAATCTAAAATTCAGTTTAAAGTAAGAAACACCAAATATACATGATGTTGGTTCTGTCATGTAGAAACTGTATGGTGAATTGAAATAGGAAGTTGAAGAGATTTCTCCAAAGGAAAAGTTTTAAAAACACTAATTCAGGCAATGTGAAAGAAGATTTGTCCAGCTACAAGCGAGACTGATAAATTGCTGTAATAACAACAATACGCTACTTGTAAATACTGTTTTCACGTTATTGTGGCCTCTGAATTTCCCAGTAGTCCAGTCAAGGAAAATGAGAACCACATACTCAGATAACTAAAGACCTGCTCTTTGCATGAAATTAAAACATCACCATTGCATATTCCGGGAACCGACTTTTTTTTTTCTCACTTTGTGGCCCAGGCTGGAGTGCAGTAGTATGATCTCGGCTCACTGCAACCTCCACCTCCTGGATTCAAGAGATTCTCCCACCTCAACCTCCAGAGCAGCTGGGATTACAGGTGTGAACCACTGCACCTGACTAATTTTTTTGTATTTTTAGTAGAGGTAGGGTTTCCCCATTGGGGCCTGATTTTTTAACTTAAATGTCTAACTTCTGCAAAAGCAAGGAATCCTTGCAGGTAAAAAAAAAAAAAAAAATAATACAAGTCTTAGTAAGACAGTGGGATAGCTAATTCTAGAGTTTTCTTTTCCAAGCCGAGAGAGTAAAGTGGAAGTGAGGTTACTGTCCTGAGCCTTGCAACTATGACCCTCAGGGCTATCTGGTTACCCGAGGTGGCACTGTTTACCAGGGCTTGGAGCAACAGCTTTCTCAGGCCTTGACAGATAGAAAATGGCTTGTCCAATTGAGTCTTCCCTTCTTTTTGGTAGTAACGAGCCAGGCTTTTCCTTAAACACAAATTTTTGGACGCTAATCAACTCTCATGGAAAGAATGAACAGGAAATTGAATAATAATAAGCTAACCAGTAGCTAGGAATAAGTTTTAACATTATATTTGCACCCATAAACATGTGTGACCTTAGACAAGTTATTTTGGCCCTCAATTTCCTCATATGTAAAATGAGAAGGGTGGATTAGATGTCTTATGAAATCCTATGAATCACAAGTTGAGAAAATAAATGATGCTCGTTGCGATTAAGAAGTGTTCACGATGATTCCATTCTCCTCTTCTTGCTCCGTCTCTCTCTTCTGCTTGATTTTCAATACAAAGTTTTGCTTTGTTTTGAGACAGGGTCTCACTCTGTTGCCCAGGCTGGAATGCAGCATTGCGATCTCGGCTCACTGCAACCTCCACCTCCCAGGTTCAAGCAATTCTCCTGCCTCAGCCTCCTGAGTGGCTGGGATTACAGGTGCATGCCATCATGCCCAGATGATTTTTGTATATTTAGTAGAGACAGGGGTTCACCATGTTGTCCAGGCTGGTCGTGAACTCCCGACCTCAGGTGATCTGCCCACCTCGGCCTCCCAAAGTGCTGGGATTACAAGCATGAGCCACTGCGCCCGGCCAATATAAAGTTTTAAATAAAATAAACAGAATGCCATTTTTTTTCTGAAAAAAAGTGAACTGATAACACTAGGCTGCATGAGCTCTTATCTTGGAGTCAAGTGCTAAAAATCTAAATCAGCAATAAAAATACATAAATAAAAAGCTGGGAGTTTACAGAGCAAGGGCAGAGGTTGTGCCCCTGTCTGATTTTACTCTGCTTGTGGTCAAGGTTGCCTTTTGTTACAAGTGAGCCCAATTACAATCTCTGGAGGGCCCTGCGCAACCCACTTATTGTGATTAAAAGGTCACTTGAAGCCCTGTCTGAGTTGTTTATCTTACCAAAGGTGGTAGAGGTTGCAGTTAAATGTACAGGTATTCTCAGGATCTGGAATCTTTATTTTCTTTGGGTGTTTGTGTTTTGGGGGCTGGTGGCTAGGTTGATCCTGTCAGTTTAGGAGGGTGTGTGTGTTTGGCACAGGCCTCAAATCAAAACCAGCAACTTTGGTTTACAGACTTTCAATCTGCAAAGTTTTTCTGAAGACACTCAGCTTTCCAATTTATCCTAAGTTCTAGGGGGATTCCAATAAATGACTAGCAAATCCAAGAGCGATGCTGTCACTCTCTCCGGTGAAGACGATGACAGGGCCCTCCTTGGTTGTCTGGCAACCTGATGACTTCCCTTGGCCCTGAAACTCTCCCACCAACTTGAATGAAAGAGGTAACTTTCGGGAAATCCTTGGACCCTGGGTCTGTTGCACCCCAGCTGGCTTCCAGAGCCTTGGTTTTCATACCTCACTGTGGTCTGGGAAATTCCTCAGAAAAATTTGTTAAGACAATGTTTTTATCAGTGGATCGTATCAGAAAGTAGGCAATTTTCATTTCAGGGATGAACAAGACAAATGGAGCGTTCCTTACCCACGGCAGGAATAAAATATGCAACTTATTATCCAGTAATAAGGCTCAGATTAGAAAAATTGGTTATTATTTTATGGCCCTTAATGAACCAGGTCAAGCAAACTCGATGCTCCCAAGTAACCCTGAAACCAGGTGGTTCTAGCTCTTTAGGCTCCCTTCCCAAAAATCTGTACAGCAGCTTCCTGGAGCTGGCTGGAAGGAGTTGAGACTGTTGGAATTTGGCCTGGGTCTGTAAGTCTTTAGCTAACAGGGGCCTAATTCAACACTTCTTCAAAAAATCAAAAAGACAACGAGTGTACTTTTAAATCACCCTGAGGTTTGCAATCTTTTTGATGTCTTACTCTCTCTGCAGAAGAAGACCTCCATTTTTCTTATCATCTGCAGCACCTCTCTAGGTGAGCTATAGAATGTGTCGTGCCTTAAAAAAAAGTCTCATTGTCTGAGCCTCTCATACTTGTCTTTCAGCATGCTGATTTGCTCTGGCTACACTTCTGGAAACTGGCAGCCTTAGGGAGGATTTTGTGACCAGTATTATGATTTTGTTGTGAGCTTGCCAGTCCTCTTCTGATTCCGGTTGAGTCAGTCTTGTTGAGTCTTGATGCTTATTCTCTCTTTGTTTACTCCACAGGAGATTTCATCACAGTGCCTCCGGCAATGGACTGCATACAATTTTCTGTATAGATGATGGGACTCGATCTTAAAATGTATTCCAAGTATTGGGCAATCCCTTTTCAACCTCCTTCCCAAATAGTACTTTTTAAAAATTATTATACTTTAAGTTCTGGGATACATGGGCAGAACGTGCAGGTTTGTTACATAGGTATACATGTGCTATGGTGGTTTGTTGCACCCTTCAATCAGTCATCTAGATTAGGTATTTCTCCTAATGCTATCCCTCCCCTAGCCTCCCACCCCCTGACAGGCCCCACTGTGTGATGTTCCCCTCCCTGTGTCCACGTGTTCTCATTGTTCAACTCCCACTTATGAGTGAGAACATGCAGTGTTTGGTTTTCTGTTCCTGTGTTACTTTGCTGAGAATCATGGTTTCCAGCTTCATCTATGTCCCTACAAAGGATATGAACTCATCCTTTTTTATGGCTGCATAGAATTCCATGGTGTGTATGTGCCACATTTTCTTTATCCAGTCTATCATTGATGGGCATTTGGGTTGGTTCCAAGTCTTTGCTATTGTGAATAGTGCTGCAATAAACATACATGTGCATGTGTCTTTATAGTAGAATGATTTATAATCCTCTGGGTATAAACCCAGTAATGGGATTGCTGGGTCAAATGGTATTTCTGGTTCTAGATCCTTCAGAAATTGCCACACTGTCTTCAACAATGGTTCAACTAATTTACACTCCCACCAACAGTGTAAAAGCGTTCCTATTTCTCTACATCCTTTCCAGCATCTGTTGTTTCCTGACTTTTTAATGATCATCATTCTAACTGGCATGAGATGGTATCTCATTGTGGTTTTGATTTGCATTTTTCTAATCACCAGTGACGATTAGCTTTTTTTTTCATGTTTGTTGGCTGCATAAAGGTATTCTTTTCAGAAGTGTCAGTTCATATCCTTTGCCCATTTTTTGATGGGGTTGTTTTTTTTCTTGTAAATTTGTTTAATTTTCTTGTCGATTCTGGATATTAGCCCTTTGTCAGATGGATAAATTGCAAAACTTTTCTCTCATTCGGTAGGTTGCCTGTTCACTCTGATGATAGTTTCTTGTGCTGTGCAGAAGCTCTTTAGTTTAATTAGATCCCATTTGTCAATTTTGGCTTTTGTTGCCATTGCTTTTGGTGTTTTAGTCATGAAGTCTTTGCCCATGCCTATGTCCTGAATGATACTGCCTATGTTTTCTTCTAGGGTTTTTATGGTTTTAGGTCTTACATTTAAGTCTTTAATCCATCTTGAGTTAATTTTTGTATAAGGTGTAAGGAAGGGATCCAGCTTCAGTTTTCTGCATATGGCTAGCCAGTTTTCCCAGCACCATTTATTAAATAGGGAATCCTTTCTCTATTGCTTGTTTTCGTCAGGTTTGTCAAAGATTAGATGGTTGTAGATGTCTGGCGTTATTTCTGAGGCCTCTGTTCTGTTCCAATAGTCTACATATCTGTTTTGGTACCAGTACCATGCTGTTTTGGTTACTGTAGCCTTGTAGTATAGTTTGAAGTCAGGTAGCATGATGCCTCCAGCTTTGTTCTTTTTGCTTAGGATTATTTTGGCTATATGGGCTCTTTTTTGGTTCCATATGAGATTTAAAGTAATTTTTTCTAATTCTGTGAAGAAAGTCAAAGGTAGCTTGATGGGGATAGAGTTGAATCTATAAATTACTTTGGGCAGTATGGCCATTTTCATGATACATGGATACCTATCCATGAGCATGGAATGTTTTTCCATTTGTTGGTGTCCTCTCATTTCCTTGAGCAGTGGTTTGTAGTTCTCCTTGAAGAGGTCCTTCATATCCCTTGTAAGCTGTATTCCTAGGCATGTTATTTTCTTTGCAGCAATTGTGAATGGGAGTTCACTCATGATTTGGCTCTCTGTTTGTCTATTATTGATGTATAGCAATTCTTGTGATTTTTGCACATTGATTTTGTATCCTGAGACTTGGCTGAATTTGCTTATCAGCTTAAGGAGTTTTTGGGCTGAGATGATGGGGTTTTCTAAATATACAATCATGTCATGTGCAAACAGAGACAATCTGACTTCCTCTCTTCCTATGTGAATACCGTTTATTTACTCCTTTCGCCTGATTGCCCTGGCCAGAACTTCCAATACTACGTTGAATAGGAGTGGTGAGAGAGGGTATCCTTGTGTTGTGTCAGTTTTGAAAGGGAATGCTTCCAGCTTTTGCCCATTCAGTATGATATTGGCTGTGGATTTGTCATAAATAGCTCTTATTATTTTGAGATATGTTCCATCAATATCTAGTTTTATTCAGAGTTTTTAGCACGAAGCGGTGCTGAATTTTATCAAAGGCCTTTTATGCATCTATTGAGATAACCATGTGGTTTTTGTCACTGGTTCTGTTTATGTGATGGATTAAGTTCATTCATTTGTGTATGTTGAACCAGCCTTGCATCCCAGGGATGAAGCTGACTTGATCATGGTGGATACACGTCTTGATGTGCTGCTGGATTCGGTTTGCTAGTATTTTATTGAGGATTTCTGCACTGATGTTCATCGGGGATATTGGTCTAAAATTCTCTTTTTTTGTTGTGTCTCTGCCAGGCTTTGGTGTCAGGATGATGCTGGCCTCACAAAATGAGTTAGGGAGGATTCCCTCTTTTTCTATTGATTGGAATAGTTTCAGAAGGAATGGTACCAGCTCCTCCTTGTACCTCTGGTAGAATTTGGCTGTGAATCCATCTGGTCCTGGACTTTTTTTGGTTGGTAAGCTATTAATTATTGCCTCAATTTCAGAGCCTGTTATTGGTCTATTCAGAGATTCAACTTCTTCCTGGTTTAGTCTTGGGAGGGTGTATGTGTTGAGGAATTTATCCATTTCTACATTTTCTAGTTTATTTGTGTAGAGGTGTTTATAGTATTCTCTGATGGTAGTTTGTATTTCTGTGGGATCGGTGGTGATCTCCCCTTTATCATTTTTTATTGTGTCTATTTGATTCTTCTCTCTTTTCTTCTTTATTAGTCTTGCTAGCAGTCTATCAATTTTGTTGATCTTTTAAAAAAACCAGCTCCTGGATTCATTCATTTTTTGAAGGGTTTTTTGTGTCTCCATCTCCTTCAGTTCTGCTCTGATCTTAGTTATTTCTTGCCTTCTGCTAGCTTTTGAACGTGTTTGCTCTTGCTTCTCTAGTTCTTTTAATTGTGATGTTAGGGTGTCAATTTTACATCTTTCCTGCTTTCTCTTGTGGGCATTTAGTGCTATATATTTTCCTTTACACACTGCCTTAAATGTGTCCCAGAGATTCTGGTATGTTGTGTCTTTGTTCTCATTGGTTTCAAAGAACATCTTTATTTCTGCCTTCATTTTGTTATGTACCCAGTAGTCATTCAGGAGCAGGTTGTTCAGTTTCCATGTAGTTGAGCAGTTTTGAGTGAGTTTCTTAATCCTGAGTTCTAGTTTGATTGCACTGTGGTCTGAGTGCAATTATAACAGTTTGTTATAATTTCTGTCCTTTTACATTTACTTAGGAGTGCTTTACTTCCAACTATATGGTCAATTTTGGAATAGGCATGGTGTGGTGCTGAAAAGAGTATGTACTCTGTTGATTTGGGGTGGAGAGTTCTGTAGATGTCTATTAGGTCTGCTTGGTGCAGAGCTGAATTCAATTCCTGGATATCCTTGTTAATTTTCTGTCTCGATCTGTCTAATGTTGACAGCAGGGTGTTAAAGTCTCCCATTATTATTGTGTGGGAGTCTAAGTCTCTTTGTAGGTCTCTAAGGACTTGCTTTATGAATCTGGGTGCTCCTGTATTGGGTGCATATATATTTAGGATAGTTGGCTCTTCTTGTTGAATTGATCCCTTTACCATTATGTAATGGCCTTCTTTGTCTCTTTTGATCTCTGTTGATTTAAAGTCTGTTTTATCAGAGACTAGGATTGCAACCCCTGCCTTTTTTTGTTCTCCATTTGCTTGGTAGATCTTCCTCCATCCCTTTATTTTGAGCCTATGTGTGTTTCTGCACATGAGATGGGTTTCCTGAATACAGCACACTGATGGGTCTTGACTCTTGATCCAGTTTGCCAGTCTGTGTCTTTTAATTGGAGCATTTAGCCCATTTACATGTAAGGTTAATATTGTTATGTGTGAATTTGATCCTGTCATTATGATGTTAGCTGGTTATTTTGCTCGTTAGTTGATGCAGTTTTTTCCTAGCATCGATAGTCTTTACAATTTGGCATGTTTTTGCAGTGGCTGGTACCAGTTGCTCCTTTCCATGTTTAGTGCTTCTTTCAGGAGCTCTTTTAGGGCAGGCCTGGTGGTGACAAAATTTCTCAGCGTTTGCTTGTTTGTAAAGGATTTTATTTCTCCTTCACTTATAAAGCTTAGTTTGGCTGGATATGAAATTCTGGGTTGAAAATTCTTTTCTTTAAGAATGTTGAATATTGGCCCCCACTCTCTTCTGGCTTGTAGATTTTCTGCCAAGAGATCAGCTGTTAGTCTGATGGGCTTCCCTTTTGGGTAACCGGACCTTTCTCTCTGGCTGCCCTTAACATTTTTTCCTTCATTTCAACTTTGGTGAATCTGACAATTATGTGTCTTGGAGTTGCTCTTCTCGAGGAGTATCTCTGTGGAGTTCTCTGTATTTCCTGAATTTGAATGTTGGCCTGCCTTGCTAGGTTGGGGAAGTTCTCCTGGATAATATCCTGCAGAGTGTTTTCCAACTTGGTTCCATTCTCCCCATCACTTTCAGGTACACCAATCAGACATAGATTTGGTCTTTTCACATAGTCCCATATTTCTTGGAGGCTTTGTTCATTTCTTTTTATTCTTTTTTCTCTAAACTTCTCTTCTCACTTCATTTCATTCATTTGATCTTCAATCACTGATATCCTTTCTTCCAGTTGATCAAATTGGATACTGAGGCTTGTGCATTTGTCACGTAGTTCTTGTGCCTTGGTTTTCAGCTCCATCAAGTCCTTTAAGGACTTCTCTGCATTGGGTATTCTAGCTAGCCATTCGTCTAATCTTTTTTCAAGGTTTTTAACTTCTTTGCTATGGGTTCGAACTTCCTCCTTTAGCTGGGAGAAGTTTGATCATCTGAAACCTTCTTCTCTCAGCTCGTCAAAGTCATTCTCCATCCAGCTTTGTTCCATTGCTGGTGAGGAGCTGTGTTCCTTTGGAGGAGGAGAGGCACTCTGATTTTTAGAATTTTCAGTTTTTCTGTTCTGTTTTTTCCCCGTCTTTGTGGTTTTATCTACCTTTGGTCTTTGATGATGGTGACGTACAGATGGGGTTTTGGTGTGGATGTCCTTTCTGTTAGTTTTCCTTCTAAGACTCAGGATCCTCAGCTGTAGGTCTGTTGGAGTTTGCTGGAGGTCCACTCCAGACCTTGTTTGGCTGGGTATCAGCAGCAGAGGCTGCAGTACAGCAAATATTGCTGAACAGTGAATGTTGCTGCCTGATTGTTCCTCTGTAAGTTTCGTCTCAGAGGGGTACCCAGCTGTGTGAGGTGTCAGTCTGCCCCTACTGAGGGGGTGCCTCCCAGTTAGGCTACTCGGGGGTCAGGGACCCACTTGAGGAGGCAGTCTGTCCGTTCTCAGATCTCAAACTCCGTGCTGGGAGAACCACTACTCTCTTCAAAGCTGTCAGATGGGGACATTTGTCTGCAGAGGTTTCTGCTGCCTTTTGCTCAGCTATGCCCTGCCCCCAGAGGTGGAGTCTACAGAGGCAGGCTGGCCTCCTTGAGCTGTGGTGGGCTCCACCCAGATTGAGCTTCCAGGCCACTTTGTTTACCTACTCAAGCCTCGGCAATGGCGGGTGCCTGTCCCCCAGCCTCGCTGCCACCTTGCAGTTTGATCTCAGACTGCTGTGCTAGCAATGAGCGAGGCTCTGTGGGTGTGGGACCCTCTAAGCCATGCACGGGATATAATCTCCTGGTGTGCCGTTTGCTAAGACCATTGGAAAAGTGCAGTATTGGGGTGGGAGGGACCCGATTTTCCAGGTGCCTTCTGTCACAGCTTTGCTTGGCTAGGAAAGGGAATTCCCTGACCCCTTGTACTTCCCAGGTGAGGCAATGCCTCACCCTGCTTCAGCTCATGCTTGGTGCGCTGCTCCCACTGTCCTGCACCCACTGTCCAACAAGCCCCAGCGAGATGAACCCGGTACCTCAGTTGGAAATGCAGAAATCACCAGTCTTCTGCGTTGCTCATGCTGGGAGCTGTAGACTGGAGCCGTTCCTATTTGGCCATCTTGGAACCGCCCCCCCGAAAATTCTTTTATGAATGTTGAATATTGGTCCCCACCTCTTCTTGCTTGTAGGGTTTCTGCAGAGAGATCCGCTGTTAGTCTGATGGGCTTCCCTTTGTGGGTAACCCAACCTTTCTGGCTGCCCTTAACATGTTTTTTGTCATTTCAACCTTGGTGAATCTGAGGATTATGTGTTTTGGGGTTGCTTTTATCGAGGAGTATCTTTGTGGTGTTCTCTGTATTTCCTGAATTTGAATATTGTCCTGTCTTGCTAGGTTGGGGAAATTCTCCTGAATAATATCCTGAAGAATGTTTTCCCACTTGGTTCTATTCTCCCTGTCACTTTCAGGTACACAAATCAAATGTAGGTTTGGTCTTTTCACATAGTCCCATATTTCTTGGAGGCTTTGTTTGTTCCTTTTCATACTTTTTTCTCTAATCATGTATTCATGCTTTATTTCATTAAGTTGATCTTCAATCTCTGATACCCTTTCTTCCACTTGATCAGTTCTGCTATTGGTACTTGTGTATGCTTCATGGAGTTCTCACGCTGTGTTTTTCAGCTCTATCAGGTCATTTATGTTCTTCTCTAAACTGGCAATTCCTCTAAACTTTCTTCAAGGTTTTTATCTTCCTTGCATTGGGTTAGAACATGCTCCTTTAGCTCAGAGGAGTTTGTTATTAACCACTTTCTGAAGGCTACTTTGGTCCGTTTGTCAAACTTCTTCTCAGTTTTGTTCCCTTCCTGGCGAGGAGTTGTGATCCTTTGGAGGAGAAAAGCCATTCCAGTTTTTGGAATTTTCAGCCTTTTTGCACTGGTTTTTCCTTATGTTCATGGATTTATCTGCCTTTGGTCTTTGATGTTGGTAACCTTCGGATGGGGTTTTTGTGTGGATGTCCTTTTTGTTGATGTTGATGCTATTCCTTTCCATTTGTTAATTTTCCTTCTAACATTCAGGCCCCTCTGCTGAAGGTCTGCTGGAGTTTGCTGGAGGTCCACTCCAGACCCTGTTTGCCTGGGTATCACCAGCAGAAGCTGCAGAACAGCAAAGATTGGCCAGGCGCAGTGGCTCACGTCTGTAATCCAAGCACTTTGGGAGGCCAAGGTAGGAGGATCACCAGGTCAGGAGATGAAGACCATCCTGGCTAACACAGTGAAACCCCATCTCTACTAAAAATACAAAAAAAAAAAAAAATTAGCCAGGTATGGTGGTGGGTGCCTGTAGTCCCAGCTACTCGGGAGGCTGAGGCAGGAGAATGGCGTGAACCCAGGAGGTGGAGCTTGCAGTGAGCTGAGATCGCGTCACTGCACTCCAGCCTGGGCGACTGAGTAAGACTCTGTCTCAAAAAAAAAAAAAAAAAAAGAACAGCAAAGATTGCTGCCTGTTCCTTCCTCGGGAAGCTTAGCTTTGTCCCAGAGTGGCACCTGCCAGATGCCAGTCAGAGCTCTTCTGTGTGAGGTGTCCGTTGACCCCTGCTGGGCGGTGTCTCCAAGTTAGGAAGCATGGGGGTCAGGGACCCACTTCAGGGGGCAGTCTGTCCCCAGCAGAGCTTGAGTGCTATGCTGGGAGATCTGTTGCTTTCTTCAGAGCTGGCAGGCAGGAACATTTAAGTCTGCTGAAGCTGTGCCCAGAGCTGCCTCTTCCTGTAGGTGCTCTGTGCCAGGGAGATGGGAATTTTATCTGTAAGCCCCTGACTGGAGCTGCTGCCTTTCTCTCAGGGATGCCCTGCCCAGAGAGGAGAAATCTAGAGAGGCAGTCTGGCTACAGCAGCTTTGCCAAGCTGCGGTGGGCTCTGCCCAGTTCGAACTTCCCAATGGCTTTGTTTACACTGTGAGGGGAAAACCACCTACTCAAGCCTCAGTAATGGCAGACGCCCCTGCCCCCACCAAGGTCGAGCATCCCAGGTTGACTTCAAACTGCTATGCTGGCAGCGAGAATTTCAAGCCAGTGGATCTTAGCTTGCTGGGCTCCGTGGGGGTGGGTTCCGCTGAGCTAGACCACTTGGCTCCCTGGCTTCCGACTCCTTTCCAAGGGAGTGAACAGTTTTGTTTTGCTGGCATTCCAGGCGCCACTGGGGTATGAAAACAAACTCCTGCAGCTAGCTTGGTGTCTACCCAAATGGCCACCCAGTTTTGTGCTTGAAATCCAGGGCACTGGTGGTGTAGGCACTGAGGGAATCTCCTGGTCTGTGGGTTGCGAAGATTGTGAGGAAAGCATAGTATCTGGGCTGGAATGCACCATTCCTTACAACGCAGTCCCTCACGGCTTCCCTTGGCTAGGAGAGGGAGTTCCCCGACCCCTTGCACTTTCCAGCTGAGGCGATGCCCCACCCTGCTTCAGCTCGCCCTCCGTGGGCTGCACCGACTGTCTAACCAGTCCCAGTGAGATGAGCTGGGCACCTCAGTTGGAAATGCAGAAATCACCTGCCTTCTGTGTTGATCTCCCTGGGAGCTACAGACCAGAGCTGTTCCTATTCAGCCATCTTGCCAGTCCAGTAATCCAAAATAGTACTTACATTCTCTCTCTTTTTTTTTTTTTAACCTGCTTTCGATGTCAGGTTTTGCCTCCCCTGCATATAAAAGAAGTTTGTGCTGGATTTTCTGGCCCTGAATTAAGAGTGACGTGGTTGGAGGGGTAGAGAGTGCCTTTCTTGGGAAGTTTGTTTCCCATCCTTTGGGTGAGTTGATTCCATCATGAAGACGGTAGTCTTGTGACCAATATGAGAAGGAACCATTCCAATTTAACAGCTGGACTCAAACAGTACGGATGTGGTGACGTGAGTGCCATTGGCTAGCCCTTGGGTTAGATTCTCCAATCTAGGTCTCCATGAGAGCTGGAATCTTTTACCACTTGAGGGTCTCCAGTATAATAAAGAATAACTCTTCCAGCCAGCAGATCAGATCTCCAGAGACAGGGGTTTTCCTATACTCAAAGGAAGAGAACAGGGAGGCCTCTTACCATTAATCAACATCAAGTGTATTCTGGGAAGTCCCAGTTAGTGTTTCGGGGCCTACAAATCCCAGTTCTGGGCTAATTCCAAACCCCAAGGGATCTTGGAGCAAGGTTGCTTCAGTCCATTTGAAATATTTTCCAAGAACATGAAGAACGTCTTCAGGTGAGTCTAGTCCCCCTTTCTTGAGCTGCAGTTGTGAAGATTGATATCTTGGACTTGGCTCATGCTCCCATTTTTCTTTTCTGCTGTTATTATTCTTCTAGGAGAGATTCAAGTTCTCTTTTCTGGTTTTGGAAACAATGATGAGTTCAGGCTATCTCTGCATTTTAGTTTAAAAATACAGTATCTGAGAATGAATTTACAGGGTAAAAATTCCTAGCATGTGTCAACAAAGGGGAGATGCACTGTTATTTCTCGGTTCTAAATTCTGTGACTCTGTGATGGTTTCCTACTCCACTCAGGGTAAAAGCTAAAGTCCTTACAGGGAGTTCAAGCTCAATACTCCTGACCTTGTGCATTCTGACCTCATCGATGGATTCCCGCCCCTGTACCCCCGCTTATCCTTGCTGTTTCTTGACCATACCAGGGATGTGCTTGCCTCAGAGCCTTTGCTTTAGCAGTTCCCTCTGCCCCCAGATATCCACATGGCCCACTCCTTCATCTCTAACAGCTCACTTTTCAATGAGGCCTTCCCTGACTCTGTTTAACACTGCCACCTGCCTTTCCAGTCCTCCCAGCACTCCTGACTGCCCTACTGTGGTGTGCTTACTTTTTTCCAAAGCACTTAGAAATATAATGTAACTTAATTATTTTTATGTTGTTGTTTTTCTCCATTATGCCAGAATGTAAACTCCATAGAAGAAGCAATTTTTGTCTGCTGTGTTCACTGATAAATCCCACATGCCTAGAACAGTGTCATTGTGCAGGGTACACAGAAGGGTCTCAACAAATATATGGTAGGTCTTCCCTTAACATCACTGATAATAGGTTCTTAGGAAATGACTTGATATAATTTTATCATAGGCCAATTGATAAACAAGAATTAAGTTTCTACAGCTTATTTCTGGTCGCAAAAACATCACCAGATTTATAAATAAAGACCAAGACACCTCTGATATTAAACATTGAAATAAATGTGAGTTATACATACATTTAGGAAAGATTCATAAAAACAAGTAAGATAATGATTTACCCACTTATTCCAATTGAGGGTCTTGGGTGGCCAGAGCCCATCCTGACAGCTCAGAGCAAATGACAGGAACCCACTCTGGACAGGCTGCCTTCCCATCATGGGGCACACTCACACACCCATAGTCACACACCCACATTCACTCACACTGGGACTATGTAGATATACCACTTAAGCTAACATGCACAGGTTTGGGAGGAAACTGGAGGGCTCGGATAAAACCCACACAGACCCCACACAGTGGCCCTGGCTGGGATGTGATATTTTCTCATTGACATCCTAGCTAAATGACATTGAACGGAATGACATTCGAGGATTTGGTGTGTGCATATATGTATGTGTATGTAAATACACAGATATGTGTGTATATTTACATACATGTAAGTGTATATTTACATATGTACAAATATATGTGAATATATTCACATAAATATTCACATAAATATATGTGACTATGTATATATATATGTGCATATAGATTTATGTGTATAAATATAAATATATTTAAAATAATTCAGTTTCTTCAAGCTAGGTCTTTTACCTTAAAGAAACCTCTTCAGTGGTAGGAAAATTCAGAACCCTGGAGATTTTAAGGGCAGAGTTGTGTGGTTCAGATTGGGGCTAGCCTGGCTAAAAAAGAGAAAGAAAAAGAAAAGCCTTCTGCATTTGTTAAGAGGATAATGTGTCAAGAACACATAGTAAATACTGTTCTTAATAATGGAATTGGCATTAGGGGCACCCACTGAAGACCCAGTCCATTTTAGGGATAGTGTGGATTATGGTAGTTCATCTTGGGAGCGTGTATTGGGATATAAGCAACAGAAAACTCAACTCACACTAGTCTTTAGAAATAAAAAGATTTAACCACTGGCCCATTTAATCTGTAGGTATTTACCCAAGAGCAATAAAAACACATGTCCACAAAAGACTTGTACAAGAATCTTCATAGCAGTTTTCTTCATAAAAGGCAAAAACTGGAAACATCCCAGGTATCTATCAGTAGAAGAACAGCTGAACTGTAGTCTCCTCATAAATGGAATACTTCTCAGCAACAAAGAGGAATAAGTTACATGTAACAGAATGAATGTATCTAAAAACTACTATGCTAAGAGAAACCTTACACAAAAAATACATACTATGTGATTCCACACATATGAAATTTTAGAACAGACAAAACTATGGAAAAATATCAGAAAAGTAGTTGCCTCTGGAGGTTTGGGATGGGGGATGATCAAGAGGAAACGTTCCAAGGTGATGGTAATGTTCTGTATCTTTGTAGGGGTTTGGGTTACATAGATGTACACATTTGTCAAAACGTAGCAACTTGTAGGCCAGGTGTAGTGGCTCATGCCTGTAATCTAAGCACTTTGGGAAGCCACGGTGGGAGGACTGCTTGAGCCCAGGAGTTCAAGACCAGTTTGGGCACTAGACCCTGTCTCTACAAAAAAAAGTTTAAAAAATTAGCCAAGCATGGGCCGGGCATGGTGGCTCACACCTTTAATCCCAGCACTTTGGGAGCCCGAGGCAGGCAGAGCACGAGGTCAGGAGATCGAGACCATCTTGGCTAACACAGTGAAACCCCGTCTCTACTAAAAATACAAAAAATTAGCCAGGCGTGGTGGTGGGCACCTGTAGTCCCAGCTACTCGGGAGGCTGAGGTAGGAGAATGGCGTGAACCTGGGAGGCAGAACTGGCAGTGAGCCGAGATTGCGCCACTGCATTCCAGCCTGGGCGACAGAGCAAGACTCCGTCTCAAAAAAAAAAGAAAAAAAAAATTAGCCAACCATGATGGTGCACACCTGTAATCTCAGCTACTCAGGAGGCTGAGGCAGGAGGATCACTTGAGCCTGGGAGGCTAATGATGCAGTGAGCTGTGATCACGCCACTGCACTCCAGCCTGGGCAACAGAGACACTGACTCAAAAACAAAAACAAGAACATTAGCAAATTGCAACTAAGTTTTGTGCATTTCGTGGCATATAAATTTTACTTCAAAAGATAAAATTATAAATAAATATTGATCTCCACTGAATCATATGGATGCTAAAGTATTTAGTTAGTGATGTGGATGCTGTAGTATTCCTGTCAGACACACCGTCTGAAGCACAATAGCATATAGCATAATAATTTTCAGATGCATCCACGCTGTTACATGGAGCTCATTCCTTTTTATTGCTGAGAAGGGTTCCATTTTATATATGGTAAACTGTATGCAATTTACTTTGAAATGTATCAAAAATAAGTTGGATTGATGGATTGAGAGAAGGATGGACATGTGGACAGATATATGATCATGAAAGTATGGCAAAATATAAAAGATAGCCTCTAAGTATTCACTGAAAACGTCTTTAGACTGCTGTACGTTGAAACGATTCATAATATAATACTGAAAAAAAGATAAAGTAAAATTACTTGCTCTTGTAACCAAGAAGCTGAGAGGATAACCAGGCTGCTGGCAGGAATGAAAACCACACCCTTTTCACAGAGCTATAGGTGCCCCCAGCAAGCCCCAATTTCTCCCAACAATATTAACAAGCTCACCACTGCGACAGCCTGAAGAACCATCAGGACTAATTGCATCCTATCCCGTATCTCAGTTTCTGTCAGACACACCATATGAAGCTGACTAACTGCAGAAAAGCTCTCACCATGCGGGTCCTGCCCACCCCTCCCCTACACGTAAACTCTTCTGCGCCCCTGGAACTCATGCTGCATTCTCAGCAAAGCCCCCGCATCTTCCACCTCTTCCCTGAATGTCCTTTCACCTTCTTGCTCCAACTGAAAACTGACTCTCCCTTAAGGATGCCACTTCCTGGGCAACCCTCTCGAATGTGGCTTGTTTTTTCACAGCTGCTGGACCTGGAGGGCACAGATATCCTCCTTGCTTGTTGCCTCTTCCTGGTCATTCTTCTCTCCCCAAGCTTTGCAGCTCATGCCATCACACCAGACCATTTTCCCCCAAGAGGAGTAGCCTAGATAACTAGTTAATACCTTCCTCTCTTGCTAACATGCATCCCATGCTTGTCACTGTTGGCTGAAGACTGTGAGTCCAGTTTGACTGAGAAAATATCTACTCACCTATCTTTTTGCTCTGTGCTATTACTTTTGTGCTGTTACTATGGATAAACCATTCCCGTTCTTTTCTAGGATGGATTTTTCCACTTTGTACTGAATCCCACGTACTCTCATCATTCACAAACATTGCTCAAGAAATTGCTCCCTGTCTATTGCTCCCCCTCCCCACACTTGGCTCTCTCTATCCCCCTTTGTGTTATTTTCCTATATTACATTTACCAACGCCTTGTACATTATTTATTTACTACCAGCTTTTCCACAAGGGGCATTTACCTGGAGTTAACCTGGGATTTCAGGAGGTCTTTGGCTAGGAAAATAATCGTATCATTATTTTGACTATCTTCTAACTGAAATTGAGCATTTCCTTTAATTATGAGAAGAGATGGAAAACCCCATGACTTAGCAGTGTCTGTGACTTGTTATCAACAAGAAGTTACAGATGTGTTTCCTGATAGGAATTGTCACATTACAGTTGTTGACAATACCTTGAAATATAATTTGTGCTGATTGCTTTGAAATTGTGGTAGTCATTAGGCACATGCAGGTAGATGGCGTGTGACTGCAGCTTTCCTTTTTAGAGATCCTCACGAGGTGCAGCTGGCAGATTAGAGAGCGGCTCTATGCCTGGTTGTCATTCAGTCACCAAATCGTGTTGGTGACCCAGACACCTCATTGCTTTTTAATATTTCCTACTTACAATGTTTATCAATACATTGAAGGAATGAGTTGTTTCTATTGTTTGTTTAAACTGAAGTAAGACTGGGCATTCAAATGAGAATTCTTAATTCTCTATAAGGGCACATGGCATTTTACAACAAGGATAGGTGTGCAGGCTAAGAATAAAAACCAGACACATTCAAATACATTTGATGGTTGAAATAATTACTGAAGTATGCTCTTTAAAATAACATTGCTAACACACTGCACAGTAACACCGGTCAAGCACAGTGTGGCAAGTTACTGAATTTGAATATAATTTGTTTTCTGTGAATTCTACATATTTTATTTTACACATGTGAAAATATTGTTTTAAGAAAGGATCTATAGACTTTATGAAACTGCCATGGGAGTCCATGGCGCAAGAAGAGGTTAAAATCCCGTACTAAAACGCAAGCTCCAAGACTTTTTCTCTTATGTTCTTTGCAATTGCTCATCTCTTCTGCTCAAGAGTCTACCACGTGGTGGGATTTGATTAATTTCAAGAATAACCTAAGGCCAGATAGGACTTGGTTATTTACATCCTCTCCTCACCCTGGCATTCAGCTCCTCACTTTCCCTGAGGGCCACCTTTCCTTTATTCACCATAGGTGGCATATTCATTAAAGGAATTGCATCCCTTCGAATGACTGAAGATAACATTCCGGAAAATCCTGCCAACAGGTAAGGGCTTTTCTAGACACAATGCCAAACCTTCAATACGTCCCTGTTAGGAGGAAACAGCATTAAAAAGCAAAAACCCCAAACTGAAACATTCTAACAAGAAACAAACCTGACAATAACAACTCATGCTTTGGAGACTTCCATGTTGTTTTTATACCCCCCCTCCCCCAATGAAAGAAACATCACATTGCATTCTGAATTGACATTTTCGCCGTTTAAAGAACACTGAGACAAACTACCTTCTCAGAACAGATCTCAAGACTTCCAAAATGACGAATTTTTCTCTACTGAAAAGTCCACCCTTCTGGCACCAGAGGAAGGCTGGAAAACCTCTGGCACCAGAGGAAGGCTCTTAGGGCGCCCCTTGCTCTACTAGTTGGATTTTAAAAAATGTGACTACTTCCTCTATTGAGAGAAAAAGTCATAGAAAAAAACATAGTTTTATACAGTGTGGTTCATTTCAAGAATTGCAACCAAAATAAATGAATTAACATGCTGCAGCAAGTCTTAAGTGGTGACCACACCACTACTCCAGCTATGTGTAGGCTTTCTAATGTACATGTCATCTTCCCAACCTCTAGAAAAGGCACAATAAGCACTTCCAAACAGACCAAAAGGACCCAGTAATGGCAGTACTCTTTTTCTTTCTTTTTGAGTCACAGTTTCACTCTATCGTCCAGACTGGAGTGCAGTGGTATGATCTTGGCTCACTGCTGCAACCTCTGCCTCCCGGGTTCAAGCGATTCTCCTGCCTCAGCCTCCTGAGTAGCTTACAGGTGCTTGCCACCACGCCTGGCTAATTTTTGTATTTTTAGTAGAGACAGGGTTTTACCATGTTGGCCAGGCTGGTCTCAAACTCCTGACTTCAAGTGATCTGCCTGCCTCGGCCTCCCAAAGTGCTGGGATTACAGGCGTGAGCCACTATGCCCAGCTGGCAGTACCTAGTTCCTTATGATGGGAAAAAATGATGGGAAAGGGGCTTTTCTAAAGAAAATCACATTAAACCTGATAAATATCTGATTAATAGTGTCCTGATATCTGATTAATAAATTCCCTAGGGTCTATTTTTTAAAATACCTATATTTTCTTATAAACATTTCAAGAAAAGAGAACTAACATCTACTGATTTTGTATTACTTCCAGGTGGAGGGCTTGTTGCCTGACAAATATCCCATTTGAATTTTCCCAACAACCCAATGAAGGGTTGCAATATTAGGGAGGGTCAAGCTTAGAGGGGTTAGGTGATCTCCCCAAAGTCACATCCTTTCCATCATAATATGCAGCTCGTGAGCTCATGGAATTTCCCCAATTTTAGCATTTCATACCATCTTTATGATTCTATTATTTGCTCAATATTATTCTTTAAATTGGCTGACTTAAAAGATGAAATAAATTTATTCAAAAAGCAAACTTTGCATTGTTGCTAGTAATGAAGAAATAATACCACTTGCCATGGATTGAAGGTAATTGGAAATGTAAATACAATGAAAAGAGGAACATGTCAGCACATTTTGGCCAAATGTGGTTGTCAGTAAATATCTGGGGCCCAAGGCTGACTCTCTGCTTAAACTGGAAGCTTGCAAGGATTGGAGGTATAATAAAGCCATAATTAGTACCAAAAAGAGAGGTTGTCTTTGGATAGTCAGAAGGATTGAGAGAGAAGTGAAAAGAAAAGAACTCCCCAACCATGTAATTCAATGTTATTTAATTCCATGACCCAGAACCACCTAAAATCATCTCCTGAACCACTGGTGGTACTTGTCTCATGCTTGGGAAAACATGATACAACGTACTGTATTGTAGATAGCTTTGACAGATGTTGTTGGCAGATTCCTTTGGCCTATGCAGGATGTCATCTGAAGTTTTTGTACCATTCCCTTGCATGCAGCTGGCTTCTGAACTCTTGAGGTCTTTCTGTGGCCCATAAGAGCCTGCGTGGCTAACATGACGGAGGGCCAGGCCTGAAGTGGAGAGTTAAATCCCCAAGAACAGCCATCACATCATGAGTTGGTGGATAAATACCCTGCTTCCTTATGCTTTGTTGGGCCGATTGTAAGGATTGTTCTATGTAGTCTCTCAAAGAGTCTTCTGCAAAAATGAGACCCCGATGCCCACAGCAGCAACCTGCTCATTCACATTTTCTATATTACCTTTCCTCATTTCCTAGTCTCATTCTCTGACTTCTTCATTGTCTTGCCTGGGATTTCCTCCCCAGATGAATTGCTTTCACCTGAACCCTTTCCTAAGGGTTTGCTTTTAGAGAATACAACCAAAGAGCATATCTTCCGGTTTTGTATCTAAAAATGAAAAAAACAAAGAAAGAAATAACATAAAACAAAGCTATCTACTTGCTATTGTTTCCAGATAATCACATCCAATCCTGTACTACTCTTATTCTTAAAATGGTAAGGTGAATCCAGATGTAGAAGCAGCCAGGGAGAAGGACTAACCTCTTAGAAACTTTCCAATAATGAAGACTTTGTAGACTCTTAGTGCAAGCCCCCATAGTCATCTTTGATGATTCAACCTTTCTTCTCATTCCGGAAAATCAAAAATTGATGTTTAATATGGCCTAGTAGCCACAGTGGATATGCTGAGATCTTCTTTTCATTCTGGTCTTTAGACAATTTGGGGGGTAGTTTGATTACATCTTATCTTTCTTATGTAGATTGAACTGGTTGTTGAGTGGATTTTCTGATGATAAATTTCAAAGAAACTCCTCTGCCAGGAAAGGGAGAATAACCGATTGTTCATTTTACCTAAAATGGGAGAGCTTTCGTGACAATGTGTAGACTTGACTTCAGAGTAAAATATGAACAGAATTTCATACATACCTTTAGAATATTGTCTGCAGAAGTTATATAACAAGTGTATTACTAGATCCACAAATAAGACCACAAGCCATATGAGCTCACGGAAGCTTATGACTCCCATTAAGCTTTTTAAAAAAGTATGTCAGCAGAAAAGCATAATGATATATGGACTGCTCACTTACCCACAGCAAAACTTGATGAAATCGTAACATTTTGACATAGCACCCCTTTTCCTTTTAAAGAAACAAAACATCACAAATATGCTTGAAACTCTCTTTTACTTCCTTCATTCCTATTCCCTTTCTTTCCCAGATGGACTTCGTTTTTCTCCTGGATTTTATTTTTGTCATTCTTAAGGATGTTTTAATACTTTTACTACACAGATGGTATCACAGACTATAGTATTGCTTTGAATGTCTTTAAACTTTATAGAAGTGGATTATTCTGTTTACATCAGTCTGCAACTTGATTTTTGACTCGATATTATAGAGACTTACCCATGTTTATATGTAGAATTTAGCTCCCTTATTTTAACTGCTATAAAACATTCCATTGTATGAACAAACCAAAATTTATTTTTCCATTCTCCAGCCGATGAACATTTAGATTGTTTCCAGTGTTTTCTTATAATAAAAAATGCCTCTACAAAATATTCTTGAACATGATGCTTTGTGCATATATGCAGAAATTTCTTGTAAGGTACATGCTTAGAAGTAGAAATGCTAGGTATATACCGTGTGCTGCTTCAACTTTATTAGAGACTGCCCAGTTGCTCTGTAAAGAACTATTTATAATCCATCAACATATTTGAAATTTCTCTTTCTCCCACATTCTTGCCTACATTTGGTGTGGACAGACTAAAATTTTTTGCCAACCTGAGGGCTCTGAATAGTATTTTATCTTTGTTTCAATTTGCATTTTCCTAATTCCTAGTGATGAAAAGGGATTATTTATATATCTTGGATGATAATTATTTGTGGGTTTCATATACATTGCAAATATTTCCTCCTAGTCAGTGAGCTTCTTTGCATCTTATTTTTGGTGTCCTTGGAGGAGTGGAAGTTCTGAATTTTAGTGTAGTCAATTTAATCAACCTATTTATAGTTAGTGCATTTTGTGTATTATTTAGGAAATCCTTCCATATCCCGAAGGCATTCATACATCCTTCTACATAATATCCTGAAAATTTTATAGTTTTACCTACAGTTAGGTCTAAAATCCACCTGGAATTAGAATGGAGAACTTGTATTTAATTTTTTTCCTTACGGATACCCAAATGTCCCAACACTGTTTATTGAAAAGATTGTCATTCCCCACTGCTCCGTATGGCCACATTTATCATAAATCAAGTGTGCATATGTCCAAGGGGATATCTCCAGATTCTCAAGTCTGTTTTGTTGGTCTATCTATCTGTGTCTTAATTACACAATGTTTTTATTACTTTAGCTCTATAATCTTATTATTTGCCAGTGCAAATACCTCCTTCCCTGCCTTGACTTTACATAGCGGTTTCCTCATCCACATGAACTTTAGGATAAGCTTGGTTTGTTCTATGAAAAGTCCCTATTAAAACGGTACTTAAAATTTTTGAATTTATAAATTAATTTGGGGATAATATACATTTTGATGACATTGAGGCATCCTATCCATAAATATTTCTTCATTTATTTCAGTATTCTTTTAAGCATTTCAACAACAGTTTATCATTGCTTTTATATGGGTGTCATGTTTCTCAAGTTCTGTCCAAAGGGAGGAGAAATAGACCCCACCTCTTGATGGCAAGTGGCAGGCTTCTGGAAAATTATGTGGCTCCGGAAATACTTTTGTTGCTATTCTTGGAAAATACACTTTGCTATTGTCTATCCTCTGGCCACAATAATTTATGTCCTTGTCATATGCAAAAGAAAACCCCCACCTTCTTCCCTAGAATCTGCAAAGCTCAGGCTCACAGTCTAAGATCTTGCCATTAAGATCACGTTCACGTGCAACTGAAGCTCCTTAAGCTTGGCTCCTCAAAGAGAGCGTCTGGAGATAGTTCCTGCTTATCTTAAGATTTGTCACCTCAAGAAACAATTTGCAGCCAGGCGTGGTGGCTCATGCCTGTGATCCCAGCATTTTGGGAGGCTGAGGTGGGTGGATCACCTGAGGTCAGGAGTTCGACCTCAGGAGTTGGTCAGGAGTCTGGCCAACGTGGTGAAACCCTGTCTCTACTAAAAATAAAAAATAAAAAAATTAGCTGGGCGTGATGGCGGGCACCTGTAATCCCAGCTACTTGGGAGCCTGAGGCAGGAGAATCACTTGCACCTGGGAGGCGGAGGTTGCAGTGAGCCGAGATCTCGCCACTGCACTCCAGCCTGGGGGACAAGAGTGAAACTCTACCTCAAAAAAAGAAACAATTTGCTTTCTCCCTAGAGATGCAACATGTAATGGTGAAACAGGCATAGGGTAACTACCACCCAGCCTCCTCTTCAAAAACAGGAGGCACTCAGGAATCTGTAACCATTTTGAAATCCAGCAGGGTTCCCGTTGCCAGTTCCTTGGTGAGGGTGCAGTCCTACTGCCTGGATATAATTCACTGTGGCTCTGCGTTATGCCCTCCATATCCTCTTTCCTTTTCAATAAAAAGTGGCCCATTTTGCAGTTGAATAGTTTTCTCAGTCAGCTTCCTGCATGTAAAATGTTGATTAAATCATCTTTCCATGTAAGCTGATATAATTCTTTTAAAAACCCTGTGGGTTTCTTATGAATTGATTTCTGATACACTCCATCAGACAAAAGCTACATCCACAAATCTCGCCAAGATTTTCCACCTTGGGCTTGCTATAAAGCTGCAGAAGGACAGTGCTCCTTAAATTCTTAAGAGTTCTAGTAGTTAACAGAGAGAATCTAGAAGCACTTCTTGAAGATCTTTAGAGGTCCCTTGGTCTCAACAAAACAGTTCTTGAGGCAGTGTCCTAGGTATTTCTGAGGTTTTAACAAATAATATTATGGGCATAGTCTTTAATCTTTGCTCTGAAGCCCTCTCTTAATTTCAGAATATTAGAGAGGATGGGATTAAAAAAGAGTTTTATTTTTGAACACTGCAAGTCCTGGCTCCTAAATTTTCTCTAAATTTTACTTGAAGAGTAAATAATTCCTTTTTAAAAAGGTCATCTTTTTCCTCTTGTATTTATTACAGACAATGTGAAGAAGCCAAGAGGCACTTTTAGTATTCTGCCTGAAACTTCTTTAGCTAGATCATCTGATTAATTAGGAATGTCTTCGATTTTCTAAATTATTGTGGGAACAATGTTGCTAAACTTTCTCTCACTACTAACAAGGATTTCCTTTCTCCCAGTTTCCAATAACATTTTCCTCACTTTTAATTAAGCCCTAATTAACAGCTTCATCAAGGGTTATGAGGCTTCCTCTAATAGCCTCTTTAAGATCCTTTAGACTTTCACTAACATTCTCCTTAGAGTCCTTTTCTGCCCACTACTTGGTCCCAAAGCCACTCTCACATGGTTTTTTATTGCCACCACATCTTATTTGACACAAAAAATACGACACAAAAAATATGGTTACAGCTATGGCTGTAAAGCAATTACTCCAGAAAACGTGGCATAAATAATCATTTATTTTACTCATGAATCTATAACATAGATAGGTCTTGGTAGAGATAGCTTCTGTCTACTCCATTGGCCTTGGCTGGGGTAGCTTGAAGGCTGTGGGCTGGAACCACTTGATGTCTCACTCACTTCCATGTCTGCTGGTTGATGATGGCTATTCCTGAGACCTCAGCTAGGGTTGCTGAATGAAACATCTATATGTGGTCTATTCATGTGGCCTTGGCGTCTTTACAAAATGGTGGGTGAGTTCCAAGAGCCAATTTCCCAAAAAAAGAGAGCATCAGAAGGAAGCCATATCACCTTTTATGACCTAGTTTTGTAAGTCCACAGCATTATTTATACTACATTCTATTTGCTGAGATAGTTGCAAGTCTTTCCCAAGGGGAGGGAAAACAGACTCCACCTGTTAATGGCAAGTGGCAATTTCCAGAAGATCATGTGGGACTGGAAATATTGGTATGGCCATTTTTGGAAAGACGTTTGTTATAGTTACTATTTTACACAGTGTTGTCAGACAGGCTTCTCCAAAGGTGGCATCTGAATACCCATAAAAGTGAGGGAGTGAGTCACATTGTATTCGGGAAAGAGTGGTGAAAACAAGTGCAAAGGCCCTGGGGCAGATTATAATGGATGTGTTTGAACTCGTTTGGCTGGAGTCAAGAAGACAAGAGAGAGAATAGCAGTAGTGGTTAAGTACAGAGAAGTAGCCAGGGGCTTATCATCGAGCGTCTTGTAAGCCATTGTAAAGACTATAGTTTTTATTCCAAGCCATGAGGGAGGGTGGTTAAGAGAAAAGAAATTTTATTGGACTTATATCTTAAAATGATCACTTACTGAGGCACAATGCCCAGGAGTTTATAGTGTAGTTGCTATCACTGTGAAGATCAACCACATGGAGATAAATCGGAATGGTGTTTATTGCTACACACCCAGAGTACTCAATTATATTTGAGCCAAGGGATGAGTGATAAACCTTGGGCTCTTGTAAATGTCTTTCTAGAATCTGTATTTGGTTTAAAGTTGCATTTGTACTTTTTAGGCATTCTTAATAATGTTTAGCACTGTCTCCAAGCAAGCATTCTCTGCTTTTGAAAAAACTTTTCTATGTGTGGGATGGCAATTGTGATGGATTGTTCCCTTTTAACCCCCAGGCTCTACTCTCCTTCCATATCCTGCTATGTGCCCCAGGAACTATTTCTATATGCTAGTTCCATAACCTCCTGGACCTCTGGCTTTCAGGTAGGTGGCCAATGGAAAGTTCCAGCAGATAAAACAGAGGGAGGAGAGTAAGATCAGGGTACTCATTCCCCTGGTCCCCTCTTTTCACAACTATCTCATGACAGAAGGTCAAAGCAGCCTGTTCTACATGACTCTAAGTTCCAGTAGCCTCTGTGTCCCCATTAGGCCTATGGGTGATGACAACTTCACTAGTGCGAGTCCCCAATTTATGCACTATCCCCTGTGGTTCCCTACACTCATACCACTGTAAACAGACTCTTTGCAAATAAAACCTCCTCCTCAATCTCATTTTGCATGTGCCATCTGCCCCTGTTGGGACCCTGAGCCAGTACAGTGATACTGAATCTTTAAAAACTTAAACCAGGGTATTCACGCATTTAATTTTGGTCTACTTGCCTTTTCTAGTTGTCCTCTTCCCTTCCCCTCCAGTCTTATGACCTGTGAGGGTGTAAGAATATGTATAAAGAGACATACACAGGATTTCAGGAGGTAATTTATCCAGGAGTACAACTCTCCAACCTGGGATATAAAATAAACGAATAGAGTAAACCTAGAGGTGCCTATTTGGGCATTAAAATCCATGTGAAACTGGCACACAGATTTGCCTTATATTAGTGGGAGAAGATTATCTGCTAACATCTTTACTCCCTATTTCCCCACAAAACCATTGAAAGTGTATCATCACCTATCAACATTTTATAAAGAAATCTGAGCAGAGGGCTAAAAGAAGCGAACCTTACTTATATCTGATGACGAAACTCTAAAGATGTACAAAAGCTCTGGAAGTGGGGTGGGGGTTGGGGAACAAGCTTAGAGTCCAAAGCCTTGCAAATAAACATTCTGAATCTCCTGCAATCCAGTTTAACATCAGCAGATTGCTCTCACTTGGTTCTTGGGCCTTTATATTTTTCTTTTGGTTAGCTAATTCCCCACCTACCACCTCCATCTTTCTTTTTCTTTTTTCAGAACAGAGCAGTATAGAGAAGATCTAATGGTCAAGTTTTTAAGCACATGGCACATTTCTACTTTTTATAAAAAGAATATTATTGTACAGTTTCTCTTGCCTGAAAAACGCACTTGGACAAAGCCCAGCACTGGTCTCAGCAAGTCCTTACTCAACAATTATTGAAGGAAGGGCTACACTTTCCTATTAGAGGCCAATTTAACATCTGGCTTAAAATGGCATTTGGCTTACAGGCTCTGAGGCAACCTCTTCTCATTCCCCAAGAAAAGACCTGTGAAGACTGAGGAAAATGTAAAGACTTAAACAATAGAAAGTCTAATGGGACTAATTCCCTGGAAGGAGTTGGACCAAGAAAAATCTATGCAAAATTTCTCCCATGGCAACCTTAAGCTTGGTGCTGCCTGAGTCAGTCAGGATAAAGATGGGGATGGAGAGCTGCTGAAAGCATATGCTAGTCTTACTGTAATAGTTAGGAGCACCATTCCCATGCTCTGGCTATGTAACAAATTAGCCCAAAACCTAGTGGTTTCGAGCAATGGTAATCATTTATTATCTCTCAAAATTTTTGTGGATCAGGAATTCGAACAGGGCACAGTAAGTTCAGCTTGTGTCTGCTCACTGGTGTCTACAGCCTCAGGGGAAAGACTCAAAACCTAGAGCCTGGAATAATCTAAAAGCCCATTTACTCACGTTTCTGGTGGTTGATGCTGGCTCTTGATTGGAAGCCTTATTGGGGCTGTCAGCCAGAACAAACCATGTAGGGCCTTTCCATGTGGCATGAGCTTCCTTACAACATGGTGGCTGGATTCTAAGGGGAAGTGTTTCAAGAAAGAAGGAGAGCTGGGCCGAAATTATATTGCCTTTTATAATCTGTCCTTGGAAGTCACACAGCATCACTTCCTTCAGTTTCTCTTGGTCAAGACACTTAGCAGAGTCTACCCAGGTTCAAAGAGAGGAAACATAGACCCCCCTGCCGGATGAAGGGGTATCACAATACATTGTAAAATGTCATGTGGGATGAGATATCTATTTTGATGCTGCCATCTTTGGAAAAGACAACATGACAAGATAGGGCCTCCCAGGGTGAGATGGCTTGGGTTGGAACTCTTGCTGTGCTACTTGCTAACCTTGGGCGAGTATGACCTTGGGCTAGTAAATGACTTGAACTCCCTGGACCTCAATTTCCTCATAGTATTGATGTGAAGATTCAGTGAGTTACATATCAAGCAATTAGAATAGTACTTAGCACATGTTAACTGCCTAAAAAGTCAGGTTTTATTACATAATGTAGCTGGGGGATGCTCTGTCCTCACCACCCACTTCCATCTTTTCCTTTCTCTAGCAGGAAGGAAGGGTCTTTTAGCATAACAAGTTAGGTTAGTGAGAGATGACTGATACTGCAATAAGAGGCAGGGGTTTATTAGTCTCATACCTTTTCTCATCCAAAGAATCTGAAACCCTTAGCCTGGTCCTGGTCCCTTGGAGGCAACTGCTGACTACAGGGAAAATATGGTCTGCTGCAGATAAGGGCTCCCAAATTAGAGGATCTAGATTAGAATTTATGTTCTAAGTCTCTGGTAGTAGCAGTTTGAAGGATAGAAGATGAAGCTGAGAAGCTATGGAGAGGTGAACAGAGGAAGAGAAGGGTAACAGAAAGAAGGAAGACCTCTCAATACATCTGTGAACCTGGCCGGGAGCGGTTGCTCATGCCTGTAATCTAACACTTTGGGGGGCCGAGGTGGGTGGATCACCTGAGGTCAGGAGTTCGAGACCAGCCTGGCCAACATGGTGAAACCCCATCTCTACTAAAAATACAAAAATCAGCCGGGTGTGTGGCATGCGCCTGTAATGCCAGCTACTTGGGAGGCTGAGGCAGGAGAATCAGCTTGAACCCAGGAGGTGGAGGTTTCAGTGAGCTGAGACTGCACCACTGCACTCCAGCCTAGGCGACAGAGTGAGACGCCGTCTCAAAATAAAATAAAATAAAATAAAATAAAATAAAATAAAATAAAATAAAATAAAAATCTGTCACCTGATTTTGTCTGGCATAAAAGGCAACATAGTAGGACTCTGTGTTCATTATAGCCTACTAATGAGATTTTTTTTTTAAATAGACCTAATGGTTGTACTTGCCTGCTTTCTAAACATAATGGGCATAGGGAAGTTGCCTCTCTTCTTACCTGTCCAGAAAAAAATGCACCAAAATAGTAATACTGGCTTTTCTGGGTAAGATTAAAAGTGATTTTTGTCTTTGTTTTTTTTTTTTAAACTTTCCCAAATCTTCTATCATTTCATAATTCAAAAAAATGTTAGGGAAAACAATGACCTCCTG
Organism: Homo sapiens; assembly: GCF_000001405.40. Taxonomy (NCBI): domain Eukaryota; kingdom Metazoa; phylum Chordata; class Mammalia; order Primates; family Hominidae; genus Homo; species Homo sapiens. The sequence goes on from NC_000003.12 coordinate 66,789,343, forward strand.
ATCCACAGCAGCTGTGCCTCCACATCAATAACGCTTCTGAATATCAATTACCAACATGCTCTCGCCAGCATTTCAATGGGAAGAAATGAACTGAACCAACCCTGTAGGTTGCTTGCTTTCTTCAAGAGAAAGGAAAGTTTGCAGAATTGCTCATGAACTGGAATCTGCAGAACCACCGCGATGGGGTGACTTACAGAGTGGGGAAGAGGTCTGCTCATGGCCCAGATTAGAGTGACCCTACTGAAATGGCTGCCTCAAAAACCCAAGGCCCACCATGTCCACCTATTGAAATTAACTAAAGAATTCAATGAGTTTCCCAGTGACCCAGCTCCCTGTGAGTTGAACATGGTTTCTGCTATTTCATTTGAAACTACCATAGCTCACAGAGCTGGAGGAGGGTTGCATGACAGATTGCAGAGCCCAGCCCAGCCACACCCCCACCTCTCCTCTCTGTTGCTAACTGCACACACAGAGGTCCTTAGGGAGGGGGAAATGCAATAAGAAAACACCTGTGATTTCCTTGCAGAACTCCCCCATGGCTACAATCCACCCTTTCCTCTCTTATAAAAGATTCCATTTGCTCCATTTCTGACCCCAGGGCATGGACAAATGGATGGTGGCCTGGTGTGGCTTCTCTGCTCTTGGCTGTGTTCCCCCGCACCAATTAATCACCATACCCCAATGTGACAGGCCCAGCTCTTTGCGGCAGCTCATCCTCCGGCTGTTCCAGTGATTACTCTAAAGCCTTCCCCAGATGCAAGAATTTCTCAATGTTTTTTTCTTCACTATTGCTCCATGTGCTGGCTACTGCACCGAAAGGGGCTGTGGTTCTCCCCCACATTGCTGACTGGTCAGTAAGGAACCCCGAGGACCTAATTTGAGTTCAGGCCCTGTCACCCACTAGTTTTGCCATCTTGGACATGTCAATTGAGATTTCCCTAAGCTTCCTCATCTTTGGAGAGAGGATAATAGTAACTACTTGGCCATCTTCGAGAAGTAATTGTAATAATCTGATGAGGGATTTTAAATCATTTTTTAAAAATCCCTTCTTGGAATTGTGTTTTTAAAAAAATAAAATATATGGGACTGCCAACAAAACCAATTGTATTAAAATACAATTTTCAAAGTATTAAATCAATTAATATAAAAATAAATTTATGTTAGTGCATTAAATAACAAGATTTAGCAGTGGGTCTAAAAACCACAGTGTTTTCAAGCTAGTGATGAGCCTAAATGATACTTTGAGATATCTACAATAGTAGTGATGTAATATGAAAGTATCTGATTTCATTTGGTGACAAAGTCACAGGTACTGCCGGGACTGTGACTTGTTACTTACATTCATAATTTTAAAAAATGCTAAGTTTTAGTTAGAGTTTAGTGGAAAAAAAATTTATCATCCAAGTTTAGTCTCCCTAAAATTGATTCACATATTCCTGTGGGTCCACAGACTCCAGGAATCAAGAAACTCTAATAAAAATGAGATAATGTATGTGAAAATGCTTTGTAAACTCTGTGGTTTGATGAATTTGAAAGATAGAGAAAGATTCTCAAATAAGCCATCTGGTTCAAGTTTCTTTGTATCTTTAGATTCCTCCTATGTCAGTTTCCTTGAGAAATTTTTGGGAGTTGTTAGGTTTCGGCAAGAACCATCCTTACAACACAGGTCATTAATATCCACTTGAGGTCTGAAGAATCAGGTCTCAGAGTTAGCCCATCATTTTCCCTATCCTCAGGTAAAGCAAGCACGTCTCTAGCTGTGGTTCCTAACTCACCACATTAGGATGACCTAGGTGGGTGAGAGGGTGGACAGAGTGCATGTTGAACATGGGGTTCCTTAGGTTCTCCCCCAGTCCTAGGGAATCAAAGGTGGGCCCAGTGACTTTCTTTTGTCTGTCTTTCTTCTATTCCAGATACATTCTGGATTATTCTAACACACACTCAAGTCTGAAAACTTCTTGATAATGGAAAATTGCTTCTAGTATTATCATTCTTGTGTGCAGAAGCAGAGCTTTTGTCTGCGCAGCCCAGAGGGTGGGCATATAATTTTCTGGAAATTTCATAGCTTGATTATTACCTGAGCCCACATCAAATAAACCAGAATCCGTGCTCCCATGGGGACCCGTAATCTTTTAATCAAACATCTATCCCAGTTAGGAGAGTTGGAAAATAAGCATCTCCACTCAAGGCGGAATCCCAGTTCTATTATCAGCTTGGTACCACAGGGACCCTTCCAAGAGTCACACATAAGTAAGCAAACCACCAAGAGCCTGTGCCCTGCATGCCACCACAGAGATACCTTCTGGAGTGTCAGAAGAGTGACACCAAAAACCTGAGCTATGCCAGATGTTGAGGGTTAGTGGGGGAGATCAACGGGACCAAAGGTGGGGGGGAGGTAGAGAAGCCTTACTTCATTTTGGAGAGCCTTCCCCAAACATGAAGATCCCAATTCAGGGATCTGTGACACACCAGGCAATCAGTGCTTCCAGATGTTTTCTGGTCTCAAAGGCAGGGCAGATGAAAAGAAGAGAAGAACATTGGAGATAGTGCCACTTCTGAGGAGAAGCTCCCTGGTTCATCCTGCGAAAGTATTTCTTTCTCTACTCAAGAGCTTGAAGGGGGCGGGTTGTGGGGGGCAGCGAGAAAAGACTTTTCTCCTTCCAGAGAAAAATGGAGACAGAGCAGGCATAAATGATTTCCATCATGGGGAACTGATGATTTGAGAAGATATTTGCCCTATGCAGATAATGTCAGAGGAAGTCAAAGGTATAGGGTTGTTAGAGAGGGACACAACCAGGTACTAGGAAGTATTTTTTTCAAATGCCCATTTCTTAAAGATTTCAGCAGGCTTCTGGGAATGTCTGGCACCTTCTCCATATAGCAAAACCAAGAGCATTTTGAGGGGATTGTTCTGGAACCCTTTCAAAGCTCCTGTTGTTGCAGACATTTGCAGATGTCTCCTCCATCTGCCAGGGATTTTGAACACTGGGGACTGTAGCACCATGTGCTAGGAGCATGGATCCCTGTGAGCAGAGTCTAAGAGTTTGGTGTCTGATGTGCACCAAACACCACTTCCACTTTCCCCACCCCAGTGGCCCCTGTCTTTCCACTTCTAGACTGTTCTGCTCTGCAGAGAGAGTCTAGGTGACTTTTTTGCTGGGAGAGAGGTCTCAATTTCTCCCTTTAAAAAAAACCACACAAGTTACTCTCATTTCCCTGGTTCCTTTGGAAGAAAATGTGCTGAACACTTGGTTCTCGCAAGTGGCCTCCTGCCTGCTTTTTGCACATTTAAGGGAGAAACAGAGCTTAAATCAGGAGGCAGCAAACTTTGGCCTGTGGGCCAAATCCTACTGCTACCTATTTTAGTAAATAAAGTTTTATTAGAACATAGCCATACCCATTAATTTACTTGTTGACCCTAGCTACTTTTTAGCTACAAAGGCAGAGTTGAGTAGCTGCAACAGGGATTGTATGGAATACAAAGGTGAAAGCATTTTCTATTCGGCCCCTTATGGAAAAAGTTTTCTAACTCCCTGCTTAAATAAAGGAGACAGAGCAGCTAAATAAATGGATCAAAGCTGCTGAAACATGGGTCAGAGCAGCTGAAAAATAGGAACTTCAAAAATTAAAGGAGGACAACTAGATTTCTGATCCTGAGAGCAAAAAAGCAAGAGAAATGGCTGGTTTGCAATACATGAAGGAATACATACTGGGTACTTTTCATGTGCCTGACTACTGTGCCAAGCACTTTACATACATTCTCTCTTTTAAATTCTACAAGTGAGGTATATTACTGTCATCATTTTACAGCTGTGAAAACTGAGGCCTGGAGATGTTGAGTCACTTGCTCTGGTCATCCAGCTGATAAGTGGTAGGGTGAGAATTGGAACACAGGGGTGACTTTAGAGCCCAAAGTCTTGACCATGAGGCTATCCTGTTGACAGGCTCCATGTCATAGGAAACACGGAATGGCTGCTTTTTCAACTGCTCAAATCAGTGACACCCAAAGTCTTAGCATGGGCTGCAGCTACAGCAGGATCCCCAGAAACTGGGATTCCTTAAGTCTTTGGGAGGCCCCTGAAGTTGCACTGAAAATGTTCTGGTGCGAGGTGGGGAGGGGAAGACTTCACTGCCCAGTCATAATTGCTTCCCTTGGCCTCATTACTAGGTTTTAAGAGGAGGAAAACCTAATATTGCCAGTCACATTGCTGCTTGCTATTTTGAAAATGTGGTAGGGGATAAGGTTGAAACATCCAACATTTAACCCTGAAACTGGCATACTAAATAACACTTTTTCACGTTTCTGCATGGTCTTTCATCCAAAACTCTCAGACGACTTCACAAGCAGTTACTATTTACTATTATATTACTCCCTTGGGAACTATAATGGAGTGTGGCTGCTTCGAGACTTGAAGAGTCCCTTTAAATTGTATAATTTTCTCCTGGCTCTTTCTGGCTAACGCATGCACTTCACTAATATTTGAAAGAAAAAATGTTGTGAACCTATTTTTTGTTTGTTTGTTTAGATTGGCGTTTGCCTAAATTAGTATTTCACGCACAGCCTGGGTTCAAAAGACTATTGTTTATGCTACTGGGCATAGTTAAAAGAAAGAAAAAATACCCTCCAGGGCAAACTAAAAGCTAAATAGCACTCGATCCACAATCTCCGTGTAAGGACTGATGAGTGCCAAAACACAAGATCCACATTCAGTGTCAGCAGTAGGGGTGGTGGTTGCATGCTCAGCTTTTCATTTTCATGGGGAAGGTGGACATCTTCAGGTCCCATGAACCAAGAATTACATGTAAGTATAATCATTAAATGAGCACCAACTCTGTATGAGGAGCTGTATCGGTGGCCTCTAAAGGGTTAAGTGTGAAGACTAAAACTTCTGATTTGTACTTATTTTTAATCTCATCTTGTTAAATTATGCTTGGTTAAATTATTCTTTATAATGTACATATCATGTTCAATAATGCATGACTAAGATATAATAAGCAGATATTCAACAATATTTAAATGCAGGGGTGTGTAGATAAAACTCACCCTTTTTTGTTTTTTTGAGACAGGTTCTCACTCTGTCACCCAGGCTAGGGTGCAGTGGTACGATCTTGGCTTGCTGCAACCTCTGCCTCCCGGGCTCAAGCAATCCTTCCACATCGGCCTCCTGAGTAGCTAGGACTACAGGCATGTGCCACCATGCCTGGCACATTTTTGTATTTTTTATAGAGATGGGGTCTCACCATGTTGCCCAGGCTGGTCGCGAACTCCTGAGCTCAAGGAATTCACCCGACTCGGCCTCCCAAAGTGCTGGGATTACAGACATGAACCACCGCACCAGGCCAAAACTAACTCTTTTACATGTCTTATCTCAGCATTTAAGCAGCACTAGACCCTCAAGAGTGGCAAACTGGATGCCTGGGTGGACCACCCACTCTGGTTAAGTGTCACCATGTGAAAATGAGGACCCAGTTTGTCCTAATCTTTAGGTTTTTTCAAGAGAAGCTGAAAGTTAATTTTTATGTGAAATCTTGTGATGTATGTGTGAAATCTCACTATATTTAAATACGGGAAACTTTGAAAGGCAAAACTGTGCTGGCCAAAAAACTCTACATCTGTGGGCCAGATTTGGCCCATGGACCGCTAGCTTTCAGTCTCTACGCTGGATGTTATATCAAGATTTCTGTGGTTAAATAGATTTGCAAAATGCAACAGAATGGGATCTTTCTTCAATATTCTTGATGAAGATCAATACATTAAATGCTCGGAGAAGTCGTGTCAGAATGGAAACTATTTAGCTTGATTTAAATGACTGCTCCCCCAAATCACCAGTCTGTGTGTGCTCCTCACATTACAATAACCTGTAGAAGTGTGGTTGCTAAGTACACTGGGGAAAGCTGCATAAGTCCATTTGATCCTGCACCAGAAACTGTGAAAGGCAGGTACTGCTGTTATTATTCCCATTTTATGTGTGAAAACAACTGAGGGTCTGCAAGGTTAAGAAAATTGCTCAGGCTCATATAGCCAGATGGGGGACAGGTGCTTCACTGACTTTAAAACTGAAATGGTTTCTACTACATTTCATGACTAGGTCCGCACCACCCCCACACCAAAAAAAAAGTGGATTTTGCTTTTTCTATGACTGGTACAATAACAATTTTAGGATTCAGGATGTTTATGGTAGGATTGTTTTTTAAAAACCCCATGCTCTGTTGAAATATATCAAACGGCACTGGTTTCATCAGCCACATAGGCACAGAGGTCTCATTTTATAACCATGAGCTCGGATGAACAACATCTCCCCTGGGGAGGCATTGTGGGTTCTCTCCCGATGCCCTGCCCTGCCCTGGGTAATCTGAGGCTCCTGGGCCCTTTTGGGACCTTCCCCCAATCCTTCCCTCCCTCCCTGCACTGCATCACCTTTCTCCCCCACCAACACCCAACCCCAGCCCTGGTTTAGCTAGGCTTTGGCCATCTCCCTTTGTTGCCTCCACAGTGGGAGGGAACTGGAACAGGACAGGTCAGGGCTCCAGCCGTATGGGGAGGAGGTTTAGGGGACCTCGTGTGGAGACAAGACCCTGGAAACAGGCTTGGGGGGCTGGGGTGGGGTCAGGGTGAGAAGCAGTGAGAGAGGCCTGAAATGCGGCCTGGCCCCTCTCATACCATTTGGGCACCTGACGCAGAATGAGGGCTGCCATTTGGACAGGCTTGAGCCAAACCCCATTCCTGGGAGTGAGGCATCCCTGCTGTGTCTGAAAGACCCCACAGAGGATCTTTCATCCCCAAAAGGGAATTCACTGCTTTCTTGGCAATCACTTCCAGGCTTAACTAACTACCCTTAACAGGAGAAAGTTCATTCTCAGCTGCAACAGAAACTCTTCCTGCTTTGTTTTTCTTCAGTACCTCTCCAGAGACCCAGGAGGGATGGGTGTCTCTGCCCTCCATATTTTAACCTCTGATGAAATGGAGTGCAACAGAGCAGAGTAACTAAGAGCATTACACAGAGCTAAGTTTGACTCTCAGAGCATTCACAGGCTGTGTGACCTTGGGCAAGTTATGTAGCATCTCTGAACCTCAATTTCCTCATCTGTAAAATGGGGTGAAACACAGAATGTCTAAGAGAAACAGAAGCATACATCCATATAAAAACTTGCACATAAGTATTCATAGCAGCGTTATTTGTAATAGCCCCAAAGTGGAAACAACTCAAATATCTATTAAGTGATGAGTGGATAAACAAAATGTGGTATGTCCATACAATGACTACTATGCAGCTATCAAAAAGAATGAAGTACTGATACATGTTCCAACATAGATGAATTTTGGAAACATGCTCAGTGAAAGAAGTCAGATGCAAAGGATGACATATTGTGTAATTCTGTTTATATAAAATGCCCAGAACAGGCAAATCTATAGATAGGAAACAGATCAGAGTTGTCTAGGGTTGTAGGGAGGGGGAAACGGGGAAATGACTGCTAATGCATATGGGATTTCCTTTTGGGTGATGAAATGTTCTAACATTGACTATGGTGATGACTACAAACTCTGTGATATACTTCAATATATTCACTGAATATAATCCACTGAATTGTATATTTTAAATTGGTGAATTGTATGGTATGTGAATTATATCTCAATAAAACTATATTTTTTTAAAGGGATACAAAACCCATAGTACCTACATCATAGAGGCTATTGTGAAAATTCAATAATATAATGCCTCGAAAGTGTCTAGCATAGCATCTGACAAGCAATCGATGTTATCTTCAACAACAATATTAGTAATAATAAAAATATGTAGTTATATCTTATAGTATCATATAAAACAATAATTATATGATACACAATATTCCGTGTAACTATATGTTAAGTCTATATTATCATAAAATAATTATAAAAATAATATTTTTTTTCACCCTCTGTCTCTTCCTCCTCTTAAAACTTTGATTCTGGGTTGATCCTCCAATTTTTTTTAACATTATCAAAATTACTTTTGAACATTTTGAATGTTATATATATTACCTAATATATACAACGTATCTATCATAGTATATTATATATTATGTATAGACACATTATGTATAATGTGTCTATACATAATATAGACAGGACCCGATCCCCACAGCTTGAGACAATCAATGTGGTGTTCAGAAACAGAACTAAAAGGGCATATTTTCCTGGAGACACGTTGGCTCAACGTGAAATTCCCCTGTAGCCTCAGTTTCCCTCAAGGCCTGCTAACCAGAGACCTGAAGGTGGATTACTATCCAATTTTACTTGCTATTGGCTGGACAAATCTCCCTGTTCATTTGTTGTATCAATAAATTAGGGTGGAATGTTAGACACATTATGTGTCTATACATAAATATATAATACTATGATAACTGTGATATATCTTTATGGGATTATTACTATACATTGTCATATGTAATAATATATATTACGTGCCATATAATACATTCAGTTGTATAATATACAATTATTATGAAATATGATAGTAGTAGTAGTGTTCACCCTATGACTGGTCTTTCTTTTAACCTTTCTGAATTTGGAATGGTTTCTCCAATTCTTTGAACCTTTGCTGGCCCCTGATATATTTGGAAAGAAAATTGCTCTGAATTTGGAGAAATTAAATTACAGTAATGACTCTAATTCAACTGCCTCGTGTAGCTCAGGCTGGAAGATAGAAAAAATATCCCAGGCCGCTCCTACGGCTGCTCCTGGGAGCCCTGTGAGGGGGCCAGGAGGAGGTGGGGGACACGCCGCTGAGGGTCCCGGCGACACGCCAGGGGGCCCCCCGATGCGGATAAAGGGCTGTTTCTTCCCAGCCTCTTTGGAATGCCCGGCTGCCTTTTGAAAGGGGATCCCCAGGACTCCGGTCCAGATCTGGGGTTTCTCCCTCCTTGCTGTTGATCGGGAGCGCTGCCGCAGGTGTCCCATTTTCATTAAAATGCACATCAGAGCGCCTACTGGAGCTGGTAACAAAGACAACATTGAAACCGGGTGTCCGCCTTCCGCGGCCAAGCAGGGGGCAGGACAATGATTTCCCCAGGATGTGTTCGCTGCCTGGCTTCCCCACAGAGCGCTCCGTCAGGACTCAGTCATGGGTGAATGCCGGGCTTCTGAGAAACTCCAGCTGAGCGGAGTTGTTGCAACTTCAGAACTGTTTCTCCAAGTGAGGGAGGAGGCCTTCTGGAAGGAGGCAATCAACAGTTTCCCGATCCCCACAGCTTGAGACAGTCAGTGTGGTTTTCAGAAACAGAACTAAAAGGGCATATTTTCCTGGAGACACGTTGGCTGGATCTGAAATTCCCCTGTAGCCTCAGTTTCCCTCAAGGCCTGCTACCCAGAAACCTGAAGGTGGATTACTATCCAATTTCATTTGCTATTGGCTGGACAAATCTCCCTGTTCATTTGTTGTATCAATAAATTAGGGTGGAAAAAAAGGAAATAGTCTTACTTTGCAGATATCTTTGGGGTGCTTGGAGGTTGTACCTGATATGGTAAAAACTTTCTTATAATGAAATTTATGTACGTGTGTGTTTGGGGGGAAAAGGAATATATTTATGAAAGTTTTTTTTTTTTTTTTTTTCAGAGAGACTGCTAGAAATAGTCATTTAGAGGGGAAAAAATTCAAATTACACAATATCAAAGCTGTATTGTGCAGCTACAGTGAAGGCCATGGGTAGCCCACGCTACTTTCTCTACGTGGGCCAGGAAAGCAATGACCCAACGCTGTCCCAGGACTCAGGGCTGATGAGTGGAGGAAAGGCTGGACTTCTGGACTTGTTTTTTTCTGTGCCCCCTTGGCAGGGCATTCTTTTTTTTTTTTTTTTTTTGAGACAGAGTCTCACTCTGTTACCCAGGCTGGGGTGCAGTGGTGCCATCTCGGCTCATTGCAACCTCTGCCTCCCGGGTTCAGGTGATTCTTCTGCCTCAGCCTCCCAAGTAGCTGGGATTACAATCATATGCGACCACGCCTGGCTAATTTTTGTATTTTTAGTAGAGATAGGGTTTCACCATGTTGGCCAGGCTGGTCTTGAACTCCTGACCTCAAGTGCTCTGCCTGCCTCGGCCTCCCAAAGTGCTGGGAATACAGGTGTGAGCTACCATGCTTGCAAAGTATGGTTTGCCCAACCATTCATGGTAGCTCCGGGTGTAAGGTTCACCTCCTCCTCTCCACTGATTTTGGAAACTGAGGCTTAGAGATATTAAGTGACTTTTTCCAAGGTCACACAGCCAGATAGCCACAAAGCTTTACCATTGTCATCATCCACGGAGGCTGGTTCCAAAGATGGTGGCTTCTTCGGTGTGAAGTTTGGGGACTAGAACTCCTTTGCTGTGCTGCCTGAGATGCTCCATGGAGCCATTTTTCTCTGGGATTCTACCATCTTCTCAGAGTGCTGCCAGGAAGTTGAACCCTGGTCCTTCTTCCTGCTGGCCCCATAGGACCCTTCTTCATGCCTCTCCAAGCCCACTCTCAACTGCTACCCTCTTTGCCTCTGCCCTTAAAAAGACAGGCTAACTCTGCTTTCTGCTCTGCCACAAAATTTAGTTGGGGCTCAGAAGCCCAGAACCTGCTACCTGCTTAAATGAGGGGAAGAGTAAGGGGAAAATGTATATATAGAGAAAAAAATAATGAATATGTCAAACTATTCTTCCCTAGGAGAGGAATAGCTAGGTCATATGGTTAGTGTATGTGTAACTTTCTAGGAAACTGCCAAAGTGTTTTCCAAAGTGGCTGTGCGATTTTGCATTCCGATCTGCAATATATGAGAGTTCCAGTTGCTCTGTATCCTTGTCAGCAGTATTGTCAGTTTTTTAAAAACGCACTTCAGTACCCGTGTGGTGGAATCTCATTGTGGTTTTTATTTCATTTCCCTAATGTCTAACAGGGTTTTGTCTCTTTTTATGGGCTTATTTGCCATCTGTAGATCTGCTTTAATGCAGTGTCTGTTCAAACCTTTTGCCCATTTTTAAACTGGATTGTTTTCTTATGATTGAGTTTTGACAGTTCTTTATATATAGTCATGTGCCACATGACAACATTTTAGTCAATGACGGACTGCCTATACGACGGTGGTCCCGTAAGAATATAATGAAGCTGAAAAATTCCTATTGCCTAGTTAGGTCATGGCCATCCTAGCATTGTAGTGCAATGCATTATTCACATGTTTGTGTCGAGGCTGGTGTAAACAAAGCTACTGGGCTGCCCCTTGTATAAAGTCTAGCACATAAAATTATGTGCAGTACATAATACTTGATAATAAATGACTATATTACTGGTTTATATATTTAATATACTATACTTATTATTATCATTTTAGAGTATACTCCTACTTTAAAACAAATTTAACTGTGAAACACTTTCAGGCAGGTCCTTCAGGAGGTATTCCGAAGGCATTGTCAGCATAGGAGATGACAGCTCCCTGCATGTTATTGCCACTGAAGACCTTCCAGTGGGACAAGATGTGGAGGTGGAAGACAGTGATATTGATGATCTTGACCCTGTGTAGGCCTAGGGTGTGTTTGTGTCTTAGTTTTTAATAAGAAACGTTTAAGGACTACAAATGTAGTTTTTAAAATAGGAAAAAAGCTTATAGAATAAGGATATAAAGAAAATATTTTTGTACAGCTTTACAAAAAGCCAAAAGGTTACAGTATGCTAAAGTTAATTTATTAGTGAAGAATGAAAAACATTTTTAATAAGTTTAGTGTAGCCTTAGTGTACAGTGTTTATAAAGTCTACAGTGTATAAAGCATACAGTCATGTCCTAGGCCTTCACATTCATTCACCACTCACTCACTGACTCACCCAGAGAAACTTCCAGTCCTGCAAGCTCCTTTCATGGTAAGTGCACGACACAGGTGTACCACTGTTTCTCCTTTATACTATAGTTTTACTGTGTCTTTTCTATATTTAGGTGTGTTCAGATACACAAATGCTTACCATTGTGTTACAATTGTCTAGGGTATTCAGGATAGTAACATGCTGTACAGGTTTGAGCCAAGGAACAATGGGCTGTAGCATATAGCCTTGGTGTGTAGTAGGCTATACCATCTAGGTTTGTGGAGGTACACTCTATGATGCCTGCACATTGACAAAATCACCTAGCAACATGTTTCTCAGATGTAGCCCCACTATTAAGTGGCACATGACTGTATTCTGGTTACAAGTCCTTTATCAGATATGTGTTTCATATACGGTTTCTCCCAGTCTGTGGCTTGTCTTTTCATTGTTGTTCGAAGTGTAGCTACTTTCTTCTCTGCATCTCAAAGCTGCCGGACTGTTTTATTCTCTCCTCACCACCGATCACTTTCTGAAATGATTTTGTTTACTACAGACACCCCCTTACCAGATTGCAAGTTCCACAAGGCCAGTGACCTCACCTATCTGAATCACCACTGTATTCTCAAGACTTAGATCTGTGCCTGGCACGTAGTAGGCACACAAGAAATAATTGTTGAATAAACAGTGATAACATCCACTAACAGGAAAACAGTTTGGAGATTTCTCAAAGGACTAAAACTAGAACCACCATTCGACCCAGCAATCCCATTACTGGGTATATGCCCAAAGGAAAAGAAATCATTCTACAAGAAAGATACATGCACTCATATGTTAATCACAGCACTATTGACAATAACAAAGACATGGAATCAACCTGGGTGCCCATCAGTGGTGGACTGGATAAAGAAAATGTGGTACATATACACCATGGAATACCTCATAGCCATAAAAATACACCATGGAATACCTCATAGCCATAAAAAAGGATGAAACCATGTCATTTGCAGCAACGTGGATGCAAGCTGGAGGCCATTATCCTAAGATATTAATGCAGAAACAGAAAACCAAATATAGCATGTTCTCATAAGTGGAAGCTAAACATTGGGTACACAGGGACATACAGATGGGAACAATTGATAGTGGGGACTACAGGTGTCTATTGACAGGAGAGAGGGAGGGAGACAAGGACTGAAAAACTTGTCTACTGGGTACTATGTTCACTATCTGAGTGACCCAAACCTTAGCATCATGCAATATTATACCTAGGTAACAAACCTGTATATGTACCCCTGAATCTAAAATAAAAGTTGAAATTTTCGAAAGGATGCAGTTTAAAAAAAAATAGTGTAAAAGTAATACGAGAACTTTTAGCACTACCTCTTCAATTTTTATGTTAATTCAAATCTGTTCTACACAATGTCTATTAATTTTTTTAAACCTGGCAGCGCTGTTTCAGAAAAAGATCCATGTTAGCTAACGTCTAACAGTTAGATAAATTTCTGAACATTGGGCCGGGCGCGGTGTCTCATGCCTGTAATCCCAGCACTTTGGGAGGCCAAGGCGGGCGGATCACGAGGTCAGGAGATCGAGACCATCCTGGCTAACATGGTGAAACCCCGTGTCTACTAAAAAAAAAAAAATACCAAAAATTAGCTGGGCGTGGTGGCGGGCACCTGTATTCCCAGCTACTCAGGAGGCTGAGGCAGGAGAATGGTGTGAACCCAGGAGGCAGAGCTTGCATTGAGCTGAGATCGCGCCACTGCACTCCAGCTTGGGTGACAGAGCGAGACTCAATCTCAAAAAAAAAAAAAAAAGAAAAAAAAATTCTGAACATTATACTGAGATGTTGTTTACTATTAAAAGTGAACTAAATATTAAAAATTGTCAGTATAGCTATATGTCTGTAGTTGTAGCACTACTGATTGACTTAAATTTGCACACATGAAATAAAAGAATACAGTATAGCAAAAAACAAAAGAAAACAACAAAACCAAAACATCTGCTAATACCTCCTGAGGGCTTATTAGGCTCTAGGTACTCTGCTGTTTACTTCTCATGGTTTACATCATCTAACCCTCAGAGTAACACTATTAGGTAGCTTCTATTATTACTTCTACTTAATAAGGATGTGATAATAATAACAAAGGCTGTGCTGTTTGGAGCTCTTAGCTCCAAATCTACCATCCTCTGCCATCATGTGATGCTGGAGCTGATACTCTACAAACCTAATTTCTGTTTTGCCAGCTGCTCTTTGTTAGGTCACCAGTAAGGGGCACTAGAGGGAGCTTGCAGGATGGAGAGAAAAGGGACTTGTTCTTCTTGGTCTGGCTTGCTATTACTGTCGGGATCTCTCTAGCATCAGGGGTTTAAAGCTGGCAAGTCCTTGGTTCCAGGAGTAGTAGCTCGTTCCAAGTTGCAGTTTTTCCCACTATCAGAACCAGGTGCATCAAACTCTCTCAGAGATGCCAACACCAGCAGGTATCCCCTCCTCAAAAGCCTAAGATCCAGCATTGTGGGGTCCCTCTCCCAAGTCTTTTACCTTCTCTTCCCGTTTCTACCCCCATCTCTCTCTTTTAAGGTTTTCTGTTACGTTTTAACAATCCTGACCTCTTTGTCCCTCCAACAGCTGGGGTGGTAGCAGCTTCCTGCGATTACTTCCTGTGGGATACTCTGGGCTCCTTTTTTGCCTTTTCAGTTTTCTAAGACATGTTTAATAATACTTGGTGTTAAACTCTAATACAATAAGTGGGATCTTGACTAACACAGGAAACTGAGCGCAGAGAATTAACAATGTCAAACCGACAGCAGAGCAGGAATTAGATGCTTACACAATTAGCTTCAATAGAAGGAAGAAAGTGAGAAATGCCCCTAGAGGGGAACAAACAAAAGAAAAGGGTAATTTGGCAGGATCTATTAAAACCTATTACAATGTATCCCCAGAGAATGGGAAAAGACTATATGGCTTGGGCAGCTCCTACTTACACTGGGGAGACAATCTAATAAATGTCCTTTTCATTACTGTTTAAGACCCAACCCAGCTATGGCTTCCTCCCCATAAGCTGCGGTGGCAGACACTCTTGGATGCTTCCCAGTACCAAGAAGCTCTTTCTTCCTAGCTGGTGTTTTCTTACAGAGGGTAGGAAAGCCAGAATCCTGCTCTCACTGTCAGTGTCCCGTCAGGAAGTATACAGGGGAGAGCCAGGACTTATGACCTAGTTCTGGCCAAAGAAATATAAAAGGAAACTTCTGGAGGAGGCATCTGAGAAAAAGTTATTTTCAGACTTGCAGAGTGTCCTTCATTAAGCTCCCCAACCTTTTTTGCTTCCCTGGCTACCTTCTGCTTCCTGCCCTTGAATGTGGTTGAGACACCGGAAGCTGTGGCTGCCATGTTGGACTATGACAAGATGAAGGATGACTGGAAAGGACAGGGGTAATCTGTATTAGTCACAGTGCTTCAGAGAAACAGAACCATCAGGAGATTATCTATCTATCTATCTATCTATCTATCTATCTATCTATATTTTTTTCAGAGATGGGGTCTCACTCTGTCACCCAGGCTGAAGTGCAGTAACTTGAGCATAGCTCCCATCAGCCTCAAACTCCTGGACTCAAGCGATCCTCCCATCTCAGCCTCCCAAGTAGCTAGGACTACAGGTGTGTGCCACCATGCCTAGCTAATTTATTTTAATTTTAATTTTTGTAGAGATGGGGTGTCGCTATGTTGCCCAGGCTGGCCTCAAACTCTTGGCCTCAAGCAATCCTCCTCCTCTGCCTCCCAAAGTGCTGGGATTACAGGTGTAAGCCACTGCCCCTGACCTGAGAGATATTTATTAAAAGGCATTGGCTCACATGATTATGGTGGCTGAGAAGTCCCAAGATCTGCCATCTGTAAGGTGGAGACCTAGGAAAGCCAGTAGTGTATGTAGTTCAAAGTCATGAGGAGCAGGTAGCTGATGGTGTAGATTCCAGTCTGAATCTGAAGGCTGAGAACCAGCACACCAAGGGCAGGAGATGATTCTTGTCCCAGCTCAAGTAGTCAATTAGTTAGATTAATTTTTTACATAAGTATGATCATTCTATATGTATTCTGCTATTTGATTTTTTTTCCACTTAACAGAAGGGGCAAATCTAGCCTTTGTCTGCCTTTTTATTCTAGTCAGGCCCTCAGCAGATTGGTGACACCCATTCACACTGGGGAGGGCCACCTGCTTTACTCAGTCCAATACAAATGCTTATTTCTCAAAGACATGCCCCAAAATAACATTTAATCATATATCTGGGCATCCCGTGGCCTACCCAAGGTGACACATAAAATTAACCATCACAGAACTTATGTCCTCAGTGACATTGTTGAGATGAATGTGGTACACAATTGTACCATTTGATTTCTTGCTAAGAAACTAAACCTTATGGTTTAAATCACTATTACTTCATTTATTTCTTGTAGCTGAATACATTATACTTGGTACATCTTCCAGCCCCTCAGCTGGGAGTATGTTTCTTTTCTCTAGGTTTACCAATCATTTTTTGAATTTCCCTATGATTTTGCTTTAGAGCCTGGCTAACTTTCTTTCATATATTAAAAAGATTTGTAAACGCATCTTCTTTGCTCTACTAGACTTGAAGCTATTAAGGCCAGGTGCTCTAATTCATCTGGGTATTCCACAGGATTTCTAGGAGAGTACCTACCATACCTAAAAAATCCACGTGCATATCGTGTACCTACATATGTGAGTTATAGCTACCTCTTATATTCAGTTTACAATTGTGTTGTGAGAAGAATCTTAGTTAAAAGCACCAACTCTGGATTCAGACAGAACTGAGTTCATATGTTGACTCCACCCCTTATTAGCGAGGTAGCCTAGGGTAAATCCTGACCATATCTACATTTCACCATCCTCCAAGGCCCAATTGAAATATTTTCTCTACGTGAAACCACCTGTGCTCTCTCCCTCCCAAATTTGAAAGCATTATTTCCCTCTTAACTCTTCACTCCCTTTTCTGAAATGTAGACTTTTAAATTAATTTTTTACGTAAGTATGATCATTCTATATGTATTCTGCTACTTGATTTTTTTCCACTTAATATATCTTGAAAATCCTTTTTCAGTTCAACATATATGGACCTACCTTATCTCCATAGTATTCAATACTACAGATTTATCAAAATTTATTTAATTATTCCATTAATGAATATTTCTGTTGTTTCTAATTTGTGCACATTAGGTACAATTTCACTATTAGTGTGCATGCTTCTTTCTACCAATGTGCAAGTATCTCTCTCAGGGAGACACCAAGATGTAGAATGACTGGTAAAGATAAGCACATCTAGAAATCTAACAGATTGTACCAATGCCTTCTAATTTGGTTGTTAACAATAGTCAAAAGTTAAAATCATTTCACTACTCTTTCTTTGACTTTACTTAACTTTTCAGATTCTGTAAGAGTAAGAATAAGAGGCCTTTCAACTGGTCAGAGCCACTTGTTCTGGTTTTTCACCCATCATCCTCCACACTCCACTCCCCATCTGTGGGGCAGTTTGGTAGATGAGATGGAAGAGGCTGGGCACAGTGGCTCACGCCTGTAATCCCAGCACTTTGGGAGGCCAAGGCGGGCAGATCACTTGAGCCCAGGAGTTCAAGACCAGCCTGGGCAATATGGTGACACCTCGTCTCTACTGAAAATACAAAAATTAGCGGGGCATGGTGGCGCACACCTGTAATCCAGGCTACTCAGGAGGCTGAGGCAAGAGAATCACTTGAACCCAGGAGGCGGGGGTTGCAGTGAGCCAAGATCAGGCCACTGCACTCCAGCCTGGGCAACAGAGTTAGACTTGGTCTCAAAAAAAAAAAAAAAAAAAAAAAAAAAAAAGATGAGATGAGATGTAAGAGCATAGGCTTTGCAGTTCACCAAGTGGCTCGGACACTGTAGCTGTGTGACCAGGGAAATGTTGCCAGACTTCTTTAAGCTGATGTTTCTATTATCTGTGAAATTGCATGAGAAGAATTCCAGAGGACTGAGGAGACTGAAATAATGCTTAACCAGCCTCTTTGCCTTACGACCATCTTCTCTTTTCCCTCCTTTCCTCCACCCTTTCCTGTCACCTTGGAGACCTTGGGACACTTATATTTATACTCAAAATCATGACTGGTAAAGTGAGTCTGAAATAAAAATGATCTTCTATAGATAATTTTATTCTCTTGAGCTTCTACAACAGGGGTGGACACACTACATTTGTCTCTAAATCAGTCTAACATCTGAGTAAATCCTACCCATGGTAAGCCCCCAATTAACAACTCTTGAAAGATGAGTGGATTCTATTTTAACTACAGCAGTTCCTGGGTAAAGCTTTTGGTGGGGATCCAGGACTTTTTAAACACTAAAAACAAAACTAATTCCTATTTGCCACTTTGACAATATTATATTCGAGGTTAATCTAGGGATGCAAATTTCTGACCAAATCCAAAAAAATTGATGTCAGTATTAAAAACAAACAGAGCTGGTCGCGGTGGCTCATGCCTATAATCCCAGCACTTGGGGAGGCCGAGGCAGGCAGATCACAAGGTCAGGAGATCGAGACCATCCTGGCTAACACAGTGAAACCCCATCTCTACTAAAAATACAAAAAAAAAAAAAATAGCTGGATGTGGTGGCACGCACCTGTAGTCCCAGCTACTCGGGAGGCTGAGGCAGAAGAATTGCTCAAACCCGGGAGGCAGAGGTTGCAGTGACCTGAGATCGCACCACTGCACTCCAGCCTGGGTGACAGAGTGAGACTCTGTCTCCAAAAAAAAAAAAAAAAAAAAAAAAGAGAACAGACAGGATGAGATTCAAAAGAATCCGGTGCAATACCAAGGAGGAGGAAGTGCTGAGAAAACATAACGCCATGTATTGGAGAGGTCAGACTTGGGAATCAAACTGATTAATGGGTCTGCTGAAGAGCAGATAGAGTTCTTTAGAAATTCAACTAGAGTAGAATAATCTCAGTGTCAACTGCCATATTAACGTCAAGTAAAAGGGTCTGGATAAAAATGTGACTTTATAGCTCTTCCAATTCTGTGCACAAGGTAGCTGGTCTGGGAAGGATTACATTCAAGTAGGTGAAATGCACAGACTCTTCATGAAAGAAACCATGACATAAAAAAAAATCAACATTTCAGTTAAGTAAAGATTGCTTAGGTAGAGGTAAAACAATTTAGCATATTATGAAAAACTCCTTGTTGGCATTTTAATAGCCTTCATATTAAAAATTATTACTTCCCCTAAGGAGAAAGTTTTTAGCATGTCTTATGAACCTGGAACTGTAAGAGGTTTCTGGATTTTGGACAGAGGCAAAGCCAAGGATAGGTGAAAGGGATCAATATAGCTCTCAAAAGAATTTAAGTGCCACTAAGTCTCCTTGACTTTACCAAACTTCTAGCAAATGCCTCACAGTGATGTTAGTAAATACAGAACAAGTCTATCATTTTGGGAAAGTTTTCTTTTTAAAGACTATTATGGCACCAGAATTAATGCTTATGAAATTTTAGATGATGATTCAGGCAGAATGATAATGTTGGGTAAACGATTTTCCTCCCAACTTTGAGTCTCTGCCACGCTGGCCATCACACATATTGTATGGATCTGCCAACAGTACCTTCCTTTTCTTTCAGAGTAGAAAGATTAAATGAACTTCTTCCTAGCACACACAGATGGCTTATCAGTTGGCGGTTTTCTTCAAGTCCCTACTTGCAACTCCTCAAAACTTATCTAAAAATCATTACCAAAGCTGCAAATACAGATTTTCAGATCAGGAAATATTACCTGATTTATGAATCGTACACATGGGGTATAACTGACAAAGCCTCATCACTCATGATAGGCTCACCCGCTCTCCTTCCCTGTTCACAGCTCAAAAACCTCATTTAAGATGAGATTAGAACAACACAGCTTCATTAACCTTGGCAGCCTGGCAGATGGCATTGGCCTTCAACCCGGGACCAGCCAGTGAGCCTGGTGCTGGCTGCTGTATTGATCCATGTGTCATTCTCCTGAAAGCAAAGCTGCAGACTGAATTCCTTTTGGTGAAATTCCATTCCAGGCAAACACCTGGATTCACCCCAGTGATTGGACCTGTGCAGGCTTTTGTCTATCTTCTGAGAATTACTCTGCAAATGCTGGAAGAATCAGGGTTTAGGAAGCTCCAAATCCAAAATGAAAAATGAGATCTGGCATATGTGCTACAAATTGGAAAGACCTTACTGCTTGTGATATCCGTGGGCCCTTAATCAGAAAACTTTAATTTCCCGCTTCCCTTTTCTCTTGTTTGACTTTGGATTCTGTTTCAAAGTTTCTAAGTCAACAATATAATCAACTGAACTTAGAACAACTTCCTGCTCCTGACAGGAAGAAAAAAAGAAATCTCTTTGTTTCTCCAGTGGTTGGGGAGTAAACGAACCTCCCAGGGAAAGAAAAATCCTTTGGCTATATTTCTCTTGCTTGAGAAAGAGCAGAACAAGGAGGGTCTTCTGATTTTGAATCCGTTGCATACACTGGAGTTAAAAGTCGAGTTGTCTATAGCAGCCAGGCAGATAAGTGGTTACTGTTCACCAATCTATATGCTCCCCTGTATTTCCCAGTCTCCGTTGCAGTTAGCTTAGGACCATGTGACTAGTTCTGGCCAATGGGCTGTTAGGGGAAGCTTCTCGTATCACTTTCAGGTCAAGGTTGCTAACAGGGGGCCTGCCTTCTCCATCTCCTTCCTCTGCTGTAGTGACTTTGGAGGCCACATCTTCCATATAAGAGAGAGCTATCTGGCCTTTGACCTATAGTCCACATTACATAAAGTAGAAATAAATCTTCAGCATGAGGCCACTGAGATTTTCAAGATTTGTCTAGAGCAGCTGCTACTCAAATGCAACATCTTCAGTTGTATATTTTAGGATAAGACACACTTTATCAAATATAAAGACATGTTCTTCACTGTCCCAAGAGAATATTCTGTCTGCTATTATTTCTTAAATAAATTAACAATGATAGTAGTTAATATTTATTTTATACTCACAATGTTCCTTTATTATCCCCAGTTTACTTATGAGGAAACTGAGACACAGAGAGGCTAACTCATTTGCCTGATGTCACATAGTAAGTAGAAGTAGGGTTCTCAGATTTGGCAAATAAAAATACATGAGATACAATTATACTAAAAATTATTCATTATTTATCTGAAATTCATATTTAACTGTGTTTTCTATATTTTATCTGGCAACTCAACTAGAAGAGGCTACCAGATTTGGGTCCAGATAGTCTGACTTTTGAATCCACAAGCTTAATTATATGTTACCAGCTGCTTCTCAGACTATTTTTAGTTTTATATTTTTATTAAAAATATGGGTAAAAATTTTTCTTTCAATTCTATTTTTGAAAACAGACTGACATAAACAGAGCAAGCACAAAGATAAATAGCTACTGTGTTGGAGCTACAACATCAGACATACAACAGGGATTGGTGGGGACTGTGGCAAGTTGGAGATCATATACTTCATATACAGAGAGCAGTCACTACTATGCTACTATAGATAGTTGCCACGTGGGAACCCAGGCTTCTTCTAAAAGAAGTCAGAAATCTAGATTTTTGTACGAAATCTTCCCATTTTAAAATGCTGGTAACTTAAAAAAAAAAAAAAAAAAAATATATATATATATATATATATATATATATATATATATATATATATATATATATATCCCTTCATGGGTCTATACAGTTCTAGAGAAAAAGAAGAGCTCTGGAGGCCGAAATAAACTTGTAGATCATCAGGTTGTCATCTCTGTATTCACATGAAGAATCTTTTGAAGACACTGTTGTTATTTGTCTTTAGGTTGCTGGGAAGCCTCTATTTCTGCATAGCCTTCCTATGGAGGAACCAGTCCTAGGATTGCAATTTAAAACTCCAAATCATGATTAGGTATATATTTGATTTCAGTCAATGACTTATCTTTGTGGTTTGGATTGTGTTTTCAAGTCCCTACTTGCAACTCAAAGCTTCTGCTAGGACAAGACATTGCGCTAAGCACTATAGGACTATAGATAAGAGCAAGTTTCGATGCTCATCTTCTCTCCTATCTCATAAGTCAGAACAAGACAAATAGTACAATGCCATAACAGAATGGGGATAGGCAGTTAAGAAAGGGACAGACAGACTTAGTACGAAGTGTATATGAACAAAGGAGAGGCATCTGGGTGAGTCCATTTGGAAAGTCTTCATTAAGAAGGTGACACTTATGAAAGACCATGGTAGGGCAGGATTTTAGTAAACTTAAGGAAGGGGAGGCGAGAGAAAAGGGAACAGTATAAATGAGGGCCTACACTTGAGACAGTTTTCAGCTTGGCTGCTGTAGAAAATACTTTTAGAAGGTGGAGCAGTATCAGGTTGGAAAAGTAGGTTGAGGGCCTCAAATGCTAGAAAAAAGGAAGATTAAAATCAAAATAGCATACTCTCATAATATACCTTGACACCATCTATTAGCATGTTACTTTTTTTTTTTTTGAGGCGGAGTCTCGCTGTGTGGCCCAGGCTGGAGTACAGTGGCGAGATCTCGGCTCACTGCAAGCTCTGCTTCCCGGGTTCACACCATTCTCCTGCCTTAGCCTCCCGAGTAGCTGGGACTGCAGGTGCCTGCCACCACGCCCGGCTAATTTTTTGTATTTTTAGTAGAGACAGGGTTTCACCGTGTTAGCCGGGATGGTCTCGATCTTCTGACCTCGTGATCCACCCACCTCGGCCTCCCAAAGTGCCAGAATTACAGGTGTGAGCCATCGCACCCAGCCTAGCATGTTAGTTTTTTATATTCCAAAGCCCTCACTGATATTTTCTCAATTTGTTCACATGGACAAATAACATAGCTATTACTAGCTCTATTTTACATCTAGGAAAATTGAGTCAGAGAGGTTACCCAGTTTTCCCAAGTTAGCAGGAAATCAGAGTGAAAGATAAGATTAACATGTAGATTATCTAAGTTAAAGGTTCACAAACTGTCTGTAAAGGTCCAGACAGTAAATGCTTTCGTCTTTGTGGGTCATGCAGTCTCCACTGCAACTTCTTAACTCTGACATTTCCAGGAGAAAGTAGTCATAAACAATATGTGAATGAATGGGCATGGCTGTGTTCCAATAAAACTTTACTTACAAAAACAGGCAGCAGGCCAAGTTTGGCCCTGACTGTAGTTCACTGACATCTGGTCTAAGTTTTGTCATAATGTGGTTTCATAGGTGCTATGGGAATTTGCTTTGTTCACTGTAGTATTTTCTGTGCCTAAAATAGGGCCTGAATTATAACAAGGGCTTAATATGTGTTTCTTGACTTTACAAAGTCACATTCCTGAAACTTTACACATGAACAACCAGATTTAATACGTTTGGCCTGGAAGTCATCCTTTCTACAGCCATCCCCCTCTACATATATTCAATTGCACCCAGTCCTAGTGATGTTATTTTAAATACCATTCTCCACATCCACTTCTGCCACTGTGACTTCTTGTCTGAATTATTTCAGCAGACTCTCGGTCTCCACATATAGTCACTCTGTCACCATCTAATTCAGACTCATCAGGGAAGCCCGATCTGAACAGCAGGCACTCCCTACTTAAAACTCCTCAATGGACTCTCACTTTATTTTGAATAAAAGCCAAAGTGTTAGTCTAAGGAGTCCACTTACAATCCAAAGAGCTCCTGATAACTCTCTAGTGTCATCTGTGACATACCCTGTACCCATCATCACTCTAATCTCTGTGGTCTGTTCTCAGAGAATATGGATCGCTTTCCTGCCACAGGGCCTTTGCACAGACCATTTCTCTCCTTCATTTCACCTTCCTCCATTTATCTAGTTGATTCTCCTGTAGTGTTCAAAGCTCAGCTGCCTTGTTCCCTCTACCAGATAGGACACCTTGTCTATCACAACAATCTCACAATAACCTCACTGACTACATTATAACCAATTATGAATTATCTGATGCATTATTTAATGCCTCTCTTCCTGCCACTTGCTCACTGGTATATAGGCTATTACCAGCACAGTGTCTTCCATGTAGTAGGTGCCCAATACATACTTGTTGAATGGAAGTATAACATGACAAAATTTTAGTTTTGGAGAAGATCTTAGAAGCCATCTACTTGAATCTTCTGCCTCATGCAACATTCTCAACGATTTAAGTGAATCGATAAGGTGCAGGGCTTGTCCTGGGCTTCAGCAATCTAAAGCAGCCTTATTTTTCTGTATTTGCTACACCCTCACAAGCACTGTTCTGAAAAATGCTACTCACAATTCCCAAAAGTATTCAAGGTTATGGTAACTGTGTATATCTCTCCTATGGTGAGTGATTCCCCCCACCCCATCTTCCACTTCATCATTTCCCAAATTTCTTATAATTATCAGGTGTCACTTTTATGAATAAAAGTTTCATAAAGTTACTTTGAATTCATATAGGGTCTTTTCAGTGATTTCTATATTGTCTTCCCGTGATGCTTATTAAAAATTAATGATTGGCCAGGTGCGGTGGCTCATGCCTGTCATCCCAGAACTTTGGGAGGCTAAGGCGGGTGGATCACTTGAAGTCAAAAGTTCGAGACCAGCCTGGCCAACATGATGAAACCTCATCTCTACTAAAAATATAAAAATTAGCTGGGCATGGTGGTGCATGCTTGTAATCCCAGCTACTTGTGAGACTGAGGCAGGAGAACCTGGGAGGTTGAACCTGGGAGGTGGAGGTTGCAGTAAGCCAAGATCACGCCATTCCACTCCAGCCTGGGGGACAAGAGAGAAACTTCATCTCAAAAAAAAAAAAAAAATTGGCCCGGCGTGGTGGCTCACGCCTGTAATCCCAGCACTTTGGGAGGCCGAGGCAGGCGGATCATGAGGTCAGGAGATCGAGACCATCCTGGCTAACACAGTGAAACCCCGTCTCTACTAAAAATACAAAAAATTAGCCAGGCGAGGTGGTGGGCACCTGTAGTCCCAGCTACTCAGGAGGCTGAGGCAGAAGAATGGTGTGAACCCGGGTGGCGGAGTTTGCAGTGAGCCGAGATCATGCCACTGAACTCCAGCCTGGGCGACAGAGCGAGACTCTGTCTCAAAAAAAAAAGAAAAAAAAATTAATGATTTAATGTTTGATTATGAAATACATCAAATATAAAAAACCAGTATTTTAAAGAGATATTGGAGAAAAACAATCCCACCAAAGTATTTTCTCTACTCTCACATAGCCAACACACAAGACTTCATCTCTGGTCACCAAAATGTGTTCTCCCCACCAGAACCAATTAGTTCTCCAGTGGACTCTGTGGGAAATCTCTTGTAGACACCAGTGGGATGTTCTCCAATTCAATTCAATTCTGACACTATCTACCTGGAGACAGCATCAGATCCCATTGGTTGAGGGCTCAGTCCACAAGACTGCCCCCAACTTCCGTGCCAATGGCAAACCCCAAGTTGTTTTTACCTGTGATAACCTCTGACCAATTGGCTATCAGTCAGTGTTCCCATTACCCTATCTATGGATTCCATTAATTTGCTAGAGCAGCTTACAGAACTCAGGAAAACACTTAGATGTATTGGTTTATTATAACAGATTTCACAAAGGATATAGATGAAGAGACGCATAGGTCAAGGCATACCGGAAGGGGCATGGAGTTTTCATCCCCTCCCACGGCGAGCCACTTTTTAGGAATTCCCAGGTATTAGCTATCCAGAAGCTCTCTGAACCCTGTCCTTTTGGGTTTTTAAGGAGACTTCATTACATAGTCAGGATTGATTAAACCACTGGACAATTTAACCTTCAGCCCTTTTCTCTCCCTGGAGATTGGGGGGTGGGGCTGACCCTCTAAGGGTGGCTTGTTCTTCCTGATGACCAGCCCCCATCCTGAAGCTACCCAGCAAGCCCCAGGCTGCCAGTCATCTCATTAGCATACAAAAGACGCTCATCACTCTGGAGAGTCCAAGGATTTTAGGAGCTACAGGACAGAAAACTGGGCGAAGACCAGATATATATTTCACAATATTATATCTATGAAAAAACAACACCGTATCCACAACTCAAGCCTGACGCTTTGTAAAGACCTGGCTTTTTGTTTTACTCTTAATAACAAAAGGAGGCTGGGCGCGGTGGCTCATGCCTGTAATCCCAGCATTTTGGGAGGCCGAGGCGAGTGGACCATGAGGTCAGGAGTTTGAGACCACTCTGGCCAAGACGGTGTAACCCTGTCTCTACTAAAAATACAAAAATTAGCCGGGCACGGTGGCAGGTGCCTGTAATCCCAGCTACATAGGAGGCTGAGGCAGGAGAACTGCTTGGACCCAGGAGGCAGAGGCTGCAGTGAGCCGACATCATGCCACTGAACTCTAGCCTGGGTGACAGAGCAAGACTCCATCTCAAAATAATAATAATAATAATAATAATAGAAGTTATTATATTGAATTCCATTTTTCAGATGGATAATAAGCAAAGAGTTTAGATGACTCTTCCATGGTGATACAGTCAGAAAAGGGAAGAAACTGGGATCGTACTCAACACAATTCAAGCACCCACACAGCGTATCGTCTTATATTCTCCCAGACTCTGTGATGCACAGAGTAGCTCTAATTTTCCCTTTACAATATTGCTGAAAGGTGGTGAAGGCTAAAGTCTTTTGGACAGCATTATATAAATTGACCTTGAATGGAGTGCATTCTTGATGTCTTCTCTTGAGACATCATCAAATACAATGATTCTTTGGGGAAAGACACTATTACGTTTTTCTCACAAATGGAAAATCTGAAACAGAAGCAAAGTGCATGGCTGTCTTTGGATGTTCGTGTTAAGTAGCTGACTTTTAGGCCTGCTAGTCTTTTACTGTTTCATCGGTGTTTAGTTGTATGTACAAGGAAAATGTCAATTCCGGACTTTAAATTTCAGATATTATATTTCCTTAAATGAACTAAAGGGCAAAGGGAATATTCTTCAGTGGCGATCCATTCTCCCCTTTCTGTAATCTATTTTTCATTAGCCACAAGTCAAGGGCCAGTTTCTGAAATGCTTGTCTGGGTATCTTGCAATCTCATTCGAAGTGCTGAGAAGTCAAGACAGCCTCTAGGAGTGTAGGGGGAACGTGTTGATAAGTGCTAAGTGCTGCTACTTTGAACTGCACAATTCCCCTCAATGGGCACATATTAACTCTAGCTAAACACACTAGTGCCACCTACTGGAAAAAAATATATTTTAATTAAAATTAAGTTGCAGGCTTTAAGTCTGCAATACTGAAAAATGCCTCTCTAGGACGGCAATTTCCTCTGCCAAAGAAAAACAGAGTTAAACCAGCTCACTGAAGGAAACTTAGGTGATCTCTAGGTATTTTGTTTTGGAAAGAAAGGCTTTCATTTTTCATCCTGATAGCAAAGAAAATATTAAATAATAATGAAATATTAGACCAACTAACACCATAGTTCAGGAATGGGCTTTTCTAGAGTTGTTGCAGGATTACCCCTGATGGGGCTGAGTTTCCTGGGGTCTGAGCACAGAGGGTCCATTGCATGGTTTGAGGGGGCTTTCTTTTCTCATGTCTGTTATAGAGGAACCCAGAAATCTGGAGAAGAGAAAGGAATTGCCACAGGGAACTTAGTTTACTTTTTTTTTTTTTGAAACAGGATCTTGCTCTGTTGCCCAGGCTGGAGAGCAGTAGGGTGATAGTAGCACATTGCAGCCTCAAGCCATCCTCTCACTTCAGCTTCCCAAGTAGCTGGGGCTACAGGTGTGCACCACCACGCCTAGCTAATTTTTAAATTTTTTTTGTAGAGATGAGGTCTTGCTGCATTGTCCAGGCTGGTCTCAAACCCTGGCCTCAAGCAATCCTCCCACCTCAGCCTCCTGAAGTACTGAGATTACAGGTGTGAGCCACTGTTTGCCTTTTTACAGAAGGAGACAAAAAGGTATCTTTAAAAAATTTTCTTCTTTCTACTATTCAAGAACATAATTTATTTTGGTTATAAAACATGAAATGTCCCTCCTCCTTGTCTCCCAAACTCCCTACTGAAGTATTATTATCAGACTAGTATACGATCTGTACAAATAGCCTTTGATGAGGAAAAAATGGTACAAATAAGGTAAGCAACTAATAGGACAATACATATATATGATGTGCTGTGTGTAAAGTAAAAGAACAAGAAGGAGGAGGAGGAGGAAGGGGAAGGAGAGGGAAGAGGAGGGCAGGAGGAGAAAAAGAAGAAAACATAATAATGTTAGCAAACAGCATACACATTTCCCTGAAAAAAGGCAAAAATAAAACAGAAACAAAAAGTCTATTAATGGAAGTTGCATTGAGGGACAAGGAGGTAAGAAGAAAGGGAGGGCTTTGCTTTCAAGTTTGTATTTCTGTATTTCTAAGTTCCTCTGATTACACAGAACTGTATTATTTGTGTCAATTAAGGAAAAAATGCCAAGGCAAAACTAATCTATGCTGCGAGAAGTTCAGCTCAAGATTGCCCTTGGATGTGGGTCATGCCTAGAAGAAGTCTCCACCAAGGAGACTTGGAGGAGGGTTGATGATGTTTTCTCTTGATCTGGGAGCTTGTACCAGCAACAAAGGTGTGTTTAGTGTGTGAAAATTCATCAAGCTCTATGCTTTTGATTTGTACATATTTCTGCACGTGTTAAGCTGGGAAAAAAGTTCCAAAAGTGATGCCAAGAGAAATTATTGGGCAGTAAGATTATAGACCATTTGTTTTCCCTTTCCCTGTATTAAATTAACACATCTTGTAAAGATAAATAAAAACAGAATAAACTCCATATTTTTTTTCTCCAAATGTGTGTTTCAAATACGTCTGTTTTTACATTGTTGTAGTCAACGGAGTTAGAAAAACTAAATAACATCTGTGCCAAAGGTTTCCTTTGCAAGAGCAGAAGGAGGTCTCCTCCTAGGAAGCCTGGGATCCAGCTTTGGTGGCTTAGCCTGGTCTCAGATGCCCTTGCAGGAAGATACCTCAGGCCCCGGCTGGGCTCAGTGCCCACATGCCCAAGCTTTCGATACCAATGCAAAAGCTTCTGTGCTCTTTAATGGGAGGCTATTCAGCAGCCAGCAGGCCCAGCATCTACATTCTGAATCAGACAAATTCTTCTCTCCCTCTCTGGCAAGGGGACCTCAATTGCTCCCTGTCTGCAGGAATCCACCAGTTCAGATTAACTGTTTACCAGCGAACATTTGATGGGCTGGCAGATACCTTGGTAGATAAGTATTCAAATGACTATGCCTGTCATTACCTTTATTCGGAGGAGCCACAGTATCCCCCTGCAGGTTGTGAACAAGGGCCCTGTATTTCTCATCAGCTTCTGATAAGGTTGCGGGATCACTGAAGACCCAGGTAGGGTTACAAGGCAACCGTCGTGCTTGACAAATAGCACGCTCCCACTAGATTTTTTGCATTCACAAAATTATCAGTTGTGCTAAATGCATAGATGAGAACTTTAATCTCGTTTCACTTAGATGGCAGATAAAGTTTGTGTGAAACCAGTAAGGGCTTTTTCTGTCACCTCAAAGAAAGGGGTATTAGGGGCTAAGGGCTTTGCTTTTGTAATTTTCCATTATGTTATCCTTTTCTTTCAAAAACCAGCTGAATCAAGAACACATGATTACATTATCATGTGTCCTTATTGATGTCAATGAGCATTCCACAGTGGGTTTAAAGATTTACATATCTGAAAACCTGGGGTAGAAAAGGAAAAAAAAAAAAGAAGCTAGAATTTAAAAAGAATAATGATCTATTTCCTGGGATGGTTTCCTAATTTTCTCTTGAAAACCACGTGGAAAATTGACTTTATTTTAATAACAGAAAGGAGTCATAGTAGAGACTATAACAATAGTAATTATAGCAGCTGTCATTTATTGAACACCTACTATGCTCCATGTGTTAAGTTCTACTTTAGTATGTGTTAGTTCAATTTCTACCATGTGTCGTTCTTACTATACAAGAGAGAAATAAGTCCTGAGACATTTCTTTGCAATATCACACAGGTCATATGTAAGTAGCAGAAGAAGAATGCAACCTCAGATCTTTTTTAGTCTGACACCTGCTTTCTTTCTCTGTATGTTATGTTGATGTATTGATATGTCCGTTGCACTTGCAGATAAACAATTTGGGGCTAACAATGGGCTTATCAGCTACACACTTTTGGTAAATATAAGGACTGACTACTTCACAGCCAACTGTAGGAGGTTAACAACCTAGGAGACAGAGTCTAGCTCTAGTTCAAGGAGTCTTGATCAATCTTGGTTGTTAGTTAAGTCATTCTAGATTCTCATGGGCACAAAGAGACTGAAAAATGGATTCTAACAGTCTGATGATGGTCTTTGTGATGATGGCGGTGGGGCTGTTTTATAGAATACAAATCTACTAGCTAAGATGGGAAGAGCTGGCTCAAGCCATATCAGAGAGGTTAGGGAAACCGTATGAGGAGAGAATTCCACCTTTAGAGGGACTGGGGAGATGGTGATTTTGGTGGGAACCTACCTAAATATCCAATCTAAAAGCACACAATCCCAGGACAAACTATTTATGTTCTCCAAGGGACTAAATTTATTCATTTTATACATTTAGAGAGACAGAGATCTAAAGTGAACAGAAGTGTGTTAATCTAGAAATGGTGTATTTTTAGGGTTGTGGTCATTTTTGATACAGGCTGGCTATTTATGAAAAGGTGAAATGGGAAAACAAATACTCATTCCACTTAATCAATTCTTGGGGAATGGGACTTGTGTGTGTACATATTTTACCGTATTTTCATCTTTGCTTAGCTTGGCATCCAACACAGCAGCGGGACAGATTTTGAATTCAAGTAGTAATGTAGTCCCATAAGTTGCCACAGGAATACTGCTGTCCACAGAAAGATGACAGTTTTGAACACTGGATTCCCCAAATGCAAGAGGTCATATGAGGTGGACTTTACAAAGTTTACATAACAAAGAGCAATTCTGTTAACTAAAATGATTAATTCCCGTCAGTACACATCAAACAGAACTGTTACAAAACATTATTGTCTGAGTTCCCATTGCATAGTAAGGGTTTTTCACAAGTTCTATTTCCAATAACTCTTTTGACAAAGCCAGAGCTTTTTTTTTTTTTTTTCTTTTTGAGGGGGTGGAGGTAGCAGACATTAATTTCCAGAGGAATCTATGAATGGGGACTGAGTAGGCTGCCGTCTTAAATGTGAGATATGTTGCACTGATGTTGTGGCAGGAAAAAGACAACAGCCCTTCTGAGGAATGGGGCCTTCCAGGGATCCGGGATGGATGAAAAATGCCCTGGCAGTACAAAGGCTGATTGTCCTTCTCTTCAGAGACAATGGGGTATTTAAAAGGCTCACAGCATCAAAATGCTAACTTAGTCCTTTAAGACATTTTCAGTTTTATGTCTCACCACTGACAGTAAGCATGAGTAGAAAAAGCCCTTTTTTTGTGAAATCTCTTGCAAAGAAGTAGGCAGCTTTATTGTGAAGACACTATTTGCCTGCAAGTATAGTTACCTTGAAAGGTCTCACAATCAAATGAGCCTGTTTTCTGCTTCTTAGAAAGTAGCAGCAAGAATACAAAAAAAAGCAGTGAACTTTCAAATTCAGAAGGTCTGGACTTGAGGGCTGATTCTGCCAGTTATTTGGGTGACTGTGAGCCTGACATCTAGAATTTCCTTATTTGTAAAGAATAATAACTGCCCTCAAGCCAGTTTCTCAGGGTTGCTGTGAAAATTCAAAGTAACAACGTACGCCGAGATGGTTTACTGTGAAGAGTTTCAGAAATACAAATGACCAATATCAGGAATGTTCCTATATGGCCTATTCTTTCCCTTAGAAGTTTTGAACAGAGTTTCAACACGTAAGTTAGGACCTTTTTCCTTTGAATAATTCCCTTCTCAGGCTACGGAGTCTCTTCAGTTTCCTGGTCATTGGGTTAAATTTTCTGCTCCAATGAAACTGCAATAATAGGAATAACAGTGAGTTTTAGGTTGGGAGACCTGTAAATTCTAACCAGATCCTTAAACTGTTCTCATTTTCCAAAGCTAGTATATTGCACACCAATATACTTTCTTTTTATTTCCTCTTTGGCCAAAAAGTGAATTGTCAAGTGCAAGTGAATTGTCAACATTAGTGTAACTTTCTACACAAAAATGACCTGCACCGTCTTAGCACCTAGGGTCTAAGGCCTCAGTTACAAAAATAAATTGTAAAGCCAGAAGAAAATATGTCACAATAACAATTAGAGGCCAGGCACGGTGGCTCACACCTGTAATCCCAGCACTTTGGGAAGCCGAGGTGGGAGGATCACCTGAGGTTGGGAGTTCGAGACCAGCCTGACCAACATGGAGAAACCCCATCTCTACTAAAAATACAAAAATTAGCTGTGCATAGTGGCACATGCCTGTAATCCCAGCTACTTGGGAGACTCAGGCAGGAGAATCACTTGAACCCGGGATGCGGAGGTTGCAGTGAGCCGAGATTGAGCCATTGTACTCCAGCCTGGGCAATAAGAGTGAAATTCCGTGTCAAACAAAACAAAATGGAACAAAACAATTAGAAGCTGCACAGTTTTCTTTAGGTGGCAAAATATGTATGAACAGTTACATGGCAAGCAAACTGCACATTAAATTTGGGTGTATTTTCCATATATGTTGTGTTCTTTACATTTACAGAGCTTTGGGGGAGGGGGACAAACAGTTATTTATGAGTTTTCCACGAATTGTTTTCTTTTCTCTTTCACTTTCTTTGGTCAGTCATTTGTAAGAATCAACTGGAGATAACACGCCAGACCCCAAACTTATTTTTGGCAGAAATGCACCATCCTTGCATGGACACTAGATGGAAAAATAGAGTTTTCTATTTAGATTTCTAGAATGGGTTATAGCAGGTACCTGGGAAAGGTTACGCAAATTGTTCAACATTCTTGCTGAAGTGGAAATGTTCTTGGGGAGTCCCCGTGGTCAGCATTAGGAAGAGGAATTACCCGCAGGGCCCAAAAGACAGATCCTCCCCTTTCTAAGAAGGATTGCAGACATTTGAATTGAGCTTTCTCGGGAGGTTTACGCAGCACACTCCCAATGTTCAGAACAGGGAGTAAAGAAAACATTTTGCTTGAGAAGCTTCCAGACCCCTGGGGTGACTTGTAGGATAAGAGTTTGGTTGGGATCCTAAAAGGTGGTAGATGTTCAGCTCACACGGACTAAGTGTTACAGGGCTGGCTTCCAGCTTGGGTAATGGCTGAACCTGTGAATGTTGCAAGTTGGCTTCATGAGGTGCCCTAAAAGTCCAGACTATAGACTCCACCTGACTCGCCAGGTCAATGCTCCCCCTTGTGGTGATTTCTGGAGCTGTTATCAGCTGTCTCCTAGGTGGCCCTTAGACAAGTAAGGGTGCTTGAAAACACATGGTCTGGGAATGCATATTGGTGCCTCTCAAACTCAAGAAAGGGGTGGCGACATTCCAGTTATGTGTCTGTTCCAAAGACCGCATATGGCCTTCTCTAATTTTTAGGGTTTTTTGAGAAAAAGTTCACACTAGCTGCTTTTAAATTCTCTTGCCTCTGAAATCCTTACCTGAACATCTCCCACCTAGAAAATATTTTTCACTGGCGACATCTCTTGTTTTGGGTGAGCAGAGATGAAATGACGCATGGCCTGTGTGATTACGGTGTGATGTCTGCACCAGGTGTAATGTGGGCTGAACAGCTTGACGTGTTTTCGTGAAACCAAAGTATAACCTTCCCAAATTAACCTCTTTGTTTCTGTTAATGCAGTCTTACCTACCAAAGTATTTTAAATGGTTCTTATGTATAGTTTAAAAGACTATAGGTTATAGCTATGCAGGGGGCACCTATCTTATGGGTATTTAACAACAGAAGCAGCTTCCTTTAAAAGTGGAATCAGTTATGAAATATATCATTTATGGGGCCAACTCCTCCAAGTACTCATTCTGTTTGCCTTTAAGCAATATCTTCCAGTATTTGTAACAGTTGTTCTCAGCAGCACAAAGACCTTAGCAGTTGAGAGATAAAGCATGAGTTTGGTCTGTGACCTTGATTACAACATGTTGTGATGTGACGATATGGCTTTGCCTTGACTGACATTTGTTTGGCCACTGCCATGGGTACTGTTTCAAGTCAGAAGAAATTTACATGGAGAAAAACATCCCATGAGCTTAAGTTAATACATTGGGAACTTGCCCTAAAACTAGGTGGCTTTTTTTTTTTTTTTTTTTTTTTTTTTTGGAAATCAAATAGTAACAAGTCCTATGTAACAAACATCTAGTATCAGGGTTACTAGGTGTATTATACGTTTATTTAAATCAAGATCATTACTAAGCACCTACTATGTGCAGGACAAGTGTAAGTGCCTTAGTAAACATTGTTTTTTATGCTATACACCATTTTAAAAGTTCCAATCAATATTTGCTTTCCATTCATTAAACATTGAAAGTTCTTTCAGCATGCCATCTAATCACACGTAAGTATTTGCCTTTTTCCAGGCTTAACAAAACATTTTAGACACAGACTATCAAAGAGCGAGGACTGTACAAATGTCTCCTTCTGATAATAGAACTCGGTGGCGACTTCAGTGGCCCAGGTCCTGGGAAAGTTTCCACGGCCTCCCTGGTGCCCTCCTTCCCACATGACTGCAGGAACATGAAGTAGTTCTAAAGACGGAGACCAAGGTGACCGGCCTTGCCCCTCCAACACAAGTCCCTCAAGAATCTTTGTGCCAGGGACATGAGGTGGGGGCTTTATGTTCCTCTACTCTCCACTGTCTCCTAGGCCAATCCCTTTGTATTACAGATGAGGAAATTGAGGCCCCAAGAGAAGTGACTTGTGTAAGGTCACACTGCTAGTACATCACTGTGCCAGTCCCAGAGCCGTGGACCTGGGACTCCCATCTCTATGTTATTTTCTTTTCATTAATCTAAATCATCTTAATCTTTCAGATTTCTGGATGAACTAGAAATCCTTTCTCGCCTCTGAGCTTTAGTTTACAAACCGTTTCCTCTATGTGCAATTCCACCATCTTATATCACCCTTGTACCTTCACCTTTGACAAGTGACTGGATTACTCTTAAGATCCTGGTTAAAAAATCACTTATTCTAAGATGCCCTTCCTGACCCTCCAAGACTGGGTTAGGTGCTCTTCCAGTGCATTATCCTGTCATTCTCTACTGATGCCAATCCCAGCATTTGTTACCTGTGGTGCAGTCATCGAGATCTCCAGCACACTGCAGGCTCATTGCGGACAGGAACATATGTCATGTCATGGTTGCATCCCTGATGTTTAGCACAGTGTCTGGGACTCACTAAATAAATAGTGAATGGATAAATGGATTACTGGACAAGTATTCTGTCTTAAAAAAATGAGAGTTAAAGAAGACCCAGTTTGCGCAGGTGGAGAACTGGTAGAAGAGGGGATGGGGGAGCCAGGTGTGGCAGCATGTGCCCGTAATTCCAGCAACTCAGGAAGCTGACGTGGGAGGATCGCTTGAGACCAGGAGTTCAAGGTTACAGTGAACCATAATCATGCCACTGCAGTCAAGCCTGGGCGGCAGAGTGAGACTAGTCTCTTAAAAAAAAAAAAAAGCTGGTGGAGTGGGTCTGTGATGCCTAGACCCCAACTGACCCTCTCTGTGTGCTTATCCTCCTGTGAACCTTACGATGTCTGTTCTTCAAATTCGTATGATTTTGAATTTCTGCAGAGGCCTGCAACAAAGCCATGAGTAGTTTAGTACGGAAATGCTTAAGAGAACCCCCCACACAATTTCTCTCTGGGTCTGCTGGAGGACTCTTCCCAGAATAGGCCGAGCAAGGGCCTTCCGTTTTTTTTTTGTTTTTTTCTTTTTAGATGGAATCTCACTCTGTTGCCCAGGCTGGAGTGTGGTGGCACGATCTTGGCTCACTGCAACCTCCCATGTTCAAGTGATTCTCCTGCCTCAGCCTCCCCAGTAGCTAGGATTACAGGCATGTGCCACCATGCCTGGCTAATTTTTATAATTTTAGTAGAGACAGGGTTTCACCATGTTGGCCAGGCTGGTCTCAAACTCCTGACCTCAAGTGATCTGCCCACCTAGGCCTCCCGAAGTGCTGAAATTATAGGCGTGAGCCACTGTGCCTGGCCCAAGCAGGGGCCTTTTTGAAGATTCCCCTGGGATCAGGGAGGAGTTGGACTTTTTATCTGCAAGTGTGATTAGCTGAAGTCTTTTTTACCCCTTGCAGATGGCTGCCAAGGGTTTGTTTCACGCCAACTCACTGCCACGGTGCGGCTCACATGGGAAAGGAAAGAGAAGTATATTCTTGTGCTAACATAACCCAGGGGCCCAGGGGCCCAGAGGCTTCTAATAGTGGACAGCTTAGTGTGTTACCAGAGGCATTGACTTCCCAGGACACCTCTTGGGGCCAATTGACTGGCACTGCAGTCACAAGCAGCTTTTCTAGCAGAACTCTGGACTTAGGGTTGAAGGGTGGTGTTTCCCACTATGCCTGGAGTAGGTGCCTTGCTCTGGAGATCAATGACTGTGGGCTTAGATATCTCCAGGGCAACAAGGCTCTTTCCCCAGTCATGGACTTTGTATTAATCGCATTGGCTGCTCTATATGCTGCACAGTGGTCTACCACCAGGCTCAGAGCCCAGCTTGAAATGTCAGGGCCATGGCAGGATTCACTGAAATAGAACCATCACTTAATACTATGGTTTTGAGGAAAAAGCAATTATTCCTTCCCCTAACTAAATGACCTTCCATCCTTCCTTTTTTGCATCAGTTTCCTCATCTGTAAAATAACAGATTTGAATGAAATCACCTTCAAAGTCCATCTTACAACTGAGATTATTCAATTTTTATAACCAGAGTCTGTAGTTCCTCTCTCAGAACATTTATTCTAAAACGCTAGTTTCCCAATCCACATAGACATGCCCAAGATATCCCAAAGGAGGAGGTCCTTAAAGCCCAAACTTACTGGCTATCAAGGTCTTGTCATCCTAAAGTCAACTTCTTATTTTGCAATGAAACAACCCAATCCCTG
Source organism: Homo sapiens (assembly GCF_000001405.40). Lineage (NCBI taxonomy): Eukaryota > Metazoa > Chordata > Mammalia > Primates > Hominidae > Homo > Homo sapiens. The sequence goes on from NC_000003.12 coordinate 66,826,176, forward strand.
ACCCCTACCTGTGCCTGTGCACATACAAGATGTCCACCTTCCCACAGAGTCCTCCCCACAAGTATCTGTGGGAACAAGTTTACCCCATGGTATCTGAGAGGCTTCAAGCACCAGTCTTTGCTCTACTGAGCAGGGAGCTCTTTGCAGGTGGTGGCTGCCCGGCCTCCAGGCACTATAAAGAACTTGGTCTGTTTCTCAAGGAAGGAAGCACTCCTTCTGATGTGTCAAAAACTGCAGCTCCCTGCCGAGAGAGCCACATTGAGCTCTCCATGCACAAAAATTGTGCATGAGCCTGGGGGAAGGAGAAAAGAATGACTTTTTCATTTTTGTGATGCTCTGTTAAAGGGGCCTGATATGGTTTGGCTGTGCCCCTACCCAAATCTCATCTTGAATTGTTACTCCCATAATTCCCACATATTGTGGGAGGGACCTAGTGGGAGATAATTGAATCGTGGGGGCTAATTCCATACTGATAATTGAATCGGTATGGAACCTCCCATACTGTTCTCAGGGTAGTGAATAAGTCTCACGAGATCTGATGGTTTTATAAGGGGAATCCCCTTTTGCTTGTCTCTCATTCTCTCGTTTGCTGCCATGTAAGACGTGCCTTTCACCTTCCACCATGATTGTGAGGCCTCCCCAACCGCATGGAACTGTGAGTATTCTAAACCTCCTTTTCTTCATAAATTGCCCAGTCTTGGGTATGTCTTTATCAGCAGCATGAAAATGAACTAATACAAGGCCCCAAACAGGGATTCACAACTAATTTGACCTAAAATGCAGGGAAATGGCACTTCCAGTGTTTACCAGAGTCCCTCTCTCTTGAACCTAAACATGTCCTCAGAGGGCTCCTCTGGAGATGAGTCCCTGGAGTAATGGTCAACAAGCTTTCCCTGGAATCTTTTCAGTCCTCTGATTACTAGGTTTATTATTTAGTTTATTGTGCCACTTATCTTTTTATTTTGAGGGGAGTCCTCTTGGAGGAAGCAAAAAAGCCCAGAATCAGAGAAAATGTGGAGCTCCTTCATCAGTTTGCCAGACATGCCCCAGCATATTTGGGTGGACATGGGCATGACATAGGTTCAAGAGAGAGCCTGGCTGCATAAAGACCTTTGCACTCTTGGCAGCCCAGTGGTCATTTCTCCAATCTGGACTTTATTTCTCCTTTATCCTGTTCTAATAAATCACTGAATTTGCTTAGTGATTTTCCTTTAGTGATGGATGGAACAAGAACCAGTTTTATTCATTTGACTGCAAGCATTGGTTTTGTACACTCACTCAGTACTCTAGGGGCCTTCAGACAGGATCTTAAGGACACCACCCCCACCCTAAGGCAACAAGAGCTGTGGAAGTGGAAGGAGTGTATGGAAGATGGCCACAAGTTTCAGGAGGTTTGCCCATCCTAAGGGAATAGGTATGATTTTGATGGGTCAGCCCCAGAGATGCTCCAGAGCAGCAGTCCCCAGCTTTTTTGGCACAAGGGACAGGTTTTGTGGAAGGCAATTTTTTCTACGGATTGAAGTCAGGGGGCATGGTTTCAGGATAAACTGTTCCACCTCAGATCATCAGCCATTAGTTAGAGTCTCGTAAGGAGCACGCAACCTAGATCCCTCGCATGCACAGTTCACAATAGGGTTTGTGCTCCTATGAGAATCTACTGCTGCTGCAAATCTGACAGGAGGTGGAGCTCAGGTGGTAATGCTCGCTCAACTGCTGCTCACCTCCTGCTGGGCAGCCCAGTTCCAGTTCCTAACAGGCCACAGACCGGTACTGGTCCATAGCCAGGGGTGTGGGGAGAGCGGGGGGGTTAGGGATCCCTGCTCTAGATTAAGAGTCTTTCTGCTTAATTCATTATTTCAACAAATATTCATCCAATGTCCACTGTATGCCAATTACAGGCTACATTACTGTTCTAGGCATCAGGGATAGTGGTGAACAAGATGTGCTGACAAAAACTGGAAATCCAATGGGCTATGGGTAGGGGGAAGTTCTTGCTGTTGGACCCCAGAGCTAGACAGATCATTTAAGAAGTATTAAACTGCAAAGTTGAAAGACTACCCACGTGTAGTATTTCACAACTCAGCTATTCCAGAACTGCTAATACAGGGCCTTGGAACGTATGGCCCTAGGTGACCACATTGACCACATGTAATTTGGAGCTTATTAGACAGAAATCTCTGATTTCTGAGAGAAATGAGATACATCCTTTAGGAAGGGAGCCTAGGAAATCACCTTTTTGGGAGTCCTTAAAGAGGTCTAGATATCAGCCTAGAGCCACAATGCTGACACCTTGTCCTGCTTGTGCCAGGCTGTGTCATTGGTAAACAGGGCACAGGCTTCCAGCCTGCTTTCTGGCAGTGGGAATGTGGGTGCTTTGGAGGTTCCTGCCACTAATGACCAGTGGCCTGGATTTAAAAGATGAGGGGGAAGGGTAAAGTCTCTGCCTGTGGAACAGGATTTATCCAACTGACACGTACAGAAATGAAATTTAACCCCACAGCCCTGACTCAACAGACACATTCAGAGCTGCTTACCGCAACCTCAAAGTACCCTTGCTCTGTAGAAATGTTCACAAAGTGATATAAGCAATTTAAAATAAGGGGGGTTTGGGGACAAATAAGCTTGAAAAATGCTTGCCTGATCAAAATTCACCAAGTTGCTTTACTGTGGGACTTTACAGAGATGATCATGTGAACAGGTACTTTTGTGAAGCACTGTGGTGGTGGACAGGAGAGAGAGTTTGGCACAATTTGCAAACATATTTGGGCACAAGGACCCTTCCCTAGAGGTGCACCCCTTGGGGCCAGTGTTCTTGGAAACTGCTTTGGAAAGCATTGGTTTAGGATGAGGTTGTCACCAGACTTGAGCTGTCATTCAGCGAAATTAAGGGTGATAGTTGCCCTTTCTCTTTTTACTAAGACTTGCATTTTAACTGGAGTCACTGATTTTTTTTAGCATTTTAATCTTTTTAAAACTACCACACTGCTCATGAGAGAAAATGCCTTAAGTCAAACAAAAGAAAATAAAAAACAAATAACAACAACTAACAACAATCCCCTTAGTCTCTTAAATTTCAAAAATACACGTTCTTATCAGGCTTAATAAGGGTCGCCAAAAAAAACTTACTTTTGGGTAATGTACTTGTTATTTTTTCTTTTAAAAAGTATTTACTATTTGCACTGTAGGGAATTTAATTTTTAGAGTTAGCTAAAGTTCTCTATATAGCCATCTAAATTTATAGCTATTTATTACTATCTATCTATCTACAGTGTTTATATGGTCTAGACGGTAAAGTATATAACTCTAAGAAAGAATTAACAATAACAAATTCTGAGCCTCTAACAAAGAAATTCAGAAAGGACCTACTCACCTTATTAAAAAATAAATCTACTTTTCTCCCCGTGTGAATTCAGGCTCTGCTACTTATTAATTATGTGACTTTGAGCATATTATACCAGCTGTCTCTGAGCTTTAGTTTCTTCATCTGTGAAACGGGTTTGTTGAGAAGATTGAAAGAGATGATGTATGCAAAAGAATTAACAAGGCACACGGAGACATGAAATGGTAAAAACCAAAACGGCATTTTTTAAAGGAGGAAATGTAGTACAAATTTATCTATTTAAAACATTTAAAATTATATTTAAATTATAACTATTAATATATTATTAAATATTTGGTGGGCTTGCAGCAATTCCAAGATGACGTTTCCTGGGCCCCAATCCCAGAGATTCTGATTCAGAAGGCCTGGGACCCTGCGTCTTTAACAAGCTTCCCCAGTTATTCAGCTGTGTGGGCTATACTTTGAGAGAAACTAGGTTGGAGGTGAAGAAATAATAGCAGGTAATGGGAAACATCTGACTAGAGCTTTAGATCTGGTGCACTTGACTACATGCAGATTTAAAGTAGCCAATGTAATTTTGAAAAAACATTTAAAAACCATGCTTTATTATAAAATGTTTCCAGGCAGCTTGGGCCATAACGGCCATTACTGAATAAGTGGATGTGGTGGGTGAAACAGTCCAACTGTGACTTTCTCTATTATTCTCCTTTGATGACAGAAAATATATTTCTCATGTCACACATTTATCTGCTTGGGGAGGAAAAGAGATTGGTCAATATTTGCAATTTCAGGGACATTTTGCATCTGCTTTATGTGTTGAGTTTTATGATATATAATGTTATAAAACATTTTATTCCATAAACACAGTTAACAAGGCAGATTAGATTGGCCCTTCTGACAGATTAGATAGGCTTTTTTTTTAGCCTTTGAGGAAATGCAGCAAGAGCACAGGGGACACAGTTGTTAAAATGTCATCTGAATAAAAGGTTCCGGGACTAGCCTCCAACTCCACCAGCAGCCATGAGGAAGTGAAGGAGTCCTCGGGGCGTTTCCAGAGAATTTCTACCTATGAACAGGTGTTACTCCTTTGCACCATGACAGAGAAACAGCAGTCCCTTTTCTCCCAGAATAAAGATGGTCATTCCTGCCTTGTGCAAAGGTGACATACCATTAACCAAAAAAAGGAGTTACTTTTGTGAACTCTGAGATTATTCACCGCCCAGAGTGAATCCTAGGTTTCCTTAATTAAAAAACAAAAAAAGTTCTAAAATGAGCTCCTTTCTATTCAGCTATACACCTTTGCTTTTCTCACCACCTAAAACTGGAGTTCTTAAATTTTGAGAGAACTGTACCATTATGTATGAGTGAATTTGTATGTTTTCCGAATATTTGTCTATTTGATCAGTGAGAGGAGAAAGGGACATCATGTCTTGTGTGGCTGATGCTGTTTCCCTGGTATTTGGTGCAAAATATAAACCCAAATTAATCTCATAACAGCCAGTTTTCTAGATGAGGAAATTGAGACATAGAGAGGTTAAGTAACCTGCTCTGGGTCACATAGCTAATAAATGACAAAAGTGCATTCAAACCCAGGTGGTGAGGCTGCAGAATCAATCTTAACCACTGTTCTATATTCCTTCTTACCATATTAATATTACTAACATACCAAGATTCATAGGGTTTCAGAGAGATTGCACTGGATGTGTGAGAGTATAAGAATCAAGGTTTAAGAGGAGTGAATAATAGTTAAATCAAATTATTTATAATTGGATGTCCTTCAACTTCCAGCATGCCTCTCCCTTTTTCTCCTTCAATATTAAGTCTTGGGTTCTAATTGCTTCCTGGAAGGGGAAGTGATAGTGCAGACAACTAATAACAAAATAATGATAGCAAAATAGTAATGGTAACAGTAACTGCTAACATGTATTGTGTATTTACTGTTTGAATGCCTCCCTGCAGACTGCACACTGAGCATTTTGCATATATCATCTCCTTTAATCTTCCCCACAAGCCCATTTCACAGATGAAGAAACTAAAGGTCAGAGGCACCTGGTGTATGTAATATGCTCAAAGTCACATCGCTAATAAGAAGTGAAACCTGAATTCACCTAGGGGGAAAAATTGGTTTATTTTCTAATAAGGTGAGTAGGTCCTTTCTTAATTTCTTTTTTAGGGACTCAGAATTTATATTTAGAACAGGGACAGCTTGTTTTTCAGCTTGTCGCTTGATTCAGTGTGTTCATACTTTGTGCCATCCACCAAATATTCTCAGGTTTTTACCTTCTGAGCACTTAGAAAGATTACATAATTCCCTCCTCCTTCCCCCTTCTGCCCACCCTTGTGACTAGGAGATCAGGCAACAAGTGGTGAGAAATGGTTTTGCGTGTTGCTTCTGGCCAGGGCTGGATACTTCTAAGCTTGCTTTCCCTGGGCAACATTTCAGATGGGAACTGTCCTCTCAGCCTCAGCCTAGAGAACACTTGGCCCCATTGCAGAGGGAGAATTGTGTGAGTGAGAAGGAAACCCTGGCATGTTTTATCTGGGATCATTATAGATTTCCAGAAAGTTGCAAAAATAGTATGCAGTGTTCCAGGAACCCTTCATCCAGCTTCCCCCAGTGGTGACATGGTATATGGCTGTAGTACGATATCAACCAGGAAACTGACATTAGTATAGCACTATTAGCTAAAGACTTTATGCAATTTTTTCCAGTTTTACCAGGAGTCCTTTGTGTGGGGGGGGGAGTGGGGGAGAGGGAGGTACTATGTGATTTGATCCCATGTACAGCTTAACCCTGTCATTGTAAGATTTTGATGTTATTATCACAGCAGAGATTCCCTACCCTGCCTGATCCACCCAACCTCTTCCACATTTAGGTGTGATCTTAAAGGCCACCTGACTCCTGGAAAGTCATATTTTGGCCAGAAATTACTGATTAAAGTGTTTCTTCTGGTCATTTGGGAGATCAGAAGTGATTCCGGGATGGTAGGAGGGGTTGGGGGAAACATGTATACTTTTTCCTTTGCTTTTAGGTATTTAGGAAACAATTTATGTTACTTGAATTGGTTTGGGAAAATGAGGCCTCTCGAGAAGTGAATGCCTGGGAAATTCAGTGTTTAACAGACCTGATAATAATGTGAGAAGAAGGGTGGCGACAGAAGCATAGATGGGCTTATTATGTGGAAGGCGAGAAAAAAAAAAGATTTTAATGCCAACACTCCCCACATGACGTGAATGAACATGCCAATTCGAGACTCCATTTCTCGTTCTCATCTACACAGCCTGGCAAAATATTCTGAAAGCATAAGCGAGGAAATATTTGTGCTGCCACAACATTACCACTTTCCTTCTCTAGTACTGTAATTTTGGTGGCAATTCTTCAAATGACCAATCTACTTGGAAAATTACTTTTTTTTCTTTTGCCTTAGAGAACTGTCATCTCAGATTATTTTGATCAACACTTTAGCAGTAATCTCAGGACATGGAAACAACCAATTTGCAGATAATGTCATACAGAATTTAAGTCTGAACAAGCAGAAAAAATTGGTTAAGAGTCTGAAGCCATATTTAAATCTCCATTCATCGACTGGCTGCATTGATTGAATTATTTAACCATTGTTTTATACATACTTTTAATTGAAATTTTTTCTGGCTATAATTGAAGGTTCACATTTAGGCATAAGAAATAATAGAGAGAGACTGATTCTGTATCCCTGTTACCCAGTTTCCCCCAATGCTGACATTTTGCAGAACTATAGTGTAATTTTACAACCACGCAATTGACATAGATATAATCCACCAATCATATTCAGATTTTCCCAGTTTTACTTGGACTCATTTGTGCTGCTGTGTTTGTATTTAGTTCTATATAATTTTTCACATTGCAGGTTCATATATTCGCCACAACAATCAAGGCAGAGAACATTTCCATCACCACAAGGATCCCCAATGTTGACTTTTTACAACCACATCCAACTCCCTCCCTCTCTTTGTCCTCCTCCCATGGTTTCTTATCTCCCTAGCAACCACTAATCTGTTCTCGGTTTCTAAAATTTTTATCATTTCATAAATGTTCTATAAATGGAGGCACCAGTGTGTAATCTTTTGGGCTTTTTTTTTTTTTTTCACTTAGCATGACTCCCTGGAGACTCATCCAAGTTGTTGCAATATTGATAGTCTGTTCTTCTTTACTACTAAGTAGTATTCCCTGGTGTATTAATCCATTCTTGCACTGCTATAAAGAAATATCTGAGACTGGGGAATTAATAAAGAAAAGGGGTTTAATTGGTTCATGATTCCACAGGCTGTCCAGGAAGCATGATTCTGGCATCTGCTCAGCTTCTGGGGAAGCCTCAGGAAACTTACAGTCATGGTGGAAGGCGAAAGGGGAGCCAGAATGTCTCATGGCTGCAGCAGAAAGAGGGAGAGTGGGGAGATGCTACACGCTTTTAAACAACCAGATCTCTCTCGGTCTCACTCACTCACTATCGTGACAACAGCACCAAGGAGATGATGCTAACCCATTCGTGTAGGATCACCCCCATGATCCAATTGCCTCCCACCAGGTCCCACCTCCAACACTGGGGATTACAATTTGATATGAGATTTGGGTGGGGACACAGACCCAAGCCATATCACCTGGTATGGATGCACCACAGCTTGTTTAACTATCCACTTGGTGAAGGACATCTGGGTTGTTTCCAGTTTGAGACTGTATCAATAAAGCTGCTATGTCGGTTCCTGTTTAGGTTTTCACGCGGATATAAGTTTTTATTTCTCTAGAATAAATACTTAAAAGTATGATTGCTGGGCTTTCTGGTAACTATATTTAGTTAATGAGAAACTGCCAAACAGTTTACCAGAGTAAGGGCACCACGTTACATTGTCATTAGCAATATTTGAGTGATCCAGTTTTTCCTCATGCTCCCTAGCATTTGGTGCTGTTGCTCTTTTTGTTTTAGCTATTCCGACAGGTGGGTAGTGATAACTCATTAACTCGCATTTCTCTGATGGCTAATGAGCTTGGACATGTTTTCATATTCTGTCTGTACATCCTTTTCGTGAAAATGTCTATTTCTGTGTTTTATTCATTTTCTAATTGGATTGTTTTTTTTTCCTGTTGAGTTTTGAGAGCTCCTCATATATTTATTTGCCTCCCAATCTATAGCTTGTCTTCCCACACACTTTAACTAGGCTTTCTCTCAGGAAACATTTGCCTTATAGTTTAAAGGTATGTTTCTGAGGCATTAAAATAACTATGTTCATTTTTTCTTAGTAATTTAACTTTTTTTTTTTTTTTTTTGAGATGGAGTTTCGCTCTTGTTGCCCAGGCTGGAGTGCAATGGCGCGATCTCGGCTCACTGAAACCTCCGCCTCCTGGGTTCAAGTGATTCTTCTGCCTCAGCTTTCTGAGTAACTGGGATTACAGGCATGCGCCACCATGCCTGGCTAGTTTTTTGTACTTTTAGTAGAGATGAGGTTTCTCCATGTTGGTCAGGCTGGTCTTGAACTACTGACCTCAGGTGATCTGCCTGCCTCGGCCTCCCAAAGTGCTGGGATTACAGGCGTGAGCCACCGCGCCCAGCCTATTTTTTTTTTTTTTTTTTTTTTTTTTAAGATAGGATCTAACCCTGTTGCCCAGGCTTGAGTACAGTGGTGTAATCACAGCTCACAGCAGCCTTGAACTTTTGGGCTCAAGCAATCCTCCTACCAAAGTCTCCTGAGTAGCTGAGACTACAGGTATGCACCACCATGCCTGGCTAATACTTTTGTATTTTGCTGTAGAGATGGGGTTTCACCATGTCGCCCAGGCTGGTTTCAAACTGGTGGGCTCAAGCAATCTGCCTGCCTCAGCCTTCCAAAGTGCTGGGATTAAACTTGTGAGCCACCACACCTGGCTAGTAATTTAACATTTATTGCCTTTTAAAGTGCTTTTTGTTTCTCTTTCAGATCTGTAAATATAGAATGAAGAGTTTTTTTTTCCTCTTAGGAGATTATTAGGGACATAGTTTCATAAGAGAATGAGAAATTACTTTGTGTGAATTTAACATGCTGTCTCAGCATCAGCAGAGTTAACAATGAAGACTCTTTAGTACAGAAAAAGAAGATGGACAGAATTTCAGCAGAGAAAATATGCTAGTGTCTAAGACTTTGGTAGATATAGTCTGTGTAAAGGGAAGAAAATGGGGCATTTGAAGAGAGAAGAATCTGGTAGCCTTAAACAACTGGTAAAGTTCTGGTTATCTGGAAGCTGAGGAACTGAGGGCCCCGGGTCCGTCCCAGCCACTACCTGGGAAGGAAAACTGGTTCAAACGAAGCAGTGACAGAAGCCAGTCTCTGCTGAAGCATTTAAACTGCTCTGGATTTTACAGTGTACATTTGCAGAGAGTTTATTTAACCTGTCTGGCTTTGCATTTCAATTTTCCATCTTCTAATTTAGGCTTAAGATTCTTAAAATAGGCCTGGCATGGTGGTTCACGCCTGTAATCCCAGCACTTTGGGAGGCCAAGGTGGGTGGATCATGAGGTCAAGATATCGAGACCATCCTGGCCAACATGGTGAAACCCTGTCTCTACTAAAAATACAAAAATTAGCTGTATGTGATGGCGCACGCCTGTAGTCCCAGCTACTTGGAGGCTGAGGCAGGAGAATCGCTTGAACCCAGGAGGCGGAGGTTGCAGTGAGCAAAGATGGCACCACTGCACTCCAGCCTGGCGACAGAATGAGACTCTGTCTCAAAAAAAAAAAAAAAAAAAAAAAAAGATTCTTAACCTATGTTGTATTAGACTAAATGCTGAAAAAAACATCCAATTTGTGATATAATACTTCCCATATACTCTATGAAAATGTAAACACATATACATTTATATACTGTGTATCTAAATGATTTTATTACCTCTAAACTGTATTAATAATGAAAGTTGCATGATATTTGTGAAGGTTATTCTAACATAATTTTCTCACTATTTAAAAGACTCAAAGAGATTATGTTATCTTTCTTCTCCTCACTTTCTGTATTTTCCATTCTTTCTCAATGTGAAGACTGACCTCTAGTGTTCTGTTCTTTTAAGAATTAATAGACTAAGTCTAGTAGTGATTAGATATCTGTATACAAATTGTTTCAAAGATCAGTTCTACAAATATTTGTTACGTATCTACCAAGTGCTACAACCTGGTGATTAAGATCTTCCTCATTCTACGACTGCCTCAAACCATGCTCCTTCTTTTGAAGGACCTCTGTTGGGTATGCATTACATATTACGGAACTAAGACAATATCACGGAACTAAGGAGGTAAAATAAGGGGTGGCACATCACTAAGTTAAATCAAGAGACAGAGAAAAACATGCACGATCCTGTTTATATACATCCATGTGTTGCTTAATGATGGGGGTATGTTCTGAGGTATGCATTCTGAAATGCATCATTAGGTCATTTTGTCATTGTGCAAACATCACAGAGTGTATTTACACAAACCTAGATGGTCTACTACACACCTAAGCTATGTAGTATAGCCTATTGCTCCTAGGCTACAGACCTGTACAGCATATAACAGTCCTGAATACTAGAGGCAATTGTAATACAATAGTATTTGTGTATCTAGACATACCTAAATGTAGAAAAGGTACAGTAAAAATGCAGTATAAAAGATAAACAATGATACAGCTCTATAAGGCACTTATCATGAATGGAGCTTGCAGGATTACAAGTTGCCCTGGGTGAGGGGAACATCACACACTAGGGCCTGTCGGGGAGTGTGGGGGCTAGGGGAGGGATCGCATTAGAAGAAATACCTAATGTAGATGACGGGTTGATGGATGCAGCAAACCATCATGGCATGTGTGCACCTATGTAACAAACCTGCATGTTCTGCACATGTATCCCAGAACTTAAAGTATAATTTTTTAAAAATTGAGAAAAAAAAAAAAGAAGTTGCCCTGGGTGAGTCAGTGAGTTGTGAGTGAATGCGAAGGCTTAGGACATTACTGCACACTACTGTAGACTTTACAAGCACTGTACACTTAGGTTACTCTAGATTTATTAAAAATATTTTTTCTTTCTTCAACAGTAAATTGATCTTAGTTTTCTAGATGACCATTTCTGTATATGTGCTCTGTTGCTAACTGAAACATCATCATACGGCTCATGACTGTATTTAAAATGGTTATTTCCTGAAATGTTTGCTCTTATGAACCACTGCATTCAGAGATTGATCCCCACAAAAAGGCTTTCAGAAGTATAATTTCTAAAACATGCCAAGCCTTTAATGTTATGGATTGCAGTTTTTCATGAGAATGACCTAATGAGTTTTAAAAACATTTTATTGGAGAAAATTTCAAACATTCACAAAAGTAGATAGACCGACATACCTATCTACTTTGGAGAATGTTTGAAAGACATATGGGAAGATGGCGAGAGGGAAGAAGGAAGAGAGAGAGGAAGTGAGGACTTAAAGAATGAGAAGGAAAAAATAGTCACCTCCTCCAAGAAGGTGTCCTTCATGTTTGAAATTAACCATCCTTTCCTCAGCAGGCTTTCTATTATTTCATTGTTATTTCTTTCTGCCTCATTTAAAATAAAATGTTACAAATGTCCGTTTCTGCCTGTTGAGGGGTGGAATATGTCTTTCTCCCCTTGTGTTATTTCTCAAGGAGCACCCTGAGGTGATCCTGTTAAAACCTCACTTGGATCACACTACTCCTTTGTCCAAACCCCATGAAGGTTTTCCACTTAGAGTGAAGCTGAAGTCCTCACAATGGCTTCAAACATGCCGGTATTCTCTGCCCTGGGGCCTTTGCACAGGTTTTTTGCCCTGTCAGGAACATTTCCGCCACCCAAATATCCACTTAGCTAGTTCACTCACCTTTTTCAAGTTTTTGCTCAAATATTACCTTCTATTTCCCTACTCCAGCACTTCCTACCCTTTTTGTTTTTTGTTTGTTTTTGTTTTGTTTTGTTTTGAGACAGAGTCTTGCTCTGTTGCCCAGGCTGGAGTGAGGTGGTGCAATCTTGGCTCACTGCAAGCTCCGCCTCCTGGGTTCACGCCTTTCTCCTGCCTCAGCCTCCCAAGTAGCTGGGACTACAGGCTCCTGCCACCACGCCCCACTAATTCTGTTTTCATATTTTTAGTAGAGACGGGGTTTCACCGTATTAGCCAGGATGGTCTCAATCTCCTGACCTCATGATTCGCCCACCTCGGCCTCCCAAAGTGCTGGGATTTCATGCGTGAGCGACCGCACCCGGCCCCCTTTCTTTACTTGACTTAATTTTTCTCCAAAGCAAGTATCATCAGAAGTTTCCATGAGCCGCATTGAACGTAAGCTCCAAGTGCAGACTGTGTCTCCAGTGCTTGGCTTGGTGAGGGTGTGTCACACAGCCGATGCTGCAGAAGCATCTCTGAGATGAATATTGAATGAACTGTGTCTCACAGAGTGGATTTAATATAGTTGGCACACTTGATGAATGTTTGTGGAATGAGCCAATGAATAAATTCTGACCCAAACTTGCTCTAAGTAACCAAACTGCCTGTGAAAGCAGGGGAGGCCAATTGAAACTAAACTGTAGAATGCAGAGCCAGGTAGTGGCTCCATCAACTTTGAAAAAGGTGTCTGTGAACCCAGAGTATGAGTTGTGAGAAATCAAGTGAAATGTTCCTCCTACTTCTGTTTCAGAATCCACTTCTAATTCTGAAAGTCACATTCTACGATTTTCCTTAAATATCTGGCTCTGGTACAAATCCTTTGAAAAAAAATAGTTAGCAATCCTCATCACCCCTAAACTGTTATACCCTAAGCTGGGTATTTCAAAGCAGGCTTCTCACTTACATTAATACAAGATTTCTGTTCCTCCTGTTAAGTGACAGTGTACATCCTTTGCAAAAAAAAAAAAAAAAAAAAAATTTTTTTTTTGCTTTTGGTCACCCTGTAGCAATTTCCTTGGGAACAAAATAACAAGTGTAGAAATATCAAGGGAAAAGCACAAAGGCCCTTCTTCAGTGGGTGGTCAATATCACTTTAATTCTTCATTGTAATCCTCACAAACACACAGCCCTGCGAACTATTAAATTACTATGGGGATTTCTTCTGGGCTCCTCGCCCCAGCTGGTCTCAGGATGTTCTCGGCAACAGGCAGCTTGGGTAATGTTCTCCAAACACCTGTCACCTGCTCCATACAATAATCTAAATAGAATGTGAATACAAAAGGCCTATTAACAATTATGCAATGATCAGTTTGGCTCAGGCGGCATGTCTGTGTGGCCTCCTTGAGAACGTGTTGAACATTCCCTTAGCAGGCACATCAAAACACATGAGACAAGAAAGGGCATGAGGAGATGGTTGCTAACTCACTACTCCCAGGCTCAGCCAAATGAGTCTGCGCATATGGAGGTGATCAGTGGGTAGAGACAGACATTTGTGTGAGGCTAAAGGCAGGGGATCTGGCGAAGCCTATGTGAGCCAAGCTCTGAAACTTATGTATCTGTGTGTGTGCACGTGTGCGCACATGCATGCACACATTTAGTGAGTAGTTCTTTCTCCTTTGTTGTTATACAAATGACATTCAAACTCTTGGTGTTTGAACCCAGGCTTCTTATCTTCCCCACCATCTTTACTTAATGCATGACAGGTCCAGGGTAACCAACTGTCCCCATTGCACAGGACTGAGGGAACACGGGACTCTCAGTGCTCGATGTGAGAAAGTCTCAGGCATACTGGTACACGCTGGTCACCTTATGTCCTAAGTTCTTAGTCTACGTTTGCATGACACCTATATTCAACTCACCAGTATATACACAACAGACTGATGATTCCAAGGGGGACCAACCTACACCAGCAATTCTAAATAAAGTCACTGAAAAAATACCCCTCCTGGCTGGGGCAGATAACCCCCATCACAGCCTGCCCTTAGTATGCAACTGTGTGGAGCAGAGACTAGTCTATTAACTGGAAATGTCTTCTTTATTGAGGGCTTCTTATGGTTATGCTAAGCCCTTTACACAATTTTCTCATTTAATCTACTCACTAATTTATAAGGAAGGCACTCTTAGTTTTCCCTATTTGTAGATGAGTGACTAAGAAGTAAAGATGTCTCTCGCTTAAGGCCACATAGATAGTACATGTGCAATCTGAATCTCAGGCCTGTTTGAGGCCAAAGATAATGTTCTTAGCCTCGGTGCTCTGTTGCCTTTGTATCTAGTTCCTCCAGGAAAACCAGGCTGAAAGCTGACTCTGTGACCATTCAGATCCATGTGGTGGGCTCGGAGATGGCTCTGGTGATTCAGAAGGGCTGCTTAAAAAAATATGTGTTTAATCAATGAAGGAACGAGTAAATACACTGGCGGGAACTCTGGTAGCTTAATAGTTTCCAGTTAGCTTCATGTTTAAAACAAGACAAATCTTTTTTATTTTTCCATCAATTGGGAGTTAGTTGCCTTCAAGTCCTAAGGATTTCCAAAATGGAGGTCTGACCTAGTTACTGTCCCTGTCACTCTCCTCTTTGGGGGACATGCTGACATCAGCAGACACTCACTGTTGGGGATTACCTGGACCAGGAAGCACTAATGTCTTTGCAAGATTCTTCTAAGACTAGCTGATTTCAGGAGGTCCCAGGACTGAGATAGCTTCTGAAGGTTTGCTGTAGGCAGTGAGGTCAATATTAATGCAGTTCCCAAATCTGGCCTCATGTGTAACAAGATTGATGCTCCCTGCTTTTCCCTAGGACAGTCTAATTTGAAGACTTTTCCGTGATTTCAGGGGAAGGTTCCAAAATAAAGGATGCATGCTGATGTTCTGCGGCCTACGTTTGGTTAGTAAATATATTTTGTTTGACCTGCACTGTGTTCCAAATTTTTTTTAGTTATTTGATACTTGAAAGAATAGGGAAACCTTGCATGAAAACATGCATTTCTAGCTGCTTCTCAAACATTAGAAAACTGGACCTATACCTACCTAGCAGCACTGGCTGAGGCTAAGAACAGCTGACTCCCTTAGACAAGATGTGTGTGTGTAACTTACACAAGTCCCACGGGCTCTATTATCTACTGAACACATTGCATGTATTTATGCTACTTGTCTTCTCTTGTCATGCACCGGAGCTTGTGATTCTTGCTCTAGATTTACGTTGTCCAATATGGTAGCCACTAGCTACATGTAGCTAGTTGCATTTATATTTAAATTAATTAAATTCATAAAATTTAAAATGTAGCTCTTCAGTTGCACTAGCCACACTTCAAGTGCTCCTTAGCCACATGTGGTTAGTGGCTACCATATTGGGCAACCCAGATTAGAACATTTCCATCATCACAGGGAGTCTGTTGGACAATGCTGCTCTAGACATTATTCTAGAATTAAGGCTGGCATCTAGTATGAAATTATTCCTACCTCCATATCACTTACCACCCACTGAACAGATTTTACATTCTGAAAATCTTATGGCAAGAGCAGAGGGAGGAGGATGAGACAGAGGAGAAGGAGGAGGAGGAGAAACCACTCATAGAGTGCTGACTCGTGTCAAGCACTATAATAATATAATAACGACATTCCATGAATTGTCTCATTGAATTCTTTCAACAGTCCTATGAGATAAGGGAGATTATAACTCCTCCCCATTCTAAAGATAAATGGAGGTTTAAGAGTTCACTACATCGTACTCAGGAGGCTAAGGCAGGAGGATTGTTTGAACCCAGGAGTTTGAGGTTATAGTGAGCTATAATTATGCCACTGTACTCAATTATCAATTCTCTGGGTGATAGAGAAAGACCTTGTCTTAAACAAACAACCAATAGTTCATTACATTGCAGAAGGTCACATCGTTAATAGACGGTGGAGCCAGTTTAAACTGTCTGACCCTAGAACTCATGCTCCTAACTCATGATCTTTCAATAACAGAAAATCCACAGAAATGGACCCCCAGTCTCCATTAGCAGTGAGCCCACTGAAAGTCAAGGGGAAGGGATTCTGTGCCCTCAGTCCACTGGGATCTGGCTGAAACTTCCAACAAATTAGTGCAATTAGCTAAAAGTTATATTCTTGGCCAATCCTAATGCCCACTTTGATTAAAAACTGAAAACTGTCCATTTTAATGTCGATAACTTATTTCTTCATTTCTGTTGTCATTCCATTGCTTCTCCTTTTCTAGAATTTGAGAATTCATGGCTACTAAGTATTAGCTGATTGCAAATATTGATACCTATTTCAAATATTTATTAAGAAAGGAATTTACTTTGACATTCAAATGGAAATGACATTTTTTTTATCTTGAACAGAGTTTATTATTAAATGTGTTGTTCCAGAGGAGCCAAGATGGCCAAATAGGAACAGCTCCGGTCTACAGCTCCCAGTGTGAGCGACGCAGAAGATGGGTGATTTCTGCATTTCCAACTGAGGTACCGGGTTCATCTCACTGGGGTTGCCAGACTGTGGATGCAGGACAGTGGGTGCAGTGCACCGTGCGCAAGCCAAAGCAGGGCGAGGCATCGCCTCACCCGGGAAGCGCAAGGGGTCAGGGAATTCCCTTTCCTAGTCAAAGAAATGAGTGACAGACACCACTTGGAAAATCGGGTCACTCCCACCCTAATACTGCGCTTTCCCAATTGGCTTAAAAAGCGGCACACCAGGAGATTACATCCCTCACCTGGCTCAGAGGGTCCTACGCCCACTGAATCTCATTCGTTGCTAGCACAGCAGTCTGAGATCAAACTGCAAGGTGGCAGCGAGGCTGGGGGAGGGGCGCCTGCCATTGCCCAGACTTGATTAGGTAAACAAAGCTGCCGGGAAGCTCAAACTGGGTGGAGCCCACCACAGCTCAAGGAGGCCTGCTTGCCTCTGTAGGCTCCACCTCTGGGGGCAGGACACAGACAAACAAAAAGGCAGCAGTAAACTCTGCAGACTTAAATGTCCCTGTCTGACAGCTTTGAAGAGAGTAGTGGTTCTCCCAGCATGCAGCTTGAGATCTGAGAATGGGCAGACTGCCTCCTCAAGTGGGTCCCTGACCCCCGAGTAGCCTAACTGGGAGGCAACCCCCAGTAGGGGCGGAATGACACCTCACACGGCCGGGTACTCCTCTGAGACAAAACTTCCAGAGGAACGATCAGGCAGCAGCATTTGCAGTTCACCAACGTCCGCTATTCTGTAGCCACTGCTGCTGATACCCAGGCAAACAGGGTCTGGAGTGGACCTCTAGCAAACTCCAACAGACCTGCAGCTGAGGGTCCTGTTTGTTAGAAGGAAAACTAACAAACGGGAAGGACATCCACACCAAAAACCCATCTGTACATCACCATCATCAAAGACCAAAGGTAGATAAAACCACAAAGATGGGGTAAAAACAGAGCAGAAAAACTGGAAACTCTAAAAATCAGAGCACCTCTCCTCCTCCAAAGGAACGCAGCTCCTCACCAGCAATGGAACAAAGCTGGACGGAGAATGACTTTGAGGAGTTGAGAGAAGAAGGCTTCAGACGATCAAACTACTCTGAGCTACAGGAGGAAGTTCGAACCAATGGCAAAGAAGTTAAAAACTTTGAAAAAAAATTAGACGAATGGATAACTAGAATAACCAATGCAGAGAAGTCCTTAAAGGACCTGATGGAGCTGAAAACCAAGGCAAGAGAACTAAGTGACGAATGCGGAAGCCTCAGTAGCCTATGCGATCAACTGGAAGAAAGGGTAACAGTGATAGAAGACGAAATGAATGAAATGAAGTGAGAAGAGAAGTTTAGAGAAAAAAGAATAAAAAGAACGAACAAAGCCTCCAAGAAACATGGGACTATGTGAAAAGACCAAATCTACATCTGATTTGTGTACCTGAAAGTGACAGGGAGAATGGAACCAAGTTGGAAAACACTCTGCAGCATATTATCCAGGAGAACTTCCCCAACCCAGCAAGGCAGGCCAACTTTCAAATTCAGGAAATACAGAGAACGCCACAAAGATACTCCTCGAGAAGAACAACTCCAAGACACATAATTGTCAGATTCACCAAAGTTCAGATGAAGGAAAAAAATATTAAGGGCAGCCAGAGAGAAAGGTCGGGTTACCCACAAAGGGAAGCCCATCAGACTAACAGCTGATCTCTCGGCAGAAACTCTACAAGCCAGAAGAGAGTGGGGGCCAATATTCAACATTGTTAAAGAAAAGAATTTTCAACCCAGAATTTCACATCCAGCCAAACTAAGCTTCATAAGTGAAGGAGAAATAAAATCCTTTACAGACAAGCAAATGCTGAGAGATTTTGTCACCACCAGGCCTGCCCTACAAGACCTCCTGAAGGAAGCACTAAACATGAAAAGGAACAACTGGTACCAGCCACTGCAAAAACATGCCAAATTGTAAAGACCATCAAGGCTACGAAGAAACTGCATCAACTAATGAGCAAAATACCCAGCTGACATCATAATGACAGGATCGAATTCACAGATAACGATATTAACTTTGAATGTAAATGGGCTAAATGCTCCAATTAAAAGACACAGACTGGCAAATTGGATCAAGAGTGAAGACCCATCCATGTGCTGTATTCAGGAAACCCATCTCATGTGCAGAGACACACATAGGCTCAAAATAAAGGGATGGAGGAAGATCTACCAAGCAAATGGAAAACAGAAAAAGGCAGGGGTTGCAATCCTAGTCTCTAATGAAACAGACTTTAAACCAACAAAGATCAAAAGAGACAAAGAAGGCCATTACATAATGGTAAAGGGATCAATTCAACAAGAAGAGCTAACTATCCTAAATATATACGCACCCAACACAGAAGCACCCAGATTCATAAAGTAAGTCCTTAGTGACCTACAAAGAGACTTAGACTCCCACACAATAATAATGGGAGACTTTAACACCCCACTGTCAACATTAGACAAATCAACGCGAGAGAAAGTTAGCAAGGATACCCAGGAATTGAACTCAGCTCTGGACCAAGCGGACCTAATAGACATCTACAGAACTCTCCACCCCAAATCAACAGAATATACATTCTTTTCAGCACCACACCACACATATTCCAAAATTGACCATATAGTTGGAAGTAAAGCACTCCTCAGCAAATATGAAAGAACAGAAATAATAACAAACTGTCTCTCGGACCACAGTGCAATCAAGCTAGAACTCAGGATTAAGAAACTCACTCAAAACTGCTCAACTACGTGGGAACTGAACAACCTGCTCCTGAATGACTACTGGGTACATAACAAAATGAAGGCAGAAATAAAGATGTTCTTTGAAACCAACGAGAACAAAGACACAACATACCAGAATCTCTGGGACACATTCAAAGCAGTGTGTAGAGGGAAATTTATAGCACTAAATGCCTACAAGAGAAAGCAGGAAAGATCTAAAATTGACACCCTAACATCACAATTCAAAGAACTAGAAAAGCAAGAGCAAACACACTCAAAAGCTAGCAGAAGGCAAGAAATAACTAAGATCAGAGCAGAACTGAAGGACATAGAGACACAAAAAACCCTTCAAAAAATTAATGAATCTAGGAGCTGGTTTTTTGAAAAGATCAACAAGATTGATAGACCACTAGCAAGACTAATAAAGAAGAAAAGAGAGAAGAATCAAATAGGGGCAATAAAAAATGATAAAGGGGATATCACCAATGATCCCACAGAAATACAAACTACCATCAGAGAATACTATAAACACCTCTACGCAAATAAACTAGAAAATCTAGAAGAAATGGATAAATTCCTCGACACATACATCCTCCCAAGACTAAACCAGGAAAAAGTTGAATCTCTGAATAGACCAATAACAGGCTCTGAAATTGAGTCAATAATCAATAGCTTACCAACCAAAAAAAGTCCAGGACCGATGGATTCACAGCGGAATTCTACCTGAGGTACAAGGAGGAGCTGGTACCATTCCTTCTGAAACTATTCCAATCAATAGAAAAAGAGGGAATCCTTCCTAACTCATTTTATGAGGCCAGCATCATCCTGATACCAAAGCCTGGCAGAGACACAACAAAAAAAGAGAATTTTAGACCAATATCCCTGATGAACATTGATGCAAAAATCCTCAATAAAATACTGGCAAACTGAATCCAGCAGCACATCAAAAAGCTTATCCACCATGATCAAGTGGGCTTCATCCCTGGGATGCAAGGATGGTTCAACATACGCAAATCAATAAATGTAACCCAGCATATAAACAGAACCAAAGACAAAAACCACATGATTATCTCAATAGATGCAGAAAAGGCCTTTGACAAAATTCAACAACTCTTCATGCTAAAAACTCTCAATAAATTAGGTTTTGATGGGACGTATCTCAAAATAATAAGATCTATCTATGACAAACCCACAGCCAATATCATACTGAATGGGAAAAAACTGGAAGCATTGCCTTTGAAAACTGGCACAAGACAGGGATGCCCTGTCTCACCACTCCTATTCAACATAGCGTTGAAAGTTCTAGCCAGGGCAATCAGGCAGGAGAAGGAAATAAAGGGTATTCAATTAGGAAAAGAGGAAGTCAAATTGTCCCTGTTTGCAGATGACATGATTGTATATCTAGAAAACCCCATCGTCTCAGCCCAAAATCTCCTTAAGCTGATAAGGAACTTCAGCAAAGTCTCAGGATACAAAATCAATGTGCAAAAATCAAAATCATTGTTATACACCAAAAACAGACAAACAGAGAGCCAAATCATGAGTGAACTCCCATTCACAATTGCTTCAAAGAGAATACCTAGGAATCCAGCTTACAAGGGACGTGAAGGACCTCTTCAAGGAGAACTACAAACCACTGCTCAATGAAATAAAAGAGGATACAAACAAATGGAAGAACATTCCATGCTCATGGGTAGGAAGAATCAATATCGTGAAAATGGCCATACTGCCCAAGGTAATTTATAGATTCAATGCAATCCCCATCAAGCTACCAATGACTTTCTTCACAGAATTGGAAAAAACTACTTTAAAGTTCATATGGAACCCAAAAAGAGCCTGCATCGCCAAGTCAATCCTAAGGCAAAAGAACAAAGCTGGAGGCATCACACTAGTTGACTTCAAACTATACTACAAGGCTACAGTAACCAAAACAGCATGGTACTGGTACGAAAACAGAGATATAGACCAATGGAACAGAACAGGGCCCTCAGAAATAATGCTGGATATCTACAACTCTCTGATCTTTGACAAACCTGACAAAAACAAGAAATGGGGAAAGGATTCCCTATTTAATAAATGGTGCTGGGAAAACTGGCTAGCCATATGTAGAAAGCTGAAACTGGATCCCTTCCTCACACCTTATACAAAAATTAATTCAAGATGGATTAAAGACTTAAATGTTAGACCTAAAACCATAAAATCCCTAGAAGAAAACCTAGGCAACACCATTCAGGACATAGGCATGGGCAAGGACTTCATGTCTAAAACACCAAAAGCAATGGCAACAATAGCCAAAATTGACAAATGGGATCTAATTAAACTAAAGAGCTTCTGCACAGCAAAAGAAACTACCATCAGAGTGAACAGGCAACCTACAAAATGGGAGAAAATTTTCACAACCTACTCATCTGACAAAGGGCTAATACCCAGAATCTACAATGAACTCAAACAGATTTACAAGAAAAAAACAAACAACCCCATCAAAAAGTGGGCGAAGAACATGAACAGACACTTCTCAAAAGAAGACATTTATGCAGCCAAAAAAACACATGAAAAAATGCTCACCATCACTGGCCATCAGAGAAATGCAAATCAAAACCACAATGAGATACCATCTCACACCAGTTAGAATGGCAATCATTAAAAAGTCAGGAAACAACAGGTGCTGGAGAGGATGTGGAGAAATAGGAACACTTTTACACTGTTGGTGGGACTGTAAACTAGTTCAACCCTTGTGGAAGTCAGTGTGGCGATTCCTCAGGGATCTAGAACTAGAAATACCATTTGACCCAGCCATCCAATTACTGGGTATATACCCAAAGGACTATAAATCGTGCTGCTATAAAGACACATGCACACGTATGTTTATTGTGGCATTATTCATAATAGCAAAGACTTGGAACCAACCCAAATGTCCAACAATGATAGACTGGATTAAGAAAATGTGGCACATATACACCATGGAATACTATGCAGCCACAAAAAATGATGAGTTCATGTCCTTTGTAGGGACATGGATGAAATTGGAAATCATCATTCTCAGTAAACTATCGCAAGAACAAAAAACCAAACACCTCATGTTCTCACTCATAGGTGGGAATTGAACAATGAGAACACATGGACACAGGAGGGGGAACATCACACACTGGGGACTGTTGTGGGGTGGGGGGAGGGGGGAGGGATAGCATTAGGAGATATACCTAGTGCTAAATGACGAGTTAATGGGTGCAGCACACCAACATGGCACATGTATACATATGTAACAAACCTGCACGTTGTGCACATGTACCCTAAAACTTAAAGTATAATAATAATAAAATTAAAAACAAAAACAAAAAACAAAAAACAAACAAAAAAAGTATTGTTCCATTCTTATTTAGAAGCATCATTTTTACAAATCATTCTTACATAATAACATTATATGCCCAGGAAAAAAAAAGATAAGTACTTTAGCTTATCCCTACTATGTAGTAATAGGAATTACAGATCACTTTGAAAGGGAGGAATGTCAGACTAATTAATTTCATTATGGGTAAGAATTTTGACATTGTCGTCTTGTTCGTGGGCCAAACAGTGAGCAAGGTTCAGATGCAGAAACATGTTTTTGTTGCTTCTTTGTATATATTTTACAAATTCTTCCTGATAAGTCTCTTTTGTCTGCTTTCTCTGTAACTTTTCACTATTTGTTGGTTCTTTTTGTTCACTGCCATGGCTTTTCATTTGGATGCTCCTAAATTATAATTTTCCTTTAAAGAAGGCAACACATAAAATCACATCAAGGATACCATTAGATGAAGGCCAGTGAAGAAAATTTTAACTGGGTAGGATCATTTTTAAATGTAAAGGGAGTATACTCAACTGGTTTGTGTCAAGCTTTTTCTGTGTTCTATATTTGCAAATTATTTTGTAGTTTCCTAAACTATAAACATATATCAGAAATATTTTTATGACAGGGTTTGCTTTGCCAGAGACCATAATTATCATCAGCTTTGCTTGCCAATGAAGAAGAATGCTTTTATCTGGGTGAATTTATGCATTGAGTGGGGGTGGAAGATTCTTTTTTGAGAGAGATTTTCATCTCCAGCCTAGAGGTTGGGGGAAAAGCTTTTTAGAAAAGTAGATGGAAAAATTGATCCATAAAGTTTCTCATTTCAATTATAACCACACACGATCTTGGCACCACTCTAAACAAAGTGGCCGGCATTGGTCACATTTTCCGTGTTTAGACAGAACTTTAAATTAGTTCTGCTTTATTGTTTACACCCATATTTACCAATCAAAATTTCTCACCTGTTTAGGAAGGGTTTTCTGATGAGGAAGACATATTGGAATTAGATGTTGACGTTGAAATCTGAAAGGGAAATGATTTCTTAATGCAAGCATGCCTTACTTAGTCATAAATGGTGACCTGAGATCCTCAGAAGATATGAGCCGTTCAGAAGAGGCATTTCCATGGCTTAGTCAACAATCTCCAAAATAATTAGCAAATTATTTAATTTATTCAAAATGTATTTTTTATTTTTCTTTGGAATCAAAAAACTTTCATTCCAGGAGACCTTGCTTGGTATATTTAGCTTTTTTTTTTTTTTTTTTGGAGATGGAGCCTTGCTCTGTCACCCAGGCTGGAGTGCAGTGGCATGATCTCGGCTCACTGCAACCTCCACCTCCTGGATTCAAGCGATTCTCCTGCCTCAGCCTCTGGAGTAGCTGGAACTACAGGTGTGCGCCACCCCGCCTGGCTAATTTTTATATTTTTAGTAGAGATGGGATTTCATCATGTTAGCCAGGCTGGTCTCGAGCTCCTGACCTCAGGCAGTCTGCCTGCCTCAGCCCCCTAAAGCGCTGGGATTATAGGCGTGAGCCACCACGCCCGGCCGCACATGATTTTTTAAAGAAGACAAAAGGTCCTCAAGGAACTATTATCCAGGATTTTAATGTCTATTCCCTGAGGAGCCAGGTACTAATTCTTGATTATGATTTGAGAAAAAGTTATTCTTCTACCCAACTCTCATACAGTGTTGGTGGACACGTATGATGATACAACCACTTTTGAAAACAACTGGGCAGCTTGTAAGTAGTTGAACATAGACTTACTGTATGACCCAGTGAATTCTATTCCTAGATATACCACATATTCAGACAAAAACTTACAGCAGTTTTTCTTGCAAAAGTCAAAAACTAGAAACAACCTGAATGTCCATCAACTGGTGGACGGATAAAACAAACTGTGATGTATCCCCATAATGAAATACCACACAACGATAAAAGTTTACCATTGAAATATACTACTACAAGATGAATCTTAAATGTCTATGCTGAATAAAAGAAGCCAGACAGAAAAGAGTGTATACTACACAATTAAATTCATATCAACATCTATGAAATGGAAACTAATACACAATCTCAGAAAGCAGATCAGTAGTTGCCTGGAACGGGATGTGCAATGGGACAGAAAGATAACAAAGATTAAATGTAAACTTTTGGACGTATACAAATGCTTATTATTTTGATTACTTGATGGTTTCACAGAACAAACATGTCAAAAATCTCTAAGCTTTATACTTCAGGTATGTGTAATTTATTGCATGTCAATAATACCTTAATAAAACTATAAAAAATGAAAAAAGATGTTGAGCTGAGGAATTTATTTACTTTTATAATAAACATTTTCAAAGTGGCCATGATGTGGCCCTTAGTGTGCCCTGTGTCTGTGCTTATGAAATTTTAATGTGCAAAGATATCACCTGGGACATTGTTATAGCACAGATTCTGGTTTAGTAGTTCTCGGATGGAGCCTGAGACTTTGCATTTCTAATAAGCTCCCAGGTGAAGCCAGTGCTTCTAGTCCAGGGATCACAGAGTGAGTGGCAAGACTCTTGGCATCATAAATACAGATGAACAAAATACAGCCTCGTAAAGGGCTCTCCAATGAATGGAACATATATGAGTAACTGAAGAATTATAAAAAGAGTGGGAGGGTTCTGTTTTGGGCATTTTTTGAGTATTTTTAATTTGACCAGCATTCCTGGTGATAACAACTATAAACTCTAGACAAAATGCAACAAAACAACTATCTAAAGGCATGGGATAAAAATCAGAAGAAAGCAAATACTGCATTGGAGTTGACACTCGAAAAAAGGGAATGGTACTTGGCAAGTTTCCCATATTTTTAGATTTTTTTTTTTTGTCTGAGGGCAGTCTCTAGTCTACTATGTAGGGCAACTCAAACTCAGAATACGTGCAGTTATACTAGCTTGAAAAATCAGATGTCAGGGTCCAAGCAGATTGTGGCAGCTGGAAAATGGCAGGGTTGGGGGTAAGAGTGTGGTATATAGTAGGAAGGAGAGAGCCACAGAGAGGGAGCTGCAAATTTTGTGTATAAATTCTGTCCTAATCTGTGGCTGGTCCCGAGTCATATACGCATGGGTCAGATGCCCAGAAATCCAGCTAAGGCTAAATGAACTGTACTAAGAGTCCAGCTGCTGTTCACAGCAGGGGAGAAATAGTTTGCAGTTTTGTGTTCAGCAAAGTTAACTTGCTGCTTACAAAAATAACCAATAGTTTTCAAAGGGGCATAACAGAATCCAGAGCTTCTTTGTAGTAGTCAGGGTTCTCTAGAGGGACAGAACTAATAGGATAGATGTATACATGAAAGGGAGTTTATTAAGGAGAATTGACTCACACAATCACAAGGTAGAGTCCAAAATAGGCCATGTGCAAGTTGAGGAGAAAGGAAGCCAGTGGTGGATCAATCCAAGGTCCAAAACCTCAAAAGCAGGAAAGCCGACAGTGCAGCCTTTAGTCTGTGGCCAAAGGCCCGAAAGCCCCTGCCAAAACTTGTTTAAGTCCAAGAGTCCAAAAACTGAAGAGCTTAGAGTCTGATGTACGAGGGCAGGAAGCTTCCAGCATGGGAGAAAGATGGAGACCAGAAGACTCAGCAAGTCTGCTCTCCAGCTTCTCCTGCCTGCTTTATTCTAGCCAGGCTGGCAGCTGATTAGATGGTGCCCACACAGATTGAGAGTGGGTCTGCCTCTCCCAGTCCACTGACTCAAATGTTAATTTCCTTTGGCAACACCCTCACAGATACATCCAGGAACAATACTTTGCATCCTTCAATCCAGTCCAGTTGACACTAAATATTCACCATCACACTCTTCAACGTATCATTCTCAATACCCATGGTATTACCAAAGGTTAGCAACTTGTTTCTGTAACGAGTCAGATAGCACATATTTTATACTTTGCAGGCCACATATTGTCTCTGCTGCATAGTTTTCTTTCTTTCTTTTTTAAAACAACAGCTTAAAAATGTAAAACAATAACAACAACATTCTAAGCTTGGAGGACCTTAAAAAAACAGGCAGCCCATAGGTCATAGTTCGCTGATCCCAGGGTAAGGGAAGGATTCCATGATCACTGTGCAAGTGGAATAAAAGCTTAAAGAAGTTGTTTGGGTAAAAATAAATGTAAATCTCTCACACAATGACATGGCAGATTGAGGTTCAAATCACCTAGAGTAGCCTCAGGCCAAGTAGGATATGATCTTTTTGCTCAAGTGACCAGGAAGAAGTACGGTCAACTTCTTCTCTGGCTCCATGTTGGCCCAAGGGAAAAACTATGTTCCTTCAAGAGTACCTCTAGGCCCACCAGTTCATGGTCAAGTTTGGTGGCATTAAAGAAAGGTATGATAGTTATAAACGGCTAGGTAACAAATTACTCCAAAACATAATGTCTCAAAACAACCATTTTATTATGTTCCAGAATTCTGTGGGTCAGAAATTTGGGTATGGCTTGACAGGGTGCTTCCTCTGCCCCCTATGGCATTAACTGGAAGTTCCTGGGTGGTATTCAGCTGACGGATGGACTGGTCTGGAGCTCATGATAGCTTCACTTGTGTGTTTGGAGCCTTGCATAGAAGGCTGGGCTCAGCTGGGGCGACTGAGTGGAACATCTACACATGGCTTCTCCAGCACCATCAAGTGGAGTTGGACTTTTTTTCGCCGTGACTTAGGGCTTTAAGAGTGAGTGTCCCAACAGAGAGGATGCAGAGCTGTCAGTCTCTTAGGCCTGAGCCCTCATGCTGTCAAACTATTGGTTGAGCACAGTCAAACTTCTACCAAATTTTATGGGTCAAAGAAGTCACAGTCCATCCCAATTCAGGAGGAGATCCCATTTCTAAATGGGAGATCAAACATTTTTGGTCATCTTTAATTTGCTATCAAGATAAATTAGTGATATTTCATGAAGAATAAGATTATGGTGAGTTTGGTTTGATGGAATTTTATCTTCCTTATGCTACCAGCACACAGGAGGAATGTTATCCTTACAAGAATCACATACACTTAAATTTCTTGGTAAACAAATGAGTCAAATATTTTGTTATTCTACACTATAATATAATTCGTAACAACTAACAGTGGGATAAAAGCAAGATTTGGTTTGGATTCTGAGAGAAATTGGAAAGAAAAAGGCAAAGAATAAATAAGAACTTGGAAATAGGGTTAGACAGGAAAGGGGCATAGAACAAAACAATATTTAAAAGAAGAGATACATTGAAATGTTTCCAAAAAAGGAAGGAAGGAAGACAACAAACTCTAGAGGACTGATGGCAATAGAAAGCTGCAGAGATAGACAATTTCAAAGTCTGTTGAATATGGGGAAAGACAAAATCAGGGGGTTCAATAACAACAAATGTGTGCTTGAAGCCAAAGAATAAAAATAAGATTGAAGTTTAGCTCTAAAGATTACAAGGACTTCAGAGACTATAGGAGAGTAAATTACTGTAGAACACACAACTAAATGTAATGTTCCTTTTAGCATGAGTTTTTAGGGAAAATGTTCCCTTTTACAACAGTAGCTATTATTGATCCAAACTTGATAAAGAACAACTTAGAAGTACCTAGATTTCCAATCGAGTTCCGAAACACACACAAAAAAAGGACCAAATGCAAAAAAACAAAATCCCCAAAACTCCACCAATATTTTGTGCTGTCTGCTACTTTAAAGTCTGTCCTCACAGACTTCCACCCACTGTGAAAGGATGAGAAAAATCTATTTTCTTTCTGCCCTGTAGCAAGAAAGCAGTTGCCTCTGCATTTCCTTGTAGATGGAAGTGCTTTTTGTTCTCTGGGACTCCTGAATATGCATTTGAGCTGTGAACCCGGAGAAGGTTGGGACAAAAGGGGCTTCCCTCTGAATTAGCGGCTCACTGAAACAGGAGGTCCAAGATAATTAATCTAGGAGCAGCAGGGATGGAGGCTGCAGTGGCTGGAACAGCCCCAGAGAGGACAAACCATAAATAGACAATGAGAAAGCAAATATTAGGTGGTGCAAAAGTAATTGCGGTTTTTGCTTAAAAGTAATGACAAAACCACATTTACTTTTGCACTAACCAAATACATTCTGTTTTCAGAAGAACTCTGAAAAGATGAAGCAAGTTGGGAGGATATATTCATTTCATGAACAATATACCATCTGAAATAATCACTGCACTATTCCTACGTGCCCCTCCTCACCCTAATTTCTCCCTTCCCCCAGTTCAATCCCCTGAGTTTTCCCTCAGATCAGTATTCAGAGCTCAGCGTTTTTAAGACGGAGTCTCACTCTGTTGCCCAGGCTGGAGTGCAGTGGCGCGATCTTGGCTCACTGCAAGCTCTGCCTCTGGGGTCCAAGAAATTCTCCTGCCCCAGCCTCCCAAGTAGCTGGGACTACAGGCACCCGCCAGCACGCCCCGTTATTTTTTTTGTATTTTTATAGGAGATGGGGTGTCACCATATTGGCCAGGCTGGTCTTGAACTCCTGAGCTTGTGATCTGCCCGCCTTGGCCTCCCAAAGTGCTGGGATTACAGGCGTGAGCCACCGCGCCTGGCCGAGAGCTCAGCGTTTTAAAACCTATAGTAGGCTGTTTTTTTCACGTCAATGTCAAATGTTTGTGTCTGTTTTTCAAAGGTAAATAAGAAGTCTGTTGTC
This sequence comes from Homo sapiens, assembly GCF_000001405.40. Taxonomy (NCBI): domain Eukaryota; kingdom Metazoa; phylum Chordata; class Mammalia; order Primates; family Hominidae; genus Homo; species Homo sapiens. Next base: position 66,855,594 of record NC_000003.12, read on the forward strand.
TGTTGCAGTCTGAACTCTAGAGTGTAAGATCTGACATATCAAAGGCAAGAGTAAAAAGAGAAGGTGGTGCATGCATGTATGGAATGAGGAGGAAAGACTCAATGTCATGGCAATAGCATTGGAAACAAAAGGAGGATTTGGAGAGGAAGACTTGAAGACCCCCAAATCAATCTATATACAAGTAATTTACTAAGTAGCAACCTGCAGCTCAAAGGTGTCAGGGTCAATATAGCTCCTAAAATTTGAGCGAGAATACATTTCTCAGCTGCAATCTACCTTGATCTCCTGTATTCAAGTTGAAGATTGGATATGGTTAAATCTAGATGGAAAGTCATCCATTTAGTGGTAGCAAAAATAGCTCAGTTTCATATTAGTTTTGTTTTTGGGCGGACCACTCAATGTGACAATAATGGCTCCTTTAGACTCCGTTGTGTATCAGGCAGATGAATAAGTCAGGCAAATATAAGGCATGGCCTTGTAAATATAGCTTATATAACTATAAAACTTTCTCCACAGAAAATATACTGTATTTTTACAGGCACCAACAGATTCCATGACTCTTTACAGAGAATATCCTTGTAGAATTTGCATAGTGTATACACTTGCATGTATACATGCAATGACTTAATCATTTCCAATAAAAGTGTGTAGGGAGTAGCTTTAGTCTAAAAGAGAAAACATGGTTTGGGGTTTTAAAGAATCACAGAATGCTAGAGTTGGGGAAGAAGGGATCTTAGAGATTTGTAACTCAATCTAACTTTACTTAAGTCCAGAGACTGTTAATGGTGTTCTTAATGTCACACACTTGGTAAGTGCTGGAGCTGAGACTTGAATCTGTGTCTTCTGACTCCAAATCCACCACTCTTAGGCATCTTAATATTTTAGCCAACAAAATTCCATGGTCTTGATTGCTAATGTTGTAATAAACGGTAAGGAACTGCGAGATTGTACCATAGACAAACTGAATCTCAGTGGCTCAGCAAAGAAAATTATTCACTCATGCAAAGTCAAGCGCAGGTCAGTGAGAAGGCACTCCCTCTGTCCTGTGAAATAGAGAACCAGATCCTCTCCAACTTGAATCACTATCATATCAACAGATGGCTTCAGTCGCCACAGCAGTGAGAAAGAGGATGTGGGCTAGCACACCGATTCTTAGATGCGTCCGTCCAGAAAGGTTTATGTGTTACTTCCACTCACATTTCATTGGCCAGGCGTCACATGGGTGTGTCTAAACTAAAAGGGTCTAGAAAATCTACTCTCCAGGGAGTAAGTGAGAAATGAGATGGATGGGCGCTTGTCACCTCTTCTGTGTGTTTATGCCTGGTTTATAAGAAGCACAAAGTTAAAGCATTATCACTATAAGATGTATGCAAATGTCAGCAATGTAGGATCTTGGGGGAAAAGGAAGTTTGGAGGCATTCTGGGTGGTTAAAAAGTAAGAATATCACAAATAACCTTTCCACTAAATTCTTATTAAAGTATAAAGGCCTGGCAAAAATTACTGATAACTTATGAATTCACCTCTTTTAGTATGACCGTTCTAAATCCCTAGGCCAGACCTTACAAACATTATGATCCAAAATACTGGCCATCTGCTTTGGCTGTAAAAATTCCCCTGATCAGAACTCTAAATTGGATCTTTCTTTCCAGGGCATTTTGTAGCTTTCGGTTGGCCCCATGTCAGGGAGAAGCTCTGCCCCCAATAAAATGAATACAAATATTTGTGAAGCTCATCGACCACCACTCTAAAGCCAGGTCAGACCCAGGCCCTGGAGAGCATGTGTTTTGCTGGCACATGCCACGTCCTACTCATATGGTTCAGTGAGCTCTGGTAAACTCTGCAAAGTTTAGCCACGGATCCCTGTTAAAGCTTGTTATCTGGTTCTTGTTTTCTAATTTGTTGTTTTTAAGACACAATATTTGTTGCCTCCTTATCCATTTTGTTGAAGGGAATGCTACAGGTGTGGTTTACCAAATACTGGAATACGGAAATAAGAGGTATTTTCTGATAGAAATGTTTTTTGAGTTGGCTGTGATACTGAAGATTTTTATCCATGTGCATGTGTGTACACACACGCGCACACACACACACACACACACACACTATGTAAAGTTCTTTGAAAAAGAGTTTCTCAATCCTTAACGAGCAAACCTCTGGGGATCTTGGTAAACCAGACTGACCCAGAAGGTCTGGGATGGATCCTGAAATTGTGTTTCCAACAAACTCAAAGTGATACAGGAAGGGGGCAGGGAGGTGCTGGGTAGAGAAAGGTGGGGTCCCTGGCTAGGGCTCCACCCTCAGGCCTGTGCCCCTGGACCTAGGTGAGGACAGGCACTCCTGATTTTGCGCCCAAATGTTGCATTTTCCAAGACCACCCTGGCCCACCATGCCCCATCCTGTGCCTATAAAAACCCCGAGACTTGGCTGGGTGTGGTGGCTCATGCCTGCAATCCCAGCATTTTGGGAAGCCGAGGTAGGCGGATCACGAGGTCAAGAGATTGAGACCATCCTGGACAACATGGTGAAACACCCTCTCTACTAAAAATACAAAAACTAGCTGGGCGTGGTGGCACATGCCTGTAGTCCCAGCTACTCGGGAGGCTGAGGCAGAAGAATTGCTTGAACCTGGGAGTCAGAGGTTGCAGTGAGCCAAGATCGTGCCACTGCACTCAAGCCTGGTGACAGAGCAAGACTCCATCTCAAAAAAACACAAAAAAACAAAAACCCGAGACCCTAACGGGCACAGACACAAGCGGCTGGATGTCGAGATGGACACACTAGCAGAGGAACACACAAGCAGCTGGACATCGAGAGGAACACACGGGCACACGTCGACAGGCCATCCAGGGCAGAACAACATGGACGCCGAGGAGAATTCGGTTGGAGGAGAGTCCCATTGCTGGGTGGTCTGACTCCAGGGGAAGACCACCTTCCCATCCCATTCCCTTTCTGACCTCCATATCCACCTCACTGAGAGCTATCACCACTCAATAAAAAACCTTGCACTCATTCTCCAAGCCCACACGTGATCGGATTTTTCTGGTACATTAAGGCAAGAACGTGGGATACAGAAAGGCCTCTGTCCTTGCAATAAGGCAGAGGGTCTAATTGAGCTGACTAACACAAGCCACCGGCAGATGATAAAATTGAAAGCGCGCACTGTAACACACACTCACTGGGGCCTCCAGAGCTGTAAACGCTCAAGCCTAGACGCTGCTGCGGGATCAGCACTCCCCACAATCGTACCGTCTGCATGCTCCCCCTAGAGGTAGGAGCAGGGGGGCACCAGCGAAGCGAGCCACACCCCCATCGCTTGCCCTGCAAGGGGGATAAGGAAACTTTCTCTGTTTCAAAAGGTGATGCCAATGCCACGGATTCCCGCAGTGGAGGAGTCTAGCTGTTGGTGCCTTACATGGGTCCACTGGGATTCCTTTTACCAGGTTCAGTGTGCCCATTCCCCAGTGGTTATCTGTTTTGCTGCTAAAGTCTCTGAAGGACTGACCTTGGGCTATTGTTAATGTCTTGCCCCTCTCCACCACCTCATTCTCTGCAGTTGGTATCCAGTGACTCATAGATACAGAGGCACAAAAGCCCAGCCCCCTTGCCGCAAAGAGGGCCAAACTCAGGGTATAGTTTCTGCTTCGGAGCTCCTCAGCAGAGTGGGAGCAGGCTGGAGATAACCTCATCTGAAACCACATACCTTACTCTATCTTGCTTCCCTCACTTCCTGAAAGATTTCTCCAGAGGGCATTGCCTTGTACTTCCATATGAAACCCTATCTCAAGCCAGGCTTCCAGGAAACCCACTACAGACATTTGCAGGCCATACCCTGACAAGCAAGTCTAGAGTGCTCTAGAGGGAGCTAAAGCTGAATAGTGGACTTGGGGTCAAGAAAATTGGGTTTTTAAAAATTTAACCAACATTTTAGGCCAGGAGCTGTTACATGTTCTTTTAAAATATTAATCGAATCTTCACTCAGTGAAGTAGGAAACTGAAGTAGAAGCTGTAATTAGCGCCATTTTGCAAATGAAGAAACCAAGAGAACAAAATAAAAACATCCAAGGTTATCCACTAGAAAGTGGCAGAGCTGGGAAATGAACGCAGACAGACTGGTTCCATAGTCTGTGCTTCCAGTGCTAAATGCCCACTTCTTGCTTCAGTGACTGTGGGATGAACTTTTCAGACCCTCTAATGCTCCTCTGTGAAATAGGGTATATTATCTACTTTTCGGATTATTCAAGGATTAAGTGAGATACTTTATATAAAGTGCCCAGTACAGAGCTGGGCACATTTTAGGTACATCGTTGACCTCATTAAACTAGTTTCTTTGTTATTCACCTGGGATATCTGTCTCATCTCTGCCAACCAAGACCCACAACAGGTTTTAAAGACTATTGGCCAGCCTGATGTAGTATGTATGTTCTTTTGGTGAACAGCCTTCAGTTTCAGGCCTGTTTGCTTCTCATAGAGGTTGAACTTTTTGACCATACTTGTCAAAAGCCCTACCAGATTAGGTTCCCAGTGCTTTACTAGAGAACATAAAATCCAAGTTGAGTTCTGACATGCTGAGATTTCACTCTTCAGAAAGCTGATGGAAAATGTCTCTTATTTGGAGTGGGGAGATGGTTCCTGAGGGGCAACATGCAGGCCCTAGAAACATGTCAGGGTCTTTACATGGACCAAAGCCTGATTCAAAATGGCATGTGGGAAACTACGTTGATGGATGTTAACTTCCCAGTACACTAAGAGGAGAGTTCTCCTAGAAGCCATAGAAAAGAAAGGCTCATAGGCCTACTTAAGAATCAGGAAGCACCTGGTTTGAATTAATCTAGAATGCTTAACAAAGAGTAAGAAGAGAGAGATGAGGACACTAACACTTAGATTAGGCTGGAAGGACACCTAGAATATGCAATTTTTTTTTTTCTGGAACAGTGTCTCCCTGTGTCATTAGCATCTCCCTGTGTCATTAGCAATAATGGTTCACTGCAGCCTTGACCTCCTGGGTTCAAGTGATCCTCCCACTTCAGCCTCCTGAGTAGCGGGACTACAGGCAGGTGCCACCACACCCAGCTAATTTTTTTGGTAGAGATGGAGTTTTGCCATGTTGTCTAGGCTGGTATCGAACTCCTGAGCTTGAGCATTCTGCCTGCCTCAGCCTCCCAAAGTGCTGGGACTACAGGCGTGAGCCACTGCACCTGACCATGGACATGCCACGTTTATATGTCCTACTCTAGGCTAGGAGCTGTGTTGCATCAGCCTTGCCCACTGGCCAGAAGGACCAGAGTTAAAGTTTGAGTGAAGGGCCTGGCAGGTGGAAGGAGCTCAGAGCCAACATGCTCGCTCTGTGGGAGAGGTGCACGGTCAAGTGCACCGGGCTATAGATGTGACTCATCAATCAGCCAGTGCTTTGTGGGCAGAGGAGATGAGGGGCCAGAATGCGTGTCACCAATTTCAGCATCACAGATATTGAGAGCTTCCAGAGCCTCACGTTTATTTGGTGTAGTGTGAATATTTGGTGCTTCAGAGACATTTAAGGTTTTCTTGGTCCTTCTATGCCTTCTTATATAGGTTAAGCACACTTGTGCTCAGCTTACATTTTCTATGACAGGGGTGTCCGGTCTTTTGGCTTCCCTGGGCCACACTGGAAGAATTGTCTTGGGCCACACATAAAATACACTAACACTAATAATAGCTAAATCGCAAAAAAAACCACTCACAATGTTTTTAGAAAGTTTACAAATTTGTGTTGGGCCGCACTCAAAGCCATCTTGGCCTGCATGTGGGCCATAGGCCACAGGTTGGACAACGTCGTTCTATGCCTAACACATCGTAAGATATTTGTTTCTGTACCTAATTCTATCTATCCTTTTTTACTTGTTTCCTATTGCAGAATCAAATATTCTCTAATATAACATATATAATGAGGATATTCAACATGGAAAAATTAGTTTATAAAATAAATGCTGGCAAAAAGAGATGCTGGAAGATCTCAAATGGGATGGTGAGACAACTCAGGGATTAATAAAATGGAAGTATCTACCATCCTTCGGGCTGAGGGACAAGGTGAAGAGATGCTTGATACCAGAATCCAGCAATCAGGGCCACCTAGCTGGAGGTGGGACCATGGAGAGGTGATTTTTGAAGCAGAGAGAGAGACAGAAAGACGTCTCCCTGGCTTCTTGCCTTCTCCTGTTTTGTCTCCCATCAGTGGCTGTCATGGGTTAATGTAGTCAGAGGTCAGTTAGCAAGGGAGCGTAGAGAGTGTAATAGGTAGAGAGAGACCCCTGTAATAGAGAGGAGAGGAGAAAAGATGAAGGGTGGCGAACGGTAACTGGACAGTACCCAAGCCAGATGTACTGGTAATCACTGGGAGTGACTTGTAGTGAGGCCTACCGGGCAGGGCACCCATGGAAACTCTGCCTTCTCTCTCTTCCAACCTATGTGTGAGAACCAGTAAGCTAAGAAGTCAACTAAAAGAGCTATTGCTCTATTATAATCATGGAATAATTATTTTAAACCCAACGGAGTTCTGCTTTGTGTGTTAGATCAGACCCAATGACATCTAAGAGTTATATCATCCTGTGACATGCCTCCAAGAGTCTATGAGTCAAAGAAAGATTTGTCCTTGAAAGACTGAATGAGATTTTAAAAGCTGATCTATGTATTCACGCATGGTAGACAACTTTAAAACTGAAAAATCACTATCTCAATCACTATTTTGAGATCATTTAAAGAAACTATTGCTAGTAGAGAGAAAAAGCCCTATTTCATTTATTAAGAAAAAAATTCTAATATTATCTACAGATAGAATATTTCTTTCTTTTATTGATGATGTATTAATAGCAATTAGCTAAGGGGAGAGAGAGGGAATTTTTATTTGTGGTGGGAGTGGCTTTATTTAAATCAAACAAATCAAAATACTAATAGTAATGATTCACTGAATGTTTCTTCTATATCAAGAACTGTGCTAAGTGCTTTAGAGCAGAGCTTCTCAACTCCTACACTATTGGCATTTGGGGTTGGGTAATTCTTTGTAATGAGGGCTGTCCTGTGCACTGTAAAATGTTTAGAATCATCCCTGGTCCCTACCCACTTGATATACCCCTCATCCAGCTGTGACTACCAAAAATGTCTCCAGACATTGCAAAATGTCCCCTGGAGGGCAAAATAACCGCTGGTTAAACACTTCTTTTTCTTTTTGAGACAGAGTCTTGCTCTGTCGCCCAGGCTGGAATGCAATGGTGGGATCTCGGCTTGCTGCAAGCTTTGCCTCCTGGGTTCATGCCATTCTCCTGTCTCAACCTCCCGAGTAGCTGGGACTACAGGCACCCGCCACCACGCCCGGCTAATTTTTTGTATTTTTAGTAGAGATGGGTTTCAGCGTGTTAGCCAGGATGGTCTTGATCTCCTGACCTCGTGATCTGCCTGCCTTGGCCTCCCAAAGTGCTGGGATTACAGGCGTGAGCCACCTCGCCCGCTGGTTAACCACTTTTTTAGAGGCACGAACCCATTACCACACCCAGTGCACAAATGAGGCAAATGAAGCATACACAGGTTAAATTACTTGCTCTGCTTCATGCAGATAGTGAGTGGTGCAACAGGAATAGAACCCAGGTCCAACTCTAAACCGTATACTAAATCTCAATGTTGAAACTTCTTCTCCCGCCTGTCTCCTTTCTTTTGATTTTCTGAGAAGTATTTGTGGATGACTTTTAAGAAAATTTACATAAAAGTAGCAGAAAAAGAAGCAGTCATTTTTGGATTTGAATTTACAGTGAGACTGAAATTGGATTTCTGCTGAGGTGGTAGTTTTATGCTGCTTAGATAACGATTTCAGAAGTGTAAAAGCCTCAACACTCATCTGTTTCAGAAAATACTACTGCGGACGTACAAACCTTTAAAAACAACATCTGACGGCACCTGGTTCATTTCAGGTGAAGAAAGGATGTGCTGAAAAGCTTATTTTTTTTCTTTTTTTCTTTTGTGCTATGATTCTTATTGAAGCTCCTTTCTGTATAACATTGTACCACTGCAGTAAATGATCAATTTCAACTTCACGCAGCCAAGGTCAGGTGTGAGGGAATAACAGGCTGTCTACGACACCATGTAGGCATGATTTATTGCATTTCCAGAAGAGGATTCTTGACATTTTGAAAATGTAATGTAGTGCAACAGTAATTAAGCCAAAGGTAGACTGCTGAACAATTGATTAGCATTGTCAGAGAAGCCTGATTAGCTTAGATACTTCCAGAACTGATCTTGCCAGCTATGAATTAAAGGTTAGTAATTAAATTTATGGGCCATAGCCACTGTCTCCAGGTGGCATTTCACATAGGAGTATTTGTGTTCTGAGAGGACAGGCAAATAAAGCAAACGTCAGTTGCCTTTTCACTAACAGCCTTTGGTTAAAAATATCTTTTCAGAGACAAAAGAAAAACGATACTGAGTCAAAACTTGTCTGTAAGTTAAAATGTTGCTTATATTATCCAGTAATGTTTTTAACAAGTTCTAGCTACCCTGCAATGGACTAAATAAAAAAGAGGGGAAGGTAAGTTTAAATAACGTATTCATATTCATCGTACTAATCTACTAACTTGCTGTTAGAGAGAATATTTAGCTCTGAGTCATCTGATGTGTTACTTATCTATCTAGGCAGCTTCTTTTTGAAAATTACCCCTTCCTCCCCTGCATCCTTCTGTCCACATATTTATGGAAGCAGACATATTCACTAAACATCTTTCTGGCCATAGCTGATGGGTCTAGGGGTAGATATATAGCCCAAACCAGGTCATTCAGATTCTATCCCTAGGGTTTTTTTTCCCAATTCAATGACTTTTAGTATATTCCCAGAGTTGTACGACCATCCTCACAATCAATTTTAGGACATTTATATCACCCAGAAATAAACCTTATACCAATTAGAAATCAGTCTTCATTCTGCCTCCTCCTCATCCCCAGCCCCCCGCAATGTCTCCCATCCCCAGGCCTAGGCAACCACTATTTCTCCTTTCTGTCTCTATACATTTGTCTATTCTGGGTATTTCACGAAAATGTAGCCATACAATATGTGGTCTTCTGTGACTGCCTTCTTTCACTTAGTATAATGTTTGTAAGGTGCATCCACGATGTAGCACATATTAATTTTATTCTTTTTTATGGCTGAATAATATCCCATTATATGGATATATCGTAGTTCATTTATCAGTTGATGAACCTTTGGGTTGTGCTTGCCATGAACATTTGTGTATAAGTTTTTGTGTGGACATGTTTTTATTTGTCTTGGTTATTTACCCAAGGAGGAAAATTGGTAAGTCATGTGATTACTCTATGCTTACATTTTGAGGAAATGCCAAACTGTTTTTCAAAATGGCTGCATCAGTTTGCATTCCTAGCTACAAAGAATGAGGGTGTTAATTTCTCCACATCTTCACCAACACTTGTGGGTCCATCTTTTTTATTGCAGCTATCCTAGTGGGTATGCAGTGACATCTTATGTGGTTTTGATTTGCATTTCCTTAACTACTAATGATGTTGAGCATCTTTTCATGTGCTTATTCGTCACTTGTATATCTTCTTTATATAGATGTCTATTGAAATCTTTGCTCATTTTTTATTGAGTTGTAAGTTATAGATATCATATATCTATATAGATATATCTACAACTTATATAACTTATGCATTGTATTAATATATAACATATTACATATATAACTTATATAAATATAGAATTTATTATATATATATCTTACAACTCAATAAAAAATATATTTTTTCTTAAACAGCAATACCAGCCTGAGATTTATATATTTTTGATACAAGTCTCTTATTAGGTATGTAATTTGCAAATATTTTCTCTCATTCATTAGATTGTATTTTCATTTCTTTATTTCACTTACCTTTTAGAGAAAGGGTCTCAGTCTGTCAGGCTAACATGTAGTGGTGCAATCCTAGCTTACCACAGCTTTGAATTCCTGGGCTCAAGCAATTTTTCCTGCCTCAGCCTCCTGAGTAGCCAGGACTACAGCCGTGCATCATCATGCCCAGTTAATTTTTTTCTTTTATTTTTTTTAAAGACAGAATCTTGCTATGTTGCTCAGGTTGGTCTCAAACTCCTGGCCTCAAGTGATCCTCCTGCTTTAGCCGCCCAAAGCACTGGGATTACAGGAGTTAGCCACTGTGTTCAGCCTCTTTTCATTTTCTTACAATAGGAACGTTTTTTGAAGTTTTGATGTAGTTCAATTTATCTACTCTTTCTTTTGTCACTTGTGGCTTTTCATGTCTCATGAAGAAGGTATTGCATAATTCAAAGTCATGAAGATACATTTATGTGTTTTATTTTAATAGTTTTATCGTTTTAGGTCTATGGTCCATTTTGAGTTAATTTTTGTGTTTGAAATAAGGTAGGAGTCCAACTTCATTCTTCTGCATGTGGATAAACAGTTGCCACAGTACCATTTATTGGAAAGCTACTCTTCCTTCATTCAGTTGTTTTGGCACCTTTGTAGAAAGTCAAATGACCGTAAATGCCAGGGTTTATTTTTGAATAGAATTTTCAATTCTATTCCACTGATCTATGATACCACACTTCCTTGATTACTGTAGCTTTATAGAAAGTTTTGAAATGGGGAAGTGTGAGCCCTCTGACTTTGTTTCTTTAAGATAGTTTTGGCTATATTGAGTTTGTTGCGTTTCCATATAAATTTTAGGATGAGCTTATCAATTTCTGCCAAACTGGCATCTGGAATTTTGATAGGGATTGTTTTGGATCTGTAGTTCCACTTGGGGAGTATTACCATCTTAACAAATACCATGCTTTTGTATCCATGAAGACTTGGGAGAAAGATATTATATGTTACCATTTATTTAGATCTCTAATTTATTGCAACAATGTTTTGTAGTATTCAGAGAACGTTTGTATATCTTTTGTTAAATTTATTCCTAAGTATTTTATTCTTTTTGATGCTATTGTAAATTTCATCTTGGAAATTTAAAATAAAGATGAAACAATCTCAGCTTCAGTTTACCTAGTCTCTTGAATGGCTAAAATGTAAATTTAGCTATTGTTGGTGGCCATTTTCTGCTTTGTGGTAGAAGTATAAAAAAGCCACAATGTAGTCTTAAAACACAAAGGAATCACAGAAATGAAAGATGTAGAAGACTCCCAGGATTTCTCCTTGTGCTCAAGGCACTGATTTTAGCTCAGTTTTCAGGCCAACTGCATCTCTATCCTTTATAACAATCCTTTGCTTTTGTTTGTGTTACCTGCACTGGATTTCTGCTCTGCTTGACTAAAAGTCCCAGCTAACACACTACTGCCATGCAGAAAACAAAACCTGTTATTGCTGTCATGGAAGAAATGGGTCACTTCAATGACATTTCCATCTCTCAGCTCTTAATCACTCATTTTTATCTCAAGTGAAATAAACAACATAATATTTTAATGATCATCATCTATCCTGTGAAATCACCTAGGCACATTAAGCTTTTTGGCACTCTGATCATATTAAACTACTCAAATTATAGCAGAAGTGCCAAAGCTATGAAAACCGGCATTAGATGTATGTAATTGAGCAGAGGGTTTAATGCTGACTTCTATTGGACAGATAGTTTACTGAACTTGATAGCTGTTAAAAATTAGCAATATAAAGTGAAATAGTTTTAGAAACCTTTTAGCAAAGTCACCAGCCTAAATAAATCCTTTGGAGCTACGTGGGCTTTAGACCACTAATTCTCAACCCTGATTTTGATATATATTTGTCATCAATTATCACAGGGGATATTATGAAATTTTAAAAACACATCTAGGTTGAATTTAGTCATTTTAATATACATTTATAGTGTTTAAATCATATTTTGGGAAATATGACATGTAAGTCTTTTTCCTGCAAGGTGACTCATATCCAGAAAGCCAGCATTCCAGGGCATTTTGTAAAAGCTCAAAAAGCAATATCTTTTAGTGAGTGAAGCCTTCAAATCTTTGTCTATTAATTAAACCATATCAGTAATATAGTATTTAAAATTGTATAGGTCATCCTTTGTTTTGGTAGCCTTACTTCTATAAAAATGTCCTAATAAAATTATCAGAGATGTGCATTGAGGATGCTTGATGCCATATTATCAATAATAGTATGAAAAGTAGAGAGAAACTAAAAGTACAATTGGGATTGCATTAATTTTGGCCTGTTCACATGGTGGAAAATTAAAGAGCTATTAAGAGCCATGTTGCAGAAAAACTTTTCATGACATGGAAAAGTTTTCCAACACAGTAAAGCAAAAAAAAAAAAAAAAAAAAAAAAGGAGTATTACACAATATTCCAATTCGGTAAAATAAATTTTATGTAAGTCTCCATGTTTATGCACAGAAAACAAACATCGAGGAATAATAAATTATCTTGGGTAATAGGAAGGCGATTTGATTCTTGTATTCTTTTGTACTTTCCACATAGCATTTATTACCATTCTCATAAGAAAAAGTAAATGATATCCTATCATATTTATTTTCATATGAGTAACAAATGATGTAAATGGCAATTATCTCTTCAGGAGACAGAACACTGTGTTTCATTCTATCTGAATTGAAGGAGACAGTGTCCTAGACCTGACTCAGCTATTGAATTCTCTCTAAGGATAAGAAAAAAAAATAATTGTGTTTCCCTATGTGCCAGCTTTCTGTCCTAATAATACCTGTCCTATCTACCTTTCAAGGTTGTACTGTAACAAGGAGCTGGTGTAATAAGCTACTTTGAAAAACATAAGAAAAGTGAAAGATATTATTATTAATGATCATTTATGAAGAGGTAGTAATTAACATGTAATATTATTATGTAGTAGACATTTAGCCTATAATAATGGCATAAGTTAGTATCAGAAATTATTTTATAATAGAAGTTAGATTTTAATAAATGTTTTGGCTGAATGGCTTCTATTTTCCTAAGATTTCTAAAGTTACAAGAATTAAGAGATCCTAGTCTTCCATGTTCTCTTTGATTCCTTTTAAAAGAGACAATGCGTGATGTGTAGTAATGAAGTACTATACCACTGACAGAATTTAGTTATTTAATTTAGTACTTAAATATTTTTATTAAATTTTAAGCCAGAATGTGGGAAAGCATATAGGAAAACCTTAGGTATTCTGCTTTCTGTAATAACCCCAATAGCTTTCTCTAGCTTCTAGAAAGGCCCAACTTGTCACACTTAAACTTCCAAGTCCAGTGTGTTCTTGTTCTCCAGCTTTCCAAAACTGCTCTGGGCTCCACGTCCCAGAACACAGAGAACTTCTTCACCTTCTATTTTTGGTCCTGAACCAATGAGCGAGGAGACATCAAAGAGCCTATAAATCCCTTCCTCTTGGTCCCCAATGACAGATGACAGTAAATCACTTTTGTTCTCCCCCTCAAGACGGAGTCTTGCCCTGTCACCCTGGCTGGAGTGCAGTGGCACGATCTCTGCTCACTGCAATGTCCGCCTTCTGGGTTTAAGCAATTCTTCTGCCTCAGCCTCTGGAGTAGCTGGGGTTACAGGCCCACGCCATCACACCTGGCTAATTTTTTTTTTTTTCTGTATTTTTATTAGAGACGGGGTTTCACCATGTTAGCCAGGCTGGTCTCAAAATCCTGACCTTGTGATCCACCCACCTTGGCCTCCCAAAGTGCTGGGATTACAGGCATGAGCCACCACATCTGACCCAGTAAGTCACTTCTAAAGGGAAGAAACAATTTATTTTGTTTTGTTTTTTTTCAGTAAGAACATATTATCATATTATATCATGATATAATATAAAATCCCTTCCAATAAACCAATAGCCAAAATTCCATCATATGGCAGAGTCTGAAATCAAGTCTTCATATAATTCAATTCACCACTGTGATGGTTAATATTAGATGTCAACTTGATTGGATTGAAGAGTGCCTAGATAGCTGGTAAAGTATTATTCTGGGTGTGGCTGTGACGGTGTTGCCAGAGGAGACTGACATTTGAGTCAGTGGACTGGAGAGGAAGACTCCCCCTCAGTGTGGGTAGGCACCATCCAATCAAAACAACTAGAACAAAGCAGGTAGAAGAAGGTGGGTTAAGCTGGCTTGCTGAGTCTTCTGGCTTTCTTCTTTCTCCTGTGCTGAATGCTTCCTTCCGCTCCTCCTGCCTTTGGACATCAGAATCCAGGTTCTTCAGCCTTTGGACTCTTGGAGTTACACCACTGGTTTGCCAGGGGCTCTTGGGTCTTCAGCCACAGACTGAAGGCTGTACTGTCAGCTTCCCTGCTTTTGAGGCTTTTGGACTTGGACTGAGCCACTACTCTTCCCCAGCTTGCAGACAGCTTATTGTGGGACTTTGTCTTGTGATGGTGTGAGCCAGTTCTCCCTAAAAGACTCCCCATCATATATGCATATATCCTATTAGTTCTGTCCCTCTGGAGAACCCTGACTGATAAACCAACTACATCAAATGTATCAGTGTAATCAATCTACATAAATGCAAAATATATATACAGCAAACATTTAGTAATGGTTTACTAGGTGTCAAAAACTATTTTTTTTTTTAAAGTTTTGCAGATGATGAAACTGAGGCCCAGGACCACTTGCCCAAAGTCACACAACTTACAAGTTGCAGAGATGGAACTCAAATAAAGATTAGCTTAATCCTTACGTATGTTTCATACTAGTTTTTAACTCTGATTTGGGAAACTGATTGCCTGACACGGAAAGATATTTATTTCTACCGTAAGTAGATTATATCCTCCACCTTGCCAACAGAGCAAGGACACAGGCACTGAATAAACTGTCTGAACCAAAAAGCTGTCTGAATATCCACTTCTAAGTTTTAATTGGTGAGAGTATCAGTATTTCATTGAGCTGTCGGGAATCTGGCAGTTATTCCATAGGATTTTGAGACTGTCAGAAAGATAACAGTAAAGGCTATTCCACAACAAGGAGAAAAATGTGAGTACATTATGTAGGTTCTCAATACAATAATAAGTGAATACACAAGAGAAGGTAAAAAAACAGGCACCAAGAATACATACATGGATTCTGATTCTAGTGATGACCATGTAGCTCCTAACAGGCAATGCCCTTACGTAAATAGAAATATAAAAACAAGTATCTAGAGGCACTGGAAAGTGATGAAGGTGATACTGGAGGAGAATTATCCCTTGCAAGAAGGGAAGGGTACTGGATGAATTTCCTGATCTTTTACAACCTTCAGCCTGATGCTAAGTTTTGGTCTGTTCCTTGCTGGCTAAATTCAGACAGAACACCTGTAGTCTTATTGGCTTGAGGTACCAGAGGACAAAGTTTAGAGAAACGAGAGATGTGGGAAAACAATGGAGAAAATTCCAAAAAGAAGAGATTCAGAAAATGGAAGCACCCATTTCTGCGTATACATTCTGCCCAATAAGGCAGGAACCGAAAACCAAATATGCATGTTCTCACTTATAAGTGGGAGCTAAATGACGAGAACCCATGGGCACACAGAGGGGAACAACACACACTAAGGCCTATTGGAGAATGAAGGGAGAAGATCAGGAAAAATAACTAATGGGTACTAGGCTTAATGCCTGGGTGATGAAATAATCTCTACGACAAACCCCCATGACACAAGCTTACCTATATAACAAACCTGCACATGTACCCCTGAACTTAAAATGAAAGTTTAAAAACAAAACAAAACAAAAAAACTTCTGCCCAAATTGATACCTGAACTGTGCACGAGTAGGGAAGACTCCAAGTAGCCCACGTGAGGCTAAAAAAAGGCGCAAATTAACATTTTAGCTGTAAGCCACTGCAGAGAGGACAAACTTATCAAGTTGAGTTTAGTCAAGTTAAGCACTACTTGAAAAAAAAAAAAACAAAAAAACTAATACTCTTCAGAGAGAGACAACAGAATGCAGAATCTCTATGATATTATTCACAACGTTTCCAATCCTATCTTAAATTACTCAACATATGAAGAAATTAAAAACATTATCCAGGAAGAGAAAAAAAACAATCTACAGGGACCAACCTCAAGATGACCCAGATGTCAAGGTTTATTTTTTAAATGCTTATAATGAGTAAAAAGAAAGAAAATCTCAGCAGAGAAATAGAACTTTAAAAATGAACCCAGGCTGGGCATGATGGCTCACGCCTGTAATTCCCTTGCAAGAAGGGAGGCCCACGCAGGCAGATCACTTGGGCTCAGGAGTTAGAGACCAGCCTGGGCAACATGGTGAAACCCCATCTCTACAAAAAATACAAAAAAAATAGCCGGGCATGGTGGCATGAGCCTGTGGTCTCAGCTAATTGGGAGAATTGCTCGAACCCTGGAGGTGGAGGTTGCGGTGGGCCAAGATGGCGCCACTGCACTCCAGCCTGCACAAAGAGCAAAACCCTGTCTCAAAATAAGAATAAAAATGAACCTAACATAAAGTCCATAACTGTGTTAGGCCATTCTTGCATTACTATAAAGAAATATCTGGGACTGGGTAATTTATTTAAAAAAGAGGTTTGACTGGCTCTTGTTTCCGCAGGATTTACAGGAAGCATGGTGCCAGCATCAGCTTCTGCTAAGGGCTTCAGGAAGCTTACAATCATGAAGCTGGAGGAGGCATCTCACCTGGCAAGAGCGGGAGAGAGAGAGAGGGAGGTGCCAGACACTTTTAAACAACCAGATCTCCCTTGAACTTACTCATCACCAAGGGCATGGCACTAAGCCTTTCATGAGTGATATGTCCTCACGATGCAAACACCTCCCACCAGGCCCCACTGCCAACACTGCAGATTACATTTCAAAATAAGATTTGGCAGGTACACAGGTCCAAACCATATCAATAACTGAAAAACATAATATCTGAAATAAACTGTTAGAGCCTAGCATATTGGAGATGACAGAACAAAGAGTAAGTAAATTTTAAATTGATTAATAGAAATTTTCCAAGCTGAAGAACACAGATGAAAACTACTAGAAAAAAAATTAAAATACAGAGCCTCGGGGACCTGTGGGACAATATAAAACTATTTAACATACATGTGATTTGAGTCCCCGAATGAAAGAAAAGAACAGAGAAAACATCTTTAGGGTAATAATAACTAAAATTTCTCCAAATTTTATAAAAGACAAATAAACAGATTCAGAAATGCCAGCAAACCAAAAGCCATATTCGATGAAAACCACACCTAGGCAGATCATTGCTGAAGACCAAGATTAAAGAGAAAATCTTTAAAGCAGCTAGAGCAAGATGATATATTACCTATAGGAAAACAATTTGAATTATTGCTGACTTCTAATCAGAAACAATGGAGGCCATAAGACATTATCTTTAAAGTGCTAAAAGCTTTTGTAAAAAAATCCAGGGCTAGGTGCATTGTCTCAAGCCTGTAATCCCAGCATTTTGGGAGGCGGTGGTGGAAGGATTGCTTGAGTCCTTCCACCTCAAGGATTGCTTGAGGAGTTTGAGACCAGCCCTGGCAACATAGGGAGACTGTGTTTCAAAAAAAAAAAAAAAATTAGCTGAGCATGGTTGCACACATCTGTGGTCCTAGCTACTTGGGAAGCTGAGGTGGGGGAATCACCTGAGCCTGGGAAGCCAATGCTACAGTGAGCCATGACCACACTACTGTACTCCAGCCTGAGTGACACAGCAAGACTGTCTCAAAAAAAAAGAATTTCAGAATTTGAATCCAGCAAAAGATTATTTAAGACAAGTGGTGGGCCGGGCGCGGTGGCTAATGCCTGTAATCCCAGCACTTTGGGAGGCCGGGGCAGGTGGATCACGAGGTCAGGAGATCAAGATCATCCTGGCTAACACGGTGAAACCCCGTCTCTACTAAAAATACAAAAAATTAGCCGGGCGTGGTGGCGGGTGCCTGTAGTCCCAGCTACTGGGAAGGCTGAGGCAGGAGAATGGCGTGAACCTGTGGGGCGGAGCTTGCAGCAAGCCGAGATCGCGCCACTGCACTCCAGCCTGGGCGACAGAGCGGGACTCTGTCTCAGGAAAAAAAAAAAAAAAGAAAAAAGACAAGTGGTGAAATAAAGACATTTCAAATAGATGAAAAAATTTCCAAAGAAATATAGAAACTTTGACACATGATCAAACCTAAGAACTTGTCTCTAAAAGAACCATTCGGTTAAAAAAAGATAAAACTTAAGAACTAAAGTCAATTCTTTGTTTGTTTTTCGTTTTGAGATGGAGTCGCGCTCTGTTGCCCAGGCTGGAGTGCTGTGGCATGATCTCTGGTCAGGCTTGTAATCCCAGCACTTTTGGAGGTTGAGGCAGGCAGATCACTTGAGGTCAGGAGTTTGGATTAGCCTGGCCAACATGGTGAAACCCCGTCTCTACTAAAAATACAAAGATTAGCCAGCAGTGGTGACAAGTGCCTGTAACCCCAGCTGTGTGGGAGGCTGAGGCAGGAGAATCGCTTGAACCTGGGAGGCAGAGTTTGCAGTGAGCCGAGATTGTGCCACTGCACTCCAGCCATATATATATATGCACTCCATATACATATATAAATATATATGCACTCCATATATATATATAAATATATATGCACTCCATATATATATATAAATATATATGCACTCCATATATATATATAAATATATATGCACTCCATATATATATATGCACTCCATATATATATAAATATATATGCACTCCATATATATATGTAAATATATATGCACTCCATATATATATATGTAAATATATGTGCACTCCATATATATATGTAAATATATATGCACTCCATATATATATGTAAATATATATGCACTCCATATATATGTAAATATATATGCACTCCATATATATGTAAATATATATGCACTCCATATATATGTAAATATATATGCACTCCATATATATATGTAAATATATATGCACTCCATATATATATGTAAATATATATGCACTCCATATATATATGTAAATATATATGCACTCCATATATATGTAAATATATATGCACTCCATATATATGTAAATATATATGCACTCCATATATATGTAAATATATATGCACTCCATATATATGTAAATATATATGCACTCCATATATATGTAAATATATATGCACTCCATATATATGTAAATATATATGCACTCCATATATATGTAAATATATATGCACTCCATATATATGTAAATATATATGCACTCCATATATATGTAAATATATATGCACTCCATATATATGTAAATATATATGCACTCCATATATATGTAAATATATATGCACTCCATATATATGTAAATATATATGCACTCCATATATATGTAAATATATATGCACTCCATATATATGTAAATATATATGCACTCCATATATATGTAAATATATATGCACTCCATATATATGTAAATATATATGCACTCCATATATATGTAAATATATATGCACTCCATATATATGTAAATATATATGCACTCCATATATATGTAAATATATATGCACTCCATATATATGTATATATATATGTAATAATATGATGATAGCAAAAATAATGGCGATAGAGTGATAAATGTTACACTGGTCTTCCCATACATTTTACATAAAATGAAACAATATAAAGTCTAAGTAGATTGTGAAAAGTTAAGAATGTCACATTGTAATCCCTGAAGAAACTCTAAGAAATGGAAAGAGATAGCTAATAAGTCAACAGATAGATTGAGATGGAATTTAAAAAATATCCAGTTAATTCAATAAAAGGCAAGAAAGAAAATCCAGAGGAACGAAAATCAGAGTGGGCAAAGAGAAAAGAAATGGCAGAACAGTAGACCTGAATTGAACTATATTAGTTAACTAAATGTAAATGGATGAAATAATCCGATTAAAAGGCAGAGCTTGTCAGAATGGATTAAAAAAATATATCCAACCATATGCTGTCTATAGTAGACACATTTTAAATAATAATAAGAGAGAGATAAGGTAAAATTAACAGATCAGAAAGCTACATCCTGCAAACTGTAAGCCTTTTAAAAGGTTGGAGTAAGTATATTAACATTAGACAAAGTAGACATCAAGGCAAAAAGTATTATCAGAGATAAATAGGAATATTTCATGATGGTAAAGGGTCCATTCATCAGGAAGGCATAACAAATGTAAATGTAAATATGTCTAATAATAGTACATCAAAATACATGAAGTAAAAATTAACAGGATTAAAGAGGGAAATAGAGAAATCCACAATTCTTATTTTAATTTTCCTCTTGCAGCAATTGATAAAACAACTACACACACACAAAAAATCAGTAAAGATATGGAAGATTTGAACATAGTATCAACTCTTGACCCAGTTGACATTTATAGAACACTTCACCCAACAAGGGCAGAATATACATTCTTTTCAAGTATGCATGATCATTATTAATACATGCACCCACAGCCATTTGGTGGCCCAGAGCATGAATCTCAACAAATTTAAAAGAATTAAAATCATTCATAGTGTGTTCTCTGACCAAACAGAAATCAAATCAGAAATAAGTTTAAAAAAAAATATATATATATATAACTCAAATCCTTGGAAATGAAACAGCACACTTCTAGATAAGTTAATGATCAAAGAAAAAGTTATAAAGAAAATTGAAACATAATTTTAACTAAATGATAAAGATACAATATGTCAAAATATGTGGGGGGCGGGCAGCAAAAGCAATGAATGCTTCACGGAAGATTTATAGCTTCAAAATATTACATGAGAAGAAATAAAGGCTTAAAATCAATGATCTAAGTTTTCAGTTAATAAATTAGAAAAAGAAGAACAAAGTAATGTCAAAGTAAGTAAGATGAAGAAAATCATAAAAGTTGGAAGTCAATGAAACAGAAAACATACACGTAATTGGGAAAATCAACAAACCCAAATCTTTAACTAGAAAGATATGTGTATGTATAAAGAGAGAATATGAATTACCAGTACCAGGAATATTATTCTAGAATAACCAGGAGAAGTTATTCTATAGACATTGAAAGGATAATCAAGAAATTATAAATAACTTAATCCATGAAATTAAAAAAAATTAAGTAAAATAGACAAGTTCTTTGAAAAACGTAACTTACTAGAACTGAAAAAATATGAAACAGAAAATTTGAATATCTCTATTTCTATTAAAGACATTGATTAGTTGTGAGAAAACTTTCTATACAGAAAACTCCAAACCCAGATAGTTTTATTAGTAAATTCTATCTATTAAAGAAATAATACCAATAATGCACAAATTCTTTTAGAAAATAAAGTAGAAAGAATATTTTTAAACACATAAGGCTAGTATAATCCTGTCATCAAAATCTGACAAAGATATTACAAAGAGAAAAACATATCTCATGAACATAGATTTAAAGTCCTTAACAAAATCTTAGCAAAGTGAATCCAGCAGCATATAAAATAAATGCTCTATCTTGACCTAGCAGGGATTATTCTAGGAAGTCAAGGTTGGCTTAACATTTAAAAAAATCAATTACTGTCATTTGTCAAATAGACAGAATTAAGTGAACTGGCTTTTCTATATGACAAAACATTATATACTAATTTAAAAATATCATATTTTCTCTCAGTTTATTATCCTGAAGAGATTTGGGATGGTGGGGGGAGGGCAAAAAGGGGAAAAGGGGGAAAAACTAATAAAGTAAAATATATACTGCTATAGTTCGGATGTGTGTCCCTGCCAAAATCTCATATTGAAATGTAATCCCCAGTGTTGGAGGTGGGGCCTGGTAGGAGGTAATTGGATACTGGGGGTGGATTTCTCATGAATGGCTTAGCGCCATCGCTCATAGTACTGTCCTCGTGATAGTGAGTTCTTGTGAGATCTGGTCGCTTAAACTTGTGTGGCTGTCCCCCTCACTCTGTTGCTCCTGCTCTGACCATGTGAAATGTCTGTTCCTCTTTTGACTTCTGCCATGATTATCAGTTTCCTGAGGCCTCCCCAGAAGCTCAGCAGATGCTGGTACCATGCTTCCTATACAGCCTGCAGAACCATGAGCCGATTAAACCTCTTTTGTTTATAAATTACCTAGTCTCAGGTATTTCTTTATAGCAGGGTGAGAATAGACTAACATACATATGGAATAAAGGCTTATGAGTTACTGGTTTATTATTATTACTGTTGTTAACCTTTCAATAATTTGTGCTTGGAGGAGCTGCCCCTCTATGTAGCTCAGGTACATTTTTTTTTTTTTTGGCAATTCTGGGAACAATCATTTCTAAAGAATCTGAAATGGTTTGCACATAATTGCTTGAATGTCACCACTGAAATCAGTATTTTTAAAAAATATTTATTTTCATTGAAGTTCACAAAGAAGGAATTTAAATGTTCCAAAATTAAGGGCTGATGTTGATACAGAGAAAGACAGCAACATTTCCATAGTATTGTATGAACAAATGAGATTCAATTCTCAGAGGATTTCATCCTGTCTTATCAGGTACTACTGGTTAATAGACCAGAGAAAATAATGATACCTGTTAATTTATTCAGGGCTTATTATTCACTGGGCACTAATCTGAGTGCTAGATATGCACTACCTAATTTCATTTTGCTATATTCTGATAACCCTAATGCTATTACATAAGCATTGCACATAAGTATTGTACAACACATTGTACATAGGAAGAAACTGAGGCACAAAGAAGTTTAATACCTTACCCACAGTCACACAGCAAGTAAGACGGCAGAGCCAGGATTTGAATCTAGGTAGCTGGCTGCAAGCCTGTAGTGAAAATTGTTTAGATGTGACTCTCAAAAACTTTTTTTAAATCTGATATTCATATGTCTGTGGGTACATTTAATATGCTTCACCCCAAATATCTGATATTCATATGTCTTTGGTACATTTAATATGTTTCACCCCAAATTGTAAAGACTAAAGTACTTTTTTTTTTTTTTTTTTTGAGATGGAGTCTTGCTCTGTCACCCAGGCTGTAGTGCAGTGGCGCGATCCTGGCTCACTGCAACCTCTGCCTCCTGGGTTCAAGGCATTCTCCTGCCTCTGCCTCCTGAGTAGCTGGGACTACAGGCTCCCGCCACCATGTCTGGCTAATTTTTGTATTTTTTGGTAGAGACGGGGTTTCATCATGTTGGCCAGGCTGGTCACGAACTCCTGACCTCAAGGGATCTGCCTGCCTCGACCTCCCAAAGTGCTGGGATTACACAGGTGAGCCACTGTGCCCAGCCTGAAGTACATTTTTATAATTACAAGAGTCTATAAAACAAATAATTTAAACCTATTCATCCAAATATGTACTAGAGAATGAAATTAGCTCACACATTCCACAAAGGGTGTGGATAAAAGAATACTAAATGTAAGGTGAAATGCTTGAAGGAGGCAGAAATGATTGGAGACAGCCTCCTTGGGATGAAACTCAAAGAAATTCCATGAGAGGCATGGGTATATTAGAGCAGACACTCAATTTGCACGAGAGATAGGGGCTGAAACCTCCCAAACACTTCTGAAAGCTATCTTACTCTATAATGCAGTAAAGATGACCAACATTTAAGGGTTCCTTCAGACACTTAAGGAGGGTTGCCAGACTCACGATATACTCATTGCTAAGGCAGGGCTGGGGATACAGAAGAAAACAGAATCAGGACTTCAGCTCATGAGCAAGTTCCTTTCAAAGGCGTTCTGCTGCTTCCCAAAGCATCTCTAAAATGTTTACTTAGAGTCTTTTAGGCATCTGGGACATAATAGCTGGAATAAAAACACTAGGCGCATTCTAGTTTTTAGAACTACGGAGTATGAGTCAAGATTAAATATTAATATTACATTGTGTTTGTATCCAAATAAAATATTGAGATATGTTGTCAAGAGTTACTCTTCACCTATGATTTCTGCTCCTTCAGGTTTCAGGATGAATACAACTTCCTATTATTTTCCTTTGTAATCTTTGTTGAGGCTTGCAATTGCAGCATTATTTGCCTGCCTTATTAACTATTTATTTATTGTTTACCTCCTCTGCACCAGATGTCAGGAACTTTGCCAGTCTTACTCAGCACTGCATCCTCATAATGGTGTCTGAATCCCAGGGTAGTGCCTGGTGAAAAACAAGAGCTTAATGACTAAATGAATGAATATACAAATGAATGAATGAATGACGCAGAATTTAAATGTGGATGTAGGGTGATCAGTAAGCCTCAGTCACTAGGTAATTGACTCATACTCAAGTATTTGTTTTATAGCCTGTAGTATAATTCCACTAAGTGGCTCAGCAAAATTATAAGCATTTATATTCATATGCCCGCTATCTCTTGAATTGCTGAAACTAGAATTACCAAGTGTGCAAATTCTGAGAATCTCATGTGCAGCAAGTCAAATCCTAGTGCATATAAGAATTACCTGCCTGGGGAGCTTTCAAAATGTCATTTCCTAGCTTCCATCCTACCTGTGCTAAAATGACCAGTAGACAGAGAATTAGGGAATCTAGAACAAATCCTGACTCTGTAAAGACTATATGAACCCGGGCATGGTATTTATCATTTTTTTGCCTTTCTGCAAAATGAGAAGAATAGATTAAATAAAGTTTGACTTTCTTTCTGTGTATGCAGGTCTGTATGCATTTGAGCCATGTGTTAGGCCTTATATTGAGTATAAAGAAATGAAATTTATAGTTAAAGTCTAACTGGCACAAATAAAAGTATGTATTTACAGAGTGCAATGTGATATTTGATATATGTGTATACTGTAAAATGATTAAATCAAACTAACATATCTATCCACTTACATATATACATATAATGTTTTGTGGTGAGAAAAATTAAGATCTACTTTTTTGGCAATTTTCAAGTATCCAATTCGTTATTATTAACTATAATCCCCATGCTGTATAATTGATCTCCAGAGCATATTCATCATGTCTAAATGAGGCTTTGTACCCTTTGACCAACATCTCCCCATTGGAAGAAAATCATTTAAACGAAACAAAAATGAAATAAGAGTACCAAATGACAGTTGAGAGTTACCACCTTTCTTGGGCCCTAAGATGCACATCTTTCCTTCCATATTTAATGTTTTTGAAATTGAGATGCATCTAACAATTGAAATTAAAAAAAAAAAACTTTCAAAGAAGAGAAATAAATTGTGACATCATCATCTTCCCCTGCATATTAAGTAAATGGACCCATTTCTAGAAGGGACACCTCACGGTAGTCCTGTGAATCTTAACTGAACCTGGGGACACCTGACAGTTGCTTTATGCATTTGGAAAACATTTCAGGTGTTTTCTAAAATGATAATACTGTGAGGCAATCCTGAAACAAAAATATATCTGGTAAGCAGAGGACTGCTGGTAACACAGCAGGCAACACAAATAACATCAGGAGAATCTGCGAAATTTGTCAGGATAACTCATGGAAATTCAAAGTGAAGAGAGGTTGGCCTTTTTGATTTATGTATCTTGAAAGGCTATTATGTATCTTGAAAGGCTACGTTGCTGAACACCTGCCCATCAGAAACCCTTGTCACTTTTAAGAGAAGCTAAATATGTAATTATGTTTAAGGAGAAGGCAAAATGATATGCTCAGTCAAATACAAAATGCAGAGGAAGCCTCAGTATGCTTTAATATATCTCAAGAGGAATCTGTCAGAGAGCAGATCAGTGGTTGCCTGGGGTTGGTGTTGGGAGAGGGAGGGAGGGATAACAAAGGGGGTACAAAGAAACTATTGGGGGTGATGGATATGTTCATTATCTTGATTGTGGTGATAGTTTCACAGGCAAATACAAACATCAACACATCAACTTATTCATTTTAAATATGTGCATTTTTGTGTCCTTCAATTATTCTTCAAAAAATGGAAAAGGTGTTTATTTTGTCAATAATGAAAATCCACAGAGGTCAAGGTCACAGGGATGGATTATTGAAGGAAGTAAGTCATGAGAAGACATGCTGAATGATTCAGGAGACTCTTCAGAATCTGAATAACGATATCATCATCCCCTTCTCACCAACACTATTATTTGTTAAGCACTCACTCTTCGTGGACCTGGCATTCTACAAGAAATTTTACTGTATCATCACATTTAATCATCACAACCACCCTGGAAGGCTTATCTCACTATTACCTCCATTTTACTGATAAGGAAATGAAGCCATATAAAGGGTAAAACTTGCCCCAGATTGCAGAACTAATAATGCAGGATTTGAACCAGTCGGAATCCACGCTCTTAAACTACTCCTCTAGCTGGCCCTTAACACTGGGAATAAAACACTTAAACACTGCTATTCGACAGGATTTCTCATATTGCTAGCTAAGGATAGAATAAAGAGCAATGATATCCCTTTAAAAGTTCTATAACTTGATCAAATTGGAGATCTAGCAGCACAATTCACAACTGCAAAAATATAGAACCAGCCCAAATGCTCATCAAGCAATGAGTGGATAAGGAAAATGTGATATATATATCGCATATTTATATACCATGGCATACTTCTCAGCCATATATATAAAATATATCAAACATATATACAATATATAAAATATAAAACATATATATTATATATATAAAATATATATATACTCACCATGGAATACTACTCAGCCATAAAAAAGAACAAGATAATGTTATTTACAGCAGCCTGGATGGAATTGGAGACCATTATTCTAACTGAAGTAACTCAGGAATGGAAAATCAAACATCATATGTTCTTACTCATAAGTGGAAGCTAGGCTGTGAGGATGCAAAGGCATAAGAATGATGCAGTGGACTTTGGGGATTTGGGGAAAGGGGTGGGAGGGGTGAGGGATAAAAGAATACACATTGGGTACAGTGTACACTGCTTGGGTTGTGGGTGCACCAAAATCTAAGAAATCACCACTAAAGAACTTATTCATGTAACCAAATACCACCTGTTCCCGAAAACCAATTGAAATAAAAAAAAAATTCTATAACTTGAAAGACCTACATGAATATATCAAATATCTGGCATATTCGAGGGTAACCATAAGTTGAAAGTCTATCCTATAAACAGTACTTGAGGACTTTAGATGGGTCTGTAGTTTGATCATTCTGTAGTTACGGTTTTCAGTTGCGGTGAGCAAGGGACAGAGGTGCCTAAATTTAGGTTTGGTATTTCTTTTTTTCTTTTTTTTTTTTTTTTTTTGAGACGGAGTTTCGCTCTTGTTGCCCATGCTGGAGTGCAATGGTGCTATCTCAGCTCACTGCAACCTCCACCTCCCAGGTTCAAGCGATTCTCCTGCCTCAGCCTCCCCAGTAGCTGGGATTACAGGCATGCACCACCACGCCCGGCTAATTTTGTATTTTTAGTAGAGATGGAGTTTCTCCATTTTGGTCAGGCTGGTCTCGAACTCCCGACCTCAGGTGATCCACCTGCCTCGGCCTCCCAAAGTGCTGGGATTACAGGCGTGAGCCACCGCACCTGGCTGGTATTTCATTACTTTTTAAGAAAAAGGGTGGTGAATCAAGGAGTCTAGAGGGACTTGGAAACACTGAACATTTCCAAGCATCATGCTCTGTGAGGTGTATATTCTTGGTTGTTGCCTTATTTATATAACATAAAATATATTATTGTAGCCACTTTTAAGTATACAGCTCAATGACATTACATATATTTGTTGCCTTTTTTTCAAAGGTAGTATTTCTTCCTGAGGAGACAGTTGTGTGGTAAAGTTGCATGTGTGCTGCAGTCTAATAGACTGGTGTTTGATTTCCACTTCTGTCTTTTTGTAGGGTATGACCTTGGTCAATTTGAAAACCTCTCTATCCTTCAGTTTCCTCATCTGTAAAATGATGTTGATACAGGCCTACCAGACAGTACTGTTGCAGGCATTAATCAATATAATGTTTGGAAATTGCTCAGTATAATTTCTGGCATGGAGTAAAAGCTTTCAATATGCTGTAGAAAATGTAGCTATTATAAATCCATCAAACGTTTCTGCAAGTCAGTGATTCTTAACCTCCTGGAGAAAGCTGAACCTAAGGGGGTCCTGAATTGGATTTGAGGGGTCCTATAAGTGTCCTAAAGGATGCGTAAATTCATGTATCTTCTCTCTGTAAGTGTTTCGGAAAAAGACACACAACTTTCACCAGATTTTCAAAGAAGTATTAGAAGTACAAGGGTGAAAACAGAAAACTTATTAGAGAAATATATATGACCAGATCAACCTCACTTAATCTGCTATTCGGGGCTTTGACCTTTGACCTAAGTTTTTCCCTTCCCTCTGTAGGTATTGTGGGTAAGTAGAAGAGCAAAAGGCTTACTCTTTGTCTTAGGGATACCTAATGGTGTTGCATATAAGGGGGTATAAGTCACACCCCCTGGAGTTGTGGCCTGCAGTCTGCAGAGTTTGGCCTACTTTTCCCCCACACCCTTGGCACAGTGCAGCTGCATGGTCCTGGGGACACAGTGCTAACTGGACAGCAGGGTTGCTATGAGATTGTGCATGGGAAGACAAGGAACTCATAGAGTTAAGATGGCTTCACAGCCTGTGCCCTCACTTGGCTGTCTGGACCCTAGCCTTTCATAGTACAGCACTTTGCACATACGTCTAACAAGATCACCTGGGAAACTTGCAAATACGTGGTAGGTCTGGAGTGGGGCTGAGATTGTGTATTTCTAACAAGTTCCTAGGGGATCACACTTGGAATAGTGAGGCTCTAACCTTTTCATGTTAGTTTATTTGTCTGTTTCCCCAGTTGTCTCTGGGCAAAATGAAGGCAGGGGACAGGACCTTGTCTTATTCTCTTTCTGAGGGGTTTAGTACAGAGGTGACATATAGGTTGAAAGTAAATGCTTAAGAAGTGTAAGGAAGGAAAAAGGAAGGAAGGAGAGACGGAAGGAAGCAAGGAGGAAACAAAAGAAGGAAGGTCCGGGCATGGTGGCTCACACCTGTAATCCCAGTACTTTGGGAGGCTGAAATGGGTGGATCTCTTGGGCCCAAGAGTTTGATGCCAGCCTAGGCAAAGGACAAAACCCCATCTCTACAAAAAATACAAAAAATTAGCTGGGCATGGTGGCACTCACCTGGGGTCTCACCTACTCGGGAGGCTGAGTTGGGAGGATCACCTGAGCGTGGGGAGGTTGAGGGTGTCGTGACCTGTGATCATGCCACTGTACTACAGCCTGGGTGACAGAGCAAGATGCTGAGAAAAAGAAGGAAGGAAGAAAGGAAGGAAGGAAGGAAGGAAGGAAGGAAGGAAGGAAAGGGAAGAGAAGGAGGGAGGTGAGGGGAGGGACAGAAGGGAGGGAGGGAGGGAGGGAAAGGAGGGGAGGGGAGGGGACAGAGGAAAGAGGAGAGTGGGGAGAGGGAAGGAGGGGAAGGAGAGAATGGAAAGAAAGGAGAGAAAAGAAAGGTATGTAGTTTTGAGCAGAAAGGGGTTGTACACTGAAGGCGTGTAAGCATGTAGTTGTCATAACTGGACAGATTTTCCAGATACATTTCTGCCTCTAAGATCAAAGTTTCTTCCCTCTCTGAGACTCAAGGAAGGCACTCCGCCAGAAAAAGGAGAGGAAATAGAAGTCACCAAGCTGACCACTAATCAAGAGACTGAAGTTTGTCTCCAAGAGACAATTCTCTAATTTCTACAAAATGAGAACATTTACTGTATAATGAAATTCATTGTGCAGAACATCTCCTGAGCATAAAAATCTACAAGACGTAGACAGCTGCTCATAGGGCCATTTTTAAACACCTTCTTTTGGAGTAGGCTGTTCTTTGACATGGACTGCAAAGTTTTACTTATGCAGTTATTTTATCACCTTTATCGCAAATGCATAAAAAGTAAAGACTCAAGGAAAGAAGGAAGGTTCTAAAAATATTCTTCATAGAGGCAGACACAAACTGGGGTTGAAAAGCCCAATTATCTTCTGTCACTTATATCACTCTAGTTGGAAACAGCTTTAACATCGGGAGTGACCACATATTACCTATCCTGCTCAGAGTCACCACTGCATTTACTTTCTAGTAGATGATTTAACAGACAGACAGAGAATGTGAGTGCCACTGGTTAGAACATGGTTTCTAGGTGTCACACTATTTCATCAGGCAATGATGAATCACACTGCGGCTCTCACATCGACTTTCCCACGACCTCTGAGCAACTAGAGAAAGCCAAAGAACAATTCTGGGAGTTTGATTTCCCTAACAAAGCAACAGAAGGCCCAGATTAAACTGGCCTCTTTGAAACTTAAAAGGAACCACCATTTTGTCACCTTTTAGGGGGGCAAGCTGATTAATGGGCAGCGAATAATCACAAGAGAATTCACTGATTAAATGTGTAGCCATTGTAAATGCAGATCCAAACCCTTAGAAAGAAATAAATGCAGACCCTTCTTGAGTTTCGCTGATTCTGCTCATATGTTTTGTATTTACAAAGAAAATAAAAATTGTCAAGGCAATTTTTAAGGAAGAGCTTAAGAGGAAAAAGCAAACCTTTAGCACAAGTTGCAAATGCAGTTAGCTTATTAAACATTATCTTATTCAACCCATCTTATGCCACATCCCAAAAAGGGCACAGAAACTGGAAAAAAAGCAACCCATCCTGACTCAAATGTCAACTAAAATGTCTGAAAGTTTCCATGATGATGTTGATAATGGTGATGATGACAGCAACTAAGTTGTCATCAACTGGATACTCTAAGTATTCTTCATATATTAAGTTGTCTACTCCTCAACAAAATATAAAATAGATGCTTATTAACTCCATTTTTACAGATGAGGAATCTGAGACATACAGAGTTTAAGTAACTTGTCTAAAATTACATAGGCGGTTAATGGCACAATTTACTCAACTTTGGGTAATGTGGCCTTGGTACATGTGCTTTTGAGTCCTCCTAGCATTGATATTGATGATATGAATAAACTAAATGATGTGCTCCCATGACACTGCAGTTTCCATGGTATTTACTTCAACTGTCTATGAAGTAGCTCTCCTGGCTCTAATAGTCCATAAGACTGTAAACCTCATGGAATAGTCCCATTCCATGAGCAATGGTTCAATAGGCAAATGACTTTAGTTGAGTGGTTCAGTCCATATCAATCTAATAATAAGTGCCTATTAAGTCCTGGTTGTGGCACAAGAGAGGAGAGAGGATGGTGAGGGGAGAACATTAAAGAAACATAGAAAGATGGCCCTGTCCTTATGTCACATCTTCTAAAAGATGTGCTTGAATTAAAGATGCTTGGATTTTGAGAGGTTTTGCCAAAGAGTACTGTATTACCACTATAAAGGGAAGCCAAGAGTGATAGAGGTAATTTTCACCATCCAGCATCCTCTCACTCTTCCATTGGTAACTGCATCCTGAACTTCTTTCAAAGTACCTAATCTCCTGTTTCCCCAAGATGCACAGTCTTGCTTTGATGTCAGAGGATAGGTAAGTGCCCTGAATCCTGCCAGAGTCATCCTCTTGGAAATTCAAATTTTGAGCAGAGTCATACATGGACAAAAAAACTTCAACATCAATGAACATTTCATACATTCATCCTCGGTATCTGCCCCTTGCAGGTACTAGAGTCCAGAGATGCTCAAGTCCCTGCTATAAAATGGCATAATAGTTGCATATAACCTACCTACATCCTCCCATGTACATGAAATCATTTCTAGATTACTTATAATACCTAGTACAATGGAAACGCTACATAACAGTTGTTATGCTGTATTATCTTTTTTTATTGTTGTATTGTTATTTTTATTGGCTTTTCCTGAACATTTTCAATCTGTAGTTGGTTGAATCTGTAGATGCTGAATCTACAGATATGAAGGGCCAATTGCACTGAGTTGGAGAAGCTTAATCCAATTCTGCTGCCTGGAAAACCAGACCCCAGTACTACCCTGCTTTGTGCCCTTCTGGATCTTGTTCTTTAAGTGTTGCTTTGATTCTGTGTGATCCCTCATGTCCTTCAACATATTCATTTTTGGCTTAAGTTGTCCAGTTTTTGTTCCTTGTAACCATGTAACCCTAACTGGTACACCACAATTACACATTCAGTTATTCTATGTTCCTGTTAACATTTAATTACATGTATCTCAAGTCACTTTATAGAAGCATTGTTGGTAATAAAGGGGAACAATTAGGTAGGGTTTAAATAAGCCTGCTGATGAAAGTCAATGTGACTGTATTATTCCAGAAAGAAAATACATTGAAAATGTCCCCCAAACTCTTTCTGCATTTATTTCATTAACTGAATGGAATAGTGAATCAAGAATCAGAAGACCTAACTGCTAGATCCAGCCCAATGACAAAAAGTTTGTGTGAGCTTGGGTAAGTCACTTTCCCTCTCTGAACTTATTTCAAATGTGTAAGATGAAGTAGAGAGGGTCTTTGAGTGTTCCTCTCATAAGTCATAAGGTTCTAAATGGAAAAAATGTGCCTTAGAAATTACTGAGGAATTGAGTAGATGCATCTTGAGGCCTCTTTTTTTTCTGAAAATGAAGACATTTTCCTCATACAGATTAGTAAACAGAGTTGAGTTCTAAATGGACTTCTTGAAGTAGAAATGTAACAGTGAGCGTGTTATGAAAGACCCAGGCTATTTCTCATGCCTGTAATTATCTTATATTCAAGGGGAGAACTCCAAAGGTCAGGATTATCAAATAGCTCTTCCGTTACCTGACTGGAAGCTAGTTATGGACCAATCCCAAGAAGGTGAGCAATTTGTATCATTTAATTTTTAGCTATTAATAAGTGAATTTCAGATTAATTTGGATCTTCAAAGGAAATGAAGCAAAATGAATCATAAAGCTTATTGGGTTATTTCCTTGGCAACTATTCAAACTTTATAGTTTCAAGTTCAGATATATTGCCAAAGAGGAACAAATAAAAAAATACAACTGTCATTTGAAATAAACAGTTTGAATCCTGAAAACTATTTATCTTTTCTTTTCTTTTTTTTTTTTTCCTGGGACAGAATTTTGCTCTTGTTGCCCAGGCTGGAGTGCAGTGGCATGATCTTGGCTCACTGCAACCTCCGCCTCCCGGGTTCAAGCAATTCTCCTGCCTTAGCCTCCCGAGTAGCTGGGATTACAGGTGCCTGCTACAACGCCTGGCTAATTTTTGGTATTTTTAGTAGAGATGGGGTTTTACCATGTTGGCCAGGCTGGTCTCGAACTCCTGACCTCAGGTGGTCAACCCACCTCTGCCTCCCAAAGTGCTGGGATTACAGGCATGACCCACCGTGCCCCGGCCTATCTTTTCATCTCATTTCCTCATCTTATACTTCTCTGACTTCCAAAGGCCACCCAAACCACAAGTCTCCTAAAGTAACTCCTGCTCTGTTTCTGCTTATTCTGGGGTTCATTCCTTTTGCAACTTAATGAGATCACCTCCCAGCCCTGTAGTCAGTGGCCCTGTGCTGAGCAAAATGGTCTGTTCATTCAGTGAAAGGCTAAATATCAAAGTACTCTGATGAATTTTACCTGGAGCTAAACTCATCAGACAGGATAAAAGAACATTATCGATGGGAAAATTTACTTCTTTCAAATATCACAGAAACTTACACACACAAAATGATAAAGGTATAAGAAATACTAAGATATGTTTTCCTATACCAATGGGGTTTTTCTTTCAAAAACAATTTCAGAACACATTTTTTTCCCAATCATTAATTTTTCTTATTTCATCAGTTAACATGATTAAGATGAAATGAGATATGTGAAAAGCCATCAACACCACTTTGAGGCTTTACAATACCTGCCAACCCTTGAGCTCTGACATTGAACTAGGCACTGTTGTGAACTATATACAAATAATATTATTTACTTCTCACTGTCCTTCAAAACAGATACTATTACTCTTGCTATTTTCCTGATAAGGAAACTAAAGCTCAGAGTGAGAGAGCGCTGTGCCCAAGGTCACACAGCTAGGGAGCAGCAGAGCTAGAGGTCACAGCTAGGCCTCCACTTAAGATTCAAGCTTTTAACTACTCTGTTCATATTAAGAAATTCAAGGTGAATCCTAAAGAAAAAGAAAGTGGATTGTGGTTTCTTGCAAATGTTGAAATATTAACTGAATGTTATGCCAAAAGGAGAAAAAAAAAGCCATTTTCCCCCTTTGAAATGGCACTGTCAGGAATGACTGAGGCTACTGTGTGTGTATGACATCTGACATCTGGACCATGAGCCACCAGCATGTCCCATGATTTTGCATTTGACTTAATGATCTGGGGTCTTCCCAGTGGTATGATTTAGTGGGGCGGGGGTCGTTGTCCTTAATGTTGGTTTCTCATCATTGAGAGGTAAAAGCTAGAGTTCTTGTGACCTAAGCAAAGAGTGGCTTTGACTGGAGATTGGATTTACAAGAAGATCCATCTGTGCAGCCTCCATGGGAAGGGGTCGCATATTTATCTCCCAAGAATTTGACACAAGCCATTTGTCAGCCACAGTCACACATGCTTGCTGTTTCCATGCTTGCTCCTTTTAGTCAAAGCAATAATTCCTGGTTTTGAGAGCACAACTGTGGGGTGCCAGGTGTTGATATTTTAGAAACAAACAGCGGTAAGGGACAGCTGTGGTGGTGGATTTCAATTTTTTTTTTCCGCCAAGCTGGCGATAGTATACTATGCAGATGAAATTAAAGCGTTTCAGACACTAAGTCTTTGCATCTCCACAATAATGTGCGATTTGTGATGACCTTTCTCTGAGGGACTCCCCCCGGAATTTACCTTCATTCTGAGGCCAGAGCTTCAAAGGACTGTGCTGCCGCACTTATACCTTGTGAATGCCATGAGCGATCTTTCAGATTTTCCTGTACTTTCTGTATTGTTCCAGCCTCTCCACCACTATGCCTGTTCTCATCATTATCATTCATCAATATGCCCATTTTCATGTCAATTCAAATTCAGTGTGACATTTGCTTTCACTTTCCTTTGTGGGTCAACGTCCTTCTGAGCCTCACAAGCGCTGGTTATGGCATAATGATTACTGCTCTGGGTAATACTCATTTGTGTGTTCTCATTTATTAAGGGAGAAATAATTTAATGAGGTTTCTATGAATTCTTTTTGTTTCTCAGGTAAAAGCAGCGCAGTGCTAACAAAAATCACTCCTCCAGATTCTTTAATAGGTAGTGAAATCAGACCCTCAAATAAAGTAAAATTTTAATTTGATACAGGATTAGTGGGACATTACTTTGATTTTTTTAAATAGTTCAGGTTAGTGGTTATAGAAAATGCTGTGTTCACCCTAGCACTTAACTCCTTTGAGAATCTTATGAAAGCTATATACCTCTGCCCAGAAAAAAATGCAAATGTGTTCAAGGTTTCAGATACACTTCCAGGTTTTCGTGGATCCAGTGAACACTTTACCACGTATATTCTAGGCTTTTGCTAAGAGAACTTTTCTGTGATGAAATGTTCATATCCACACTGTTCAGTATGGCAGCCATGGAATACATGTGGCTATTGAGCATTTGAAATATGGCAGATGCAAATGAGGCACTGAATTTTTAACCTAATTTACATTTAAAGAGCCACATGTGGCTAGGAGGTACTATATTGGGTGATTAGCTCTAGACAAGAGGTTCACAGACATGAGACTAAGACCCCTATACATATATATTTATTTTTTAAAAGCAGCTTTATTAAGATCCAAGTCACATATCATACAATTTGGCCATTTAAAGTATGTAATTTAATGATTTTTAGTATATTTACACTTATGCAAACCATCACCACAATTAATCTTAGAAGATTTCTCTCACCCAAAAAGAAACCCTAAATTCCACTAATGGTGGAATTTCCCATTTTCCCTCAGTTTCTGCTAGATCTAGGTAACCATGAATCTACTTTTTTTTCTCCAAGATTTGTCAATTCTGAACATTCTAGATAAATGGAATCACGATTTTTTTCTTCGTGACTGGCTTCTTTACATCATTCTTTGAAATGTTCTTTTGGATGTTGTTAATCCATGATGTCATATCAATGATACTGATCATGATGTATCAGTGACCGTGATGAACAATACTTCATTCCTTTATGTTGTTGAATAATATTTTATTGTATGAATATATCACATTTTGTTTATCCATTCATGAATTGATAACCATTTGGGTTGCTTCCACTTTTTGGCTATGATGAATAATGCTGCTATGAATATCCATGGGTATCTGTATGGATGCATGTTTCAAATTCTCTTGGGTATATATCTAGGAGTGGAATTGCTGGATCATGTGGTAACTCATCTGTAACATGTTTGGCACTGCCAAACTGTTTTTCTAAGTGCTTGCACTGTTTTATATTCCCTCCAGCAATGCATGGTAGCTTCAATTTCTCTACATCCTCACGAATGCTTGCTATATATACTTATTAATTTAAGCATTCTAGCAGGGGACAAAATGGTATCTTATTATGGTTTTGGCTTGTATTTTCCTAATGGCTAAGGATGTGGAGCATCTCTTCATGTGATTATTGACCATTTGTGTATTTTTTTTTTGGAAAATGTCTGTTAAAATTCTTTGTCAATTTTTTGATTGGGTAATTGGTCTTTTTATTGTTGAGTTGTAAGCATTCTTTATATATTCTGGATAAGTCCCTATCATACATATATGATATACATCAATTTGTATTTTATGTACAAAAGATTTACAAATACATTCTTTCATTCTCTGGGTTGTCTTTTTACTTTCTTAATGGTGTCCTTTAAGATGTAAATTTTTTAATTTAGTAAAGTCCAGTTTATCTATTTTTTTGGGTCAATTAGGCTTTTGATGTCATAGGAAAGAAACCATAGCCTGATCGAATGTCATGAAGATTTACCCTATGTTTTCTACTAACAGTTATAGATTTAGCTCTTATATTTTGGCCTATGATGTATTGTGAGTTCATTTTTTTTTGTTTATGCCATGAGAACGGGATCCAACTCTGTTCTTTTGTAGGTGGATAACCAATAGTTCTAGCATCCTTTCTTTTTGAAAAAGTTTAATTAAAAATTTAAGATCCATAAATTAAGAAATCAACACTTTAGCATTTCCCTTTCAATGCAGTTACATGATTGCCTTTTCCATTTGTTCAAATATTTTTTTCCTTTTCTTAGTTGACATGTAATAATTGTACATGTTAATGGGATATAGTGTGATATTTCCATACATGTATACAATGTGTAATAATCAAATCAGAGTAGTTAGCATATCCATTATCTCAAACACTTAACATTTCTTCATGTCATGAACATTTAAAATCCTCTTTTCTACCATTTTGAAAATATACACTAGACTGACAGGGATCTGGCAAGACAGCCAAATAGAAACAGCTCCAGTCTGCAGCTCCCAGCAAGACCAACACAGAAGATGGGTGATTTCTGCATTTCCAACTGAGGTACATGGTTCATCTCATTGGTACTGGTTAGTCAGTGGGTGCAGCCCACGGAGGGTGAGCAGAAGCCAGGTGGGGTGTTGGCTTACCTGAGAAGTGCAGGGGGCTGGGGAACACTCTCCCCTAGCCAAGGGAAGCCATGAGGGACTGTGCTGTGAGGGACGGTGCTATCCGGCCCAGATACTACGCTTTTCCCACAGTTTTTGCAACCCACAGACCGGGAGATTCCTTCGGGTGCCTACACAACCAGGGACTTGGGTTTCAAGCACAAAACTGGGCGACTGTTTGGGCAAACACTGAGCTAGCTGCAGGAGTTTTTTTCTGTACCCCAGTGGTGCCTGAACGCCAGAGAAACAGAACCGTTCACTCCCCTGGAAAGGGAGCTGAAGCCAGGGAGCCAAGTGGTCTTGCTCAGCGGGTCCCACCCCCATGGAGCCCAGCAAGCTAAGATCCATTGGCTTGAAATTTTCACTGCCAGCACAGCAGTCTGAAGTCAACCTGGGACGCTGGAGCTTGGTGGGGGGAGGGGTGTCCGCCATTACTGAGGCTTGAGTAGGTAGTTTTCCCCTCACAGTGTAAACAAAGCCACTGGGAAATTCAGACTGGGTGGAACCCACCGCAGCTCGGCAAGGCCGTTGTAGCCAGACTGCCTCTCTAGATTCCTCCTCACTGGGCAGGGCATCTCTGAAAGAAAGGCAGCAGCCCCAGTCAGGGGCTTATAGTTAAAACTCACATCTCCCTGTGACAGAGCACTTTGGGGAAGGGGTGGCTGTGGGCACAGCTTCAGCAGACTTAAACATTCCTGCCTGCTAGCTCTGAAGAGAGCAGCAGATCTCCCAACACAGCACTTGAGCTCTGCTAAGGGACAGTCTGCCTCCTCAAGTGGGTCCCTGACACCTGTGCCTCCTGACTGGGAGACACCTCCCAGCAGGGGTTGACAGACACCTCATACAGAAGAGCTCTGGCTGGCATCTGGCAGGTGCCCCTCTGGGAGGAAGTTTCCACAGAAAGGAGCAGGCAGCAATCTTTGCTGTTTTGCAGCCCCGCTGGTGATATCCATGCAAATAGGGTTTGGAGTGGACCTCTAGAAAACTCCAGCAGATCTGAAGCAGAGGGTCCAGACTGTTACAAGGAAAACTAAGAAACAGAAAGCAATAACATTAACATCAACAAAAAGGATGCCCAAGAAAAACCCCATCCAAACATCATTAGCATCAAAGATCAAAAGTAGATAAATCCATGAAGGTGAGGAAAAAACAGCGCAAAAATGCTGAAAATTCCAAAAACCAGAACACCTGTTCTCCTCCAAAGGATCACAACTCCTTGCCAGCAAGGGAACAAAACTGGACGGAGAATGAGTTTGACAAATTGACAGAAGTAGGCTGCAGAAGGTGGGTAATAACAAACTCTTCCAAACTAAAGGAGCATGTTCTAACCCAATGCAAGGAAGCTAAGAACCTTGAAAAAAGGTTACAAGAACTGCTAAGTAGAATAACCAGTTTAGAGAAGAACATAAATGACCTGATGAAGATGAAAAACACAGCATGAGAACTTTGTGAAGCATACACAAGTATCAACAGCTGAATCAATCAAGTGGAAGAAAGGATATCAGACATTGAAGATCAACTTAGTGAAATAAAGCATGAAGACAAGATTAGAGAAAAAAGAATGAAAAGGAATGAACAAAGCCTCCAAAACATATGGGATTATGTGAAAAGACCAAACCTATGATTGACTGGTGTACCTGAAAGTGACAGGGAGAATGGAGCCAAGTTGGAAAACACACTTCAGGATACCACCCAAGAGAACTTCCCCAGCCTAGCAAGACAGGCCAACATTCAAATTCAGGAAATACAGAGACCACCACAAAGACACTCCTTGAGAAGAGCAACCCAAAGACACATAATTGTCAGATTCACCAAGGTTAAAAGGAAGGAAAAAATGTTAAGGGCAGCCAGAAAGGTCAGGTTACCTACAAAGGGAAGCCCATCAGACTAACAGTGATCTTTCTGCAGAAGTTCTACAAGCCAGAAGAGAATGCAGGCCAACATTCAATATTCCTAAAGAAAAGAATTTTCAACCCAGAATTTCATATCCAGCCAAACGAAGCTTCATAAGCAAAGGAGAAATAAAATCCCTTACAGACAAGCAAATGCTGAGAGTTTTTGTCACCTGCCTTACAAGAGCTCCTGAAGGAAGCACTAAATATGGAAAGGAAAAACTGGTACCAGCCACTGCAAAAACATACCAAAAGACAAAGACAATGATGCTACGAAGAAACTGCATCAACTAATGTGCAAAATAACCAGCTAGCATCATGATGACAGAATCAAATTCACACATAACAATATTAACCTTAAATGTAAATGGGCTAATTAAAAGACACAGCATAGCAAATTGGATAAAGAGTCAAGACCTATCGATGTGCTGTATTCAGGAGACCCATCTCATGTGCAAAGACACAAATAGGCTCAGAATAAACGGATATAGGAATATTTACCAAGCAAATGAAGAGTGAAAAAAAAGCAGGGTTTCAATCCTAGTCTCTGATAAACAGACTTTAAACCAACAAAGATCAAAAAAGACAAAGAGGCCATGACATAATGGTAAAGGGATCAATGCAAGAAGAAGAACTAACTATCCTAAATATATATGCACCCAATACAGGAGCACCCAGATTCATAAAGCAAGTTCTTACAGACCTACAAAGAGAGTTAGACTCCCACACAATAATAATGGGAGACTTTAACACCTCACTGTTAATATTTGATCAACAAGACAGAAAATTACCAAGGATATTCAGGACTCGAACTCAGCTCTGGACCAAGCAAACCTAATAGACATCTACAGAACTCTCCACCCCAAATCAACAGAACATACATTCTTCTGAGCAACACATCACACTTATTCTAAAATTGACCACATAATTGGAAGTAAAACACTTCTCACCAAATGCAAAAGAACGGAAGTCATAACAATCTCTCAGACCACAGTGCAATCAAATTACAACTCAAGATTAAGAAACTCACTCAAAACTGCATGACTACATGGAAACTGAAAAACCTGCTCCTGAATGACTACTGGGTAAATAACCAAATTAAGGCAGAAATAAATAAGTTCTTTGAATCCAGTGAGAACAAAGATACAACATACCAGAATCTCTGGAACACAGCTAAAGCAGTGTGTAGGGGGAAATTTAAAGCACTCAGTGACCACATTAGAAAGCAGGAAAGATCGAAAATCAACACCCTAACATCACAATTAAAAGAACTAGAGAAGCAAAGCAAACAAATTCGAAAGCTAACAGAAGACAAGAAATAACTAAGATCAGAGCAGAACTGAAGCAGATAGAGACACAAAAAACCCTTCAAAAAATGAATAAATCCAGGAGCTGGTTTTTTGAAGAGATAGACTACTAGCCAGACTAACAAAGAAGAAAAGAGAGAACAATCAAATAGACACAATAAAAAATGATAAAGGGGAGATCACCACTGATCCCACAGAAATACAAACTACCATGAGAGAATACTATAAACACCTCTACACAAATAAACTAGAAAATCCAGAAGAAATGGATAAATTCCTGGACACATATGCCCTCCCAAGACTAAACCAGCAAGAAGTCAAATCCCTGAATAGACCAATAACAAGTTATGAAATTGAGGCAGTAATTAATAGCCTACCAAACAAAAAAAGCCCAGGACCAGATGGATTCGCAGCCAAATTCTACCAGAGGTACAAAGAGGATCTGGTACCATTCCTTCTGAAACTATTCCAAACAATAGAAAAAGATGGACTCCACCCTAACTCATTTTATGAGGCCAGCATCATCCTGATACCAAAACCTGGCAGAGACACAACAAAAAAAGAAAATTTCAGGCCAATATCCCCGATGAACATCAATGCAAAAATCCTCAATATAATATTGGGTAAAGGAATCCAGCAGCACATCAAAAAGCTTATGCACCAAAAATCAAATTGGCTTCATCCCTGGGATGCAAGGCTGGTTCAACATATACAAATCAATAAACATAATCCATCACATAAACAGAACCAATGACCAAAAGCACATGATTATCTCAATAGATGCAGAAAAGGCCTTCAATGAATTTCAACACCCCTTCATACTAAAAACTCTCAATAAACTAGGTACTGATGGAGCATATCTCAAAATAATAAGAGCTATTTATGATAAACCTATACCTAATATCATATCAAATGGGCAAAAGCTGGAAGCATTCCCTTTGAAAACCAGCACAAGACAAGGATGCCCTCTCTTACCACTCCTATTCAACACAGTATTGGAATTTCTAGCCAGGGCAGTCAGGCAAGAGAAAGAAATAAAGAGTATTCAAATAGGAAGAGAGGAAGTCAAATTGTCTCTGTTTGCAGATGACATGATTGTA
This sequence comes from Homo sapiens, assembly GCF_000001405.40. NCBI lineage: Eukaryota > Metazoa > Chordata > Mammalia > Primates > Hominidae > Homo > Homo sapiens. The sequence continues at coordinate 66,897,225 of NC_000003.12, forward strand.
TATTTAGAAAACCCCATCATCTCAACCCCAAAACTCCTTAAGCTGATAAGCAACTTCAGCAAATTCTCAGGATAAAAAAATCAATGTGCAAAAACCACAAGTATTCCTATACACCAATAATAGACAAACAGCCAAATCATGAGTTAACTCCCATTCGCAATTGTTACAAAGAGAATAAAATACCTAGGAATACAACTGACAAGGCACATGAAGGACTTCTTCCAGGAGAACTACAAACCACTGCTCAAGAATATAAGAGAGGACACAAACAAATGGAAAAACATTCCATGTTCATGGATAGGAAGAATCAATATCATGAAAATAGCCATACTGCCCAAAGTAATATGTAGATTAAATGCTATTCCCATCAAGCTACCATTGGCTTTCTTCACAGAATTAGAAAAAACTACTTTAAATTTCATACGGAACCAAAAATGAGCCTGTATAGCCAAGAAAATCCTAAGCAAAAAGAACAAAGCTGGAGGCATCATGCTGCCTTGTTGCGGGAAGTCAGGGACCCAGAACGGAGGAACCAGCTGGAGCTGCGGCAGAGGAATATAAATTGTGAAGATTTCATTTTAATATGGACATATATCAGCTCCCAAAAGTAATACTTTTATAATTTCTTAAGCCTGTCTTTACTGCAATCTCTGAAAATAAATTGTGAAGATTTCGTGGACATTTATCAGTTCCCAAAATTAATACTTTTACAATTTCTTATGCCTGTCTTTAATCTCTTAATCCTGTTATTTTCATCAGCTGAGAATGTACATCACCTCAGGACCTCTATTGTGTTAAACTGTACAAATTGATTGTAAAACATGTATGTTTGAACAATATGAAATCAGTGCACCTTGAAAAAGAACAGAAAAACAGTCATTTTCAGGGAACAAGGGAAGACAACCATAAGGTCTGACTGCCTGCAGGGTCGGGCAGAATACAGTCATATTTTTCTTCTTGCAAAGAGCCTATAAACGGACGTGCAAGTAGGGAAGAAATCACTGAATTCTTTTGCTAGAAGGAATATTAATAATTAAGACCCTGTGAAAGGAATGCATTCCTGGGGGGAGGTCTATAAACAGCTGCTCTGGGAGTGTCTATCTTATGCATTGAGATAAGGACTGAAATACGCCCTGGTACGCTGCAGTACCCTTAGGCTTATTAGGGTGGGGAAAAAAACCCCACCCTGGTAAATTTGAGGTCGGACCAGTTCTCTGCTCTTGAACCCTGTTTTCTGTTGTTTAAGATGTTTATCAAGATAATACATGCACAGCTGAACGTAGACCCTTATGGGGAGTTTTTGATTTTGCCATTTGCCTTGTGGTCTTTGCTTTGCCCTTTGCCTTGTGATCTTTACTGGCCTCAGAAACATGTGATCTTTGCTCTCCTTTTTGCCCTTTGATGCATGTGATCTTTGTGACCTACTCCCTGTTCGTACACCCCCTCCCCTTTTAAAGCCCTTAATAAAAACCTTCTGGTTTTTCAGCTCAAGTGGGCCTCAAGGTCCTACCTATATGTGATGTCACCCCGGAGGCCCAGCTGTAAAATTCCTCTCTTTGTACTCTTTCTCCCTATTTCTCAGCTGGCCGACACTTAAGGAAAATAGAAAGAACCTATGTTGAAATATTGGGGGCTGGTTCCCCTGATACTACCTGACTTCAAACTATACTACAAGGCTACAGAAACCAAAACAGCATGGTACTGGTACCAAAACAAATATATAGACCAATGGAACAGAATAGAGGCCTCAGAAATAATACCACACAGCCAGAACCATCTAATCTTTGACAAACCTGATAAAAACAAGAAATGGGGAAAGGATTCTCTATCTGATAAATGATGTTGGGAAAACTGGCTAGCCATATGTAGAAAACCGAAACTGTACCACTTCCTTACACCTTATACAAAAATTAACTCAAGATGGATTAAAGACTTAAACGTAAGACCTAAAACCCTAGAAGAAAACCTAAGCAATACCATTCAGGACATAGGCATGGGCAAAGACTTCATGACTAAAACACAAAAAGCAATGGCAACAAAAGTCAAAATCAACAAATGGGATCTAATTAAACTAAAGAGCTTGTGCACAGCAAAAGAAACTATCATCAGAGTGAACAAGCAACCTATAAAATGGGAGAAAATTTTGCAATCTATTCATCTGACAAAGGGCTAATATCCAGAATCTACAAGGAATTTAAACAAATTTACAAGAAAAAAACAAAAGCCCTGTCAAAAAATGGGCAAAGGATATGAAAAGACACTTCTCCAGAGAAGACATTTATGTGGCCAACAAACACATAAAAAAAGCTCATCATCACTGGTCATTAGAGAAATGCAAACCAAAACTACAATGAGATACCATCTCCTACCAGTTAGAATGGCAATCATCAAAAAGTCAGGAAACAACAGATGCTGGAAAGGATGTGAAGAAATAGGAATGCTTTCACACTGTTGGTGGGAGTGTAAATTAGTTTATCCATTGTGGAAGACAGTGTGGAGATTCCTCAAAAATCTAGAACCGGAAATACCATTTGACCAAGCAATCCCATTACTGGGTATATACCCAAAGGATTATACATCATTCTACTATAAAGACACATGCACACGTATGTGTATCGCAGTACTATTCACAATAGCAAACAGTTGGAACTAAGTCAAATGCCCATCAATGATAGAGTGGATAAAGAAAATGTGGCACAAATACACCATGGGATACCATACAGGCATAAAAAGAATGAGTTCATGTCCTTTGCAGGGATACGGATGAAGCTGGAAACCATGATTCTCAGCAAAGTAACACAGGAACAGAAAATCAAACATTGCGTGTTCTCACTTATAAGTTGGAGCTGAACAATGAGAACACATGGACATGGGGAGGGAAACATCACACACCGGGGCGTTTCAGGGGGTAGGGGGCAAGAGGAGGGATAGCATTAGGAGAAATTCCTAATGTATGAAGGGCTTAAAACCTAGATGATGGGTTGATGGGTGTAGAAATCACCATGGCACATGTATAGCTATGTAACAAACCTGAACATCCTGCACATGTATCCCAGAACTTAAAGTATAATAAAAAAAGAATAAAAAAATAAAAAACACAAATGAACAAACAAAAAAAGAAAATGTAAACTAAATTGTCATTAACCATATTCACCTAACAGTGCTACAGAACACTAGAACTTATTCCTTCTCTCTAGCTATCATTTTATATCCATTAACCAACCTCTCCCTAGCCTCCTCCCTCTCTAAACCTTCTTAGCCTCTAATAACCACTATTCTACTCTCTACTTCTACAAGCTCAATTTAACTCTTTCTTGAAAAGACCACTCTTTGCTCATTGAATTGTCTTGATTCCTTTGTCAAAAATCAATTAACCATAAATGTAAAGGTTTATTTCTGAACTCTCAATTCTATTCTATTGATCTATGTCTATCCTCAGGCAAGTATCACACTGTCTTGATTACTATAGCTTTGTAGTAAGTTTTGAAGTTGAAAAATGTAAGTTCTGTAATTTTTGTTCTTCTTTTTCAAGATTGTTTTGAAGCTCTTCTGGGTCTCCTTCATTCCTATATGAATATTTGGATAAGTTTGCCAATTTCTGTAAAAAAAAAAAAAACCATCTGGGGTTTTGATCAAGATTTTGTTGAGTCCAAGATCAATTTGGGAAGTATTGCCATTTTAACAATAGTAAGCCTACTGATCTAGGTACATGCATTGCTTTGTTGAATATATTCATTGGAAATTCTTTTACAGCAATTCTGTCCCACAGCTTATTTTCTTTCATTCACTTCAAATTATTTCATATCCATCTACTGATTATTTTAAAACTAATATTTTGAGAAAAATCATATGTATTTTCATGACACAACCACTTATATATTTTTCATTTTTATTGAGTGTCTACTATGTTCTCTGCATGTTGTTAAGCATTCCTGATTTTAGTAATGAGTCTTCTCATTCTTCTGGTCAGTATAGCTAAAGGTTTGTTGATTTTGTTGATCTTTTAAAAGAACCAACTTTTAGTTTCATATATTTTTTTTGTATTTCCTATTCTCTAGTTCATTAATTTCTGCTCTAATCTTTATTATTTCCTTCCTTCTGCCTACTCTAGGTTTAGTTGGCTCTTTTTTCCCCAGTGTCTTAAGGTGGAAAGTAAGGCTATTGACTTGAGATCTTTCTTCTCTTTTCATGTAGGCATTTATAGCTATAAATTTTCCTCTAATAGCTGCTTTAGCTGCATCCCATCAGTTTATAGACTGTGTTTCGTTTTCATCCATCTCAAATTATTTTCTAATTTCCTTGTAATTTCTTCTTTGATCCACTGGTTATTTAGGCATATAAGTTCATTTAAGTGTTAAGTTCAATAATTTAATTATGGAAGGGAAAAATTCCAATTTCTCTTGCAAATCAAAACCACAATGTAATACTATCTCACACCAGTCAGAACAGCTATTACTGGAAAGTCAAAAAATAACAGACGCTGGCAAGGTTGCTATATGGTTTGGCTGTGGCCCCACCCAAATTTCATCTTGAATTGTAACTCCCACAATTCCCACATGTTGTGGGAGAAACTCAGTGGGAGGGAATTAAATTATGGGGGTGGGTCCTTCCTGTGCTGTTCTTGTGATAGTGAATGAGTCTCACGAGATCTGATGGTTTTAAATACGGGAGTTTCTCTTCACAAGCTCTCTCTTTGCCTGCCACTATTCACATAAGATGTAACATGCTCCTCCTTGCCTTCCACCATGATTGTGAGGCTTCCCCAGCCACATGCAACTGTGAGTTCTCCATTAAACTTCTTTCCTTTGTAAATCTCCCTGTCTTGAGTATGCCTTTATTAGCAGGGGGAAAATGGACTAATACAGTTGTGGAGGAAAGAGAACACTTAAACACTGTTATGGGGAGTATAAATTAGCTCAACCATTGTGGAAAGCAGTGTGGTGATTCCTCAAACAGCTAGAAACAGAAATACAACTTAAAGTAGCCATCCCATTACTGGGTATATATCCAAAGGAATATAAATCATCCTATCATAAAGACAGATGTACATGTAAGTTCATTGTAGCACTATACACAATAGCAAAGACGTGGAATCAACCTACATGCCCATTAATGACTGATCGAATAAAGAAAATGTGGTAAATATGGCCAGGTGTGGTGGCTCACACCTGTAATCCCAGCACTTTGGGAGGCCTAGGTGGGTACATCACCTGAGGTCAGGAGTTTGAGATCAGCCTGGCCAACATGGTGAAACCCTGTTTCAACTAAAAATACAAAAATTAGCTGGGCATGGTGGCACACACCTGTAATCAAAGCTACTTGGGAGGCTGAGGCAGGATAATCACTTGAACTTGAGACGTGGAGATTGCAGTGAGCCAAGATTGTGCCACTGCACTCCAGCCTGGGTGACAGAGTGAGACTCTGCCAAAAAAAAAAAAATATGGTAAATATACACCATGGAATATTATGCAGCCACACAAAGAATGAGACCATGTTCTTTGTAGGAACATGGATGGAGCAAGAGGCCATTATTCTTAGCAAACTAACACAGGAACAAAAAACCAAATACTGCATGTTCTCACTTATAAGTGGGAGCTAAATGGTGAGAACCTATGGACAGCAAGAGGGTACAACAGACACTAGGGCCTACCTGAGGTAAGAGGGTGAGAGAAGGGAGAGGATTAGAAGAAAAAACTATTGGGTACCAGGCTTAGTATCTGGGTGTTGAAATAATTTGTACAACAAACTCTCGTGACACAAGTTTACCTACATAACAAACCTGCACATGTACCCCTGAACCTAAAATAAACTTTTTTTAAAAAGAAAAACATCAATTTGTCACCTGCTAGGTTCTGATTTTTTTAAATGAGTCATTTGCATTCAGCAAATAAACATACTTTCTGTACTTATTTAGTTCATTTCCACTTCTACATCTTTGTACCTGCTTCTCCAGCTTTAATATGCACACAGGTCATCTGGGAATTTTGCTAAAATGCAGATTCTGTCGGTCTGGTGCAGGCCCTGAGATTTCACATTTAATACAAATTCCCAAGTGCTGCTGATTCTGATGTTGCTAGTTTGGTGAATCGGTTTTGAGTAGGAAGCCTTTATGCAACTACTTGGAATGTCCTTCTCAATTATTCTTTGTGATTAGGCTCAAAATGGTCCTTTGCCCAAAAGCTCCTATACTTTGTCCCTCTAGTCAGAGGTGAATATATCCTTTTCTAGAACCTCTAACATCCTTCTCATACCCTTTATTTGTACTTGCCCCATTCTTTTAATCATTTCTTTATATAGTGTTTTCTGCCAAAGGACTATGAAACTAAGGAGAGCAGGGTTTTGTTCTCTTCATGACTTTGTGCTTCAGTGTCTGAGGGTTCAGACTAGATGTTTATTAACTATCCAGTGAATGGATTATAATAGCTAACACTTTTTTTTTCTACAAAAGAAAGAGATTTATTGGACTTACAGTTCCACACGGCTGGGGAGACCTCACAATCATGGCAGAAGGCAAGGAGAAGCAAGTCACATCTTACATGGATGGCAGCAGGCAAAGAGAGGTCTTGTGCAGAGAAACTCCCATTTTTAAAACCATCAGATCTCATGACACCCATTCATATAAAGGCTAACATGTTTTGTGTGTCAACTACGTGCCAGGACAGCGTCAAGTGCTCTGCAGATGTCATCTCATTTAATCATCACACCAGCCCCATGAGGAAGGTTTCATTATTATCCTCATTTTGCATACAGGCGCTGAAAATCTTATTTGTGTTCATGATTAGCTGAATTTGTTTCTGGTTCTTTTAGAAAATTAACAGTCTAATTTAACTACACAGAACAAAGCTCTGGGGGAATCTAATACATGCTGCATTTTATTTGCATGTATTATGATAGCCAAATCAAAAACAGAGAAACAGCAAAATACTGTTTCCTTTTATGCCTACATGGGGTACTGAAACAGGTGGACAGCAACAATGATGCTGCTTCTCTAGTCCTGCCCTCACCTGTGGTCAGTGTATTCCTATGTGGTCAGTGCATTTGTCTCCAGCTCGGTCTCCTGCCTTCAGCTTCCTCTCTTCTATGCATCCTCTAAAATATGAATTAGATCATGCCACTGCCTACAATATTCTCTGACTTATAGGTTCCCTATAAGATAATGTCTAAACTCCCTAGGGCAGTTTAAAATTTTCCTTTCGGCAAACTGTCTAGCATCTCCTCCTTCTATCTCCTTTACACACACTATACTTCCTAAGTCTAGAATGACTAGTCATTCCCCAGGCATGGCAAGCTTTTACTTCTTTGAGTCTTGCACGTTTTTCTTCCCACTGCCTTCAGTATCCTTCCTCCCTGAACTGACCTGTCCCTTGCCAACTCATCCTTTAGTACCCAGCTCCTACCAGCTCCACTGAAAAAATGGTCTCAGCTCCACCCTGTGCTCCAGGCTTTTCCCTCTGTGCTTTCTTAGAATTATACACATAACTCTGATATCATATGAATAGTTGCCACATTTTATCATACTAAAATATATATCTATTCATATATTTTCATCAAAGGCTGTGAGCTCCTCCAGGGCTAGAAATGCCTTATCCTTTTACTAAACACAAAAATTAGGACTCAATGGGTATTGTTGAGTAAAAAATTTGGTTAAAATATAAGTAGATTGGGACTAAGACACCAACTTTATCTACAACTAGAGCTCTTTCCCATTCATTACCAAAGCTCTTCAAGTGTCTAATTTCTATAGCAAGTATCACATCTGCTTTGAATTAGAGTTATGTTTGTGCATGAAATTCTGAGTTCCTCTAAAGGGCTGGAGTTACAGCACATTCATCTTTGTATCTCTCGGCTCACATAGGGAGTGTCTTGCACATAGAAACCATTCCATGAAGGTCTGCAGAACTGAAATAAGCTTAACTAGATTCACAGGTTTTAGCCAAGTTATTATAAAGCCTCCCACTACTCTGGGGAAACAATTATCTTCAACCCAGGAGTGAGGGATCTATTGCAATGCTGTTTGATGTTTCACACTCTCACATTCCCATGGCAAGAGACATCTTTGAAACACATGGGTGTACTGTCTACTCTGATTACATCAGTCAACACCCGAACCAGATAACAGCTATGCAATGAATGTGAAAAGAGAAGGAGTCATTTTAGAATGCAGAAGTCAATTGCAGAAGTAGAAATGACTCAGACAGCAATGCACTTGAATTTGAAACAGTGTTCATAGCTCCACTCTTTTTATATTTTGTTGTATCACAAATGAATTTGTAGATGAACATAGTAGCATGGCTCTCTTGATGATTTCTTCACATTGCAGCCTCAAACTCACTCTTTTTCTCACTATTCTGCAAGCATTTATTGAGCATCAACTAAGCATGAAGCACTATGCTAGGTACCACTACAATAAAAGATTTGGTAGGGGAAATATAGAATCAAAAAACTTTACTGGGTACTTAAAAATAATATTTTCAATTGCAAATGCAAGAAAAATCATATGCAGTCAGTATAACACCTGTAATTGCTTTAGTCCATATATGGTTTTAAATTCAAATTTGCTGTTGGATACTGCAAAATCAATAGCTTAATGATTCTAATGGTTATATATTAGCAACATTTGCAGCTCTAAGACAGTGATAATTGATATTAATGTAACTGTTCCTAGGATGAAGACAAATATTAATATGGCCACTGCTTTCTTCACCAATTCATCTCCTTCCACGCTTCTGATTTTTTCCACATACCTCAGCCACAATGGCTTTTCTTTTTTTTTTTAATTATTATACTTTAAGTTCTGGGATACATGTGCAGAATGTGCAGCTTTATTATATAGGTATACACGTGCCATGGCGAATGGTGGTTTGCTGCACCCATCAACATGTCCTCTACATTAGGTATTTCTCCTAGCCACACTGGCCTTTCTCCAGAGTCTTGGAGACTTTCAGCTCCTATGACAAAGCTTGCACATGCTGTTCCCTCTGCCTGGGACATCTTATCTCCCCTTCCCCATTCACATAAGTAACCCTATTTATCCTTCATGTCCCAGGGCAGTGTCACTTTCTCAGAAAAGGTTTCCCTGACCAGGTCATATCCTCCTCTCATACATCATCCCAGCACCAAAGACCTTTCCTTCAGAGCATTTACAGTAGTTACAATTTTGTAGTTGCTTTAAAAAATCTTGTCCTTATTGCTTTTCTGGTACCTCTACTGGACTGTAAGTTCATGAAGATAGCGAGGCAATTTATTTTTGTTTACTACTGGCTCAGCAGAGTGAAGGAAACACAGGAGGTACTCAATTTTAAAACACTACTGAATAAATTAATCTTAGCTCACTGCAACCTCCGCCTCCTGGGTTCAAGAGATTCTCGTGCCTCAGTCCTCCCAGGAGCTGGGATTACAGGTACATTCCACCGTGCCTAGCTAATTTTTTGTATTTTCAGTAGAGATGAAGTTTCACCAAGTTGCCCAGGCTGGTCCCGAACTCCTGAGCTAAGGAAATCTGCCCACTTCAGCCTCCCAAAGTGTTAGGATTACAGGTGTGAGCCACTGCACCTGGCCTGATCTGCCATTTCAATATTAGTAGTTGGAAATTATTCCATGTTTGCAGATGGATATAAAAACAGTTGAATTGAATGAAAGAAAAAAGCTGCAGAACAGGATTGCAGGAGGAGACTCTCAAATGAATATATTCAAAGATGTAGAGTCAAAGTGGATTCTGAAAACATTAAAAATTATAAACAAGATACCCTACATTCAAAGATACTATGGATAAATTATAGGAACTTTCCCCAAAAGCTGTGATGGCAAGAAAAATATAACGCTCAGACTTTTGAAACGTTAAAAAAAAGAAAGCAGTGGTATAAGGCAACCATCTTCTCATTTATGGCAGAAATGTAGACTCCTCCTAAAATGAATCTGAAAGCCACATGAGCATGTAACTACTTTAGAGGTCAGTCAGTCAAAATTCTAACTGAATCTACCCTGGAGATTACACCTACCGATATAAACTATGAACTAAGTGCATCAGTTATGTATGCAAGAGTGAAATGAGGGTGTGGGCATGTGTAAATGAAACATTGTGATTAATACACCTGTCAGAAATTAGAATGCTATGCCAGTTGGTGATTTGCCTTAAGCTTCTCTCCCGGAGAGCTCATATTGCAAAAGATGCCAGTTGTTCTACTTGACACCACCATTTGTTTTTGGTGGACCACGTAGAATTGGGTCTTAGACTCAGCTCTGCATTGAAATAAGTAAGAAAATTCTTCCTTTTTTAGGCTCAAAGGGGCCTGTGGGCCAGCATATGATGTGTATTGTCAGGTGGAATACTTAGATCTACGACAAAATTCTCCTTTATGAAAGCTTGTTGAGAACTCTTGGCTAGGGGTGGGTGTTTTCCAAATGTGACTTCGGAAGTCTGCAGGGACTTGGCACAAAGGAACCTGGTTCCCTCAGCAATTACAGAACTTTTATAAAGAGTAGGCCTCAGAAAATAAGCTTGTACTCTGATGATTTCAATGCTCAGACAGGAAGCCGTATAGGGTATTGCCATGAAGTGAAGTCTCCATGCCCATGGGAACAGAATCTTGCCCTGAAATGACAGTCCGATCTGTTTTCCTTGCTCAACCTTATCCTCTATCCTTTCCTAATTCCTGGTATAATGTGCCTTCCTTGCTCTATAAGTGATGGGCTCCTCTGCAACATGATTCTTATAAAGAGCTTTTGATTAATTAAAGAAGAGACAGAGAGGCTTGGGTAATCAGTCATGCAATTCACCTGTTCATAACCAATTTCATGCCTGCTCTCACCCACTCAATGGCACATGGTCAACTTCTCAAAGGTCTGGGGTGAATTTTCACAGATGGGGTCTGCAGAAAATCCTCTGCATATTATGTTAGTGGTAATGTAGTTACTCAACTATGTAATACTTAGTGGAATGCGTTTCATCCTAAAGGATAAAATAGAAAAACTCCTTTGGAATAAAATTTGGCAATATTAATCAAGCATCAGGAAATGATCAAAAACGTTCACACAGCATTAACATTTTGCTCTTTAAAATCTCTAAGGAAATAACTGATAAAAACTATGTGCACAAAGATACTTATGATTGCGTTTTTTATTATAGCAAAGAAATGGAAAGAAATCAAGTAACAAATAGAGGAACAGTTAAATAAAATGTGGTACATCCCCTTGTGGAAATAAAGTGATTATTGTTGAAGATAGTTAGCAAGACTAGGAAGCAGACTGAAAAAAAATGCTTAGGACTAACGTGAAATAAAAAAAATCAGAACACAAAGTTAAATTTATATGATGATAATAAATAATAAAATATACACACCATAAAATACAAGAAGGAAGTATATTAAATTGTTCCCGGGGTGGGGGGTTTAAATTGTGGGATTGTTGTCTGTTTTTATCCTCACCTTTAACACAGTCTAGTGAGTATGATTTTTTTTTTAAAAAAAGAGGTTTATAGAGATATAATTCACATACCAAAAGGTTCACTCTTTTCAAATGTACAGCCCAGTGGTTTTTAGCATATTCAAAGAGCTGTGCAAACATCACCACTCTCTAATCCCAGGATGTTTTCATCATCCCTCAAAGAAACTTGGTACCCTTTAGTTGTCACTCCCTGTTTGGTCCTCGCCCTAGCCCATGGCAACCACTAGTTTATTTTCAGTCTGTACAGACTTGCCTATTCTGAAGATTCCAAATAAGTGGAATCATACAATATGGCCTTTGGGGTTGGCTTCTTTCATTTAGCATAAGGTTTTCAAGGTTCATTCATACCGTAGCATCTATCAATGCTTAATTCCTTTTATGTCAAATAATATCCCATTTATTGGATATACCACATTTTATTGATCCGTTTACCAGGTGACGGACATTTGGGGTTATTTCCACTTACAGGCTATTATAAATAATGCTGCTATAAACATTCAGTTACAGGTGATCGTTTTCGTTTACTACAGGTATACATCTAGGAGCAGAATTGCTGGGTCATAAGGAAACCCTGTGTTTAACTTTTTAAGTATTGCCAACCTCTTTTTCAAAGTGGTGGCACCATTTTATGATCCTGTCAGCAATGTGTGAAATTTCTGTACCTTGGCTTTGCATGGGAAACAGTTAAATGAAAATTTCCTGAGAAAGTACAGTGATAGTTGGCAAAGGTTTGGGAGGGTAGTGGGGAGAGGGGGATACAGAGAGGATGGTTAATGGGTACAAAAATACAGTTAGATAGAAGGAATAAGATCTAGTGTTAGGCAGGACAATAGAGTGACTGTAGTTAGCAATAATTTATTGTATATTTCAAAATAACTCAAAGAGTGAAACTGCAATGTTCCTAACACAAAGAAATAATAAATACTTGAGGTGATGGATATCCCAATTTACCTTGATTTGATCATTACACACTGTATGTTTGTATCAAAATATCACATATACCCCATAAATATGGACAACTATTATGTATCCATAACTAAAAATGCAAAATTATATTTAAAAAATCATTTCATAACACAAATCAAAGCTTTGAACTTGTACCCTTTGTAGACTTATAGTCAAATTGTAACTACTCAAGTGGAACAGAACCCATAACCCCCTGTCTTTCCCTCCTCCCACCTGATAAGAAAATAACAGAAACTCTTATGGCCCAGTGGTACACTTGGATTGCCTGGGAAGGGAACATAAAACCCACCATGGAAGGACACTCCAGTTACCCAGGCAACGTGGAATTTACATGCATATGCACAAAACAAGCCCTATTTAAAATAAATACACAATCACACATCCACCTTGGAGCAAGAATCAGCAAACAGATAAACAAAACAACAAAAATAAGACTGTAGGATTAGAACCATAAGGACTTCTGATAAACCTATGACTGAGACAGTAAATTGAATATATTTAAAATTATTAAAGGGATAAAAGGAGTAGAAAACAAAAGGAGAGAACACAATGCACAAATCAACATCTAGCATATGTGAAAAATAATCCGGTAGAAAGACAGGTTCCCAGCAATGTGAAGAGAATAGGGGGGTGAAAAGAGAGGAAAAAGCCATCTGGACTTATAAAAATGTGTCTGTTTCTCAGCGGCTGTGTTTTAGTTTCATGGCATTAAGAAACACAATATACTTCTTGGTAAATGGCATTGTACTTAAATACTTATGCTCTTATTCTAAATAACTCCAACAGCTGTATTTCTTCAACCTTTGGCAATGAGTTCTATAATTAGAGTATGGTAATAGATCCCGGATCAGAAGCCAGAAAAGCGTAACCAGGTGTCCTCGCCACTTAGTCCCTCATGCTTTGGGGACCACATGTCTCTGATGATGCCGCTTCATTTCTTATAATGGTCCACTTTATCTTAGCTCTGAATACTATCAGCTGAATTCAACTTATTCCTTCCTTTCTATTTTCTATAACAACCAAAAATAAATAAATAAGGCATAGATGCTGCTCTGTTCTTAAATGTTTTCCTCTTTCAGAAGCTGGCACCCATTTTCCCAACTGAGAAATGTATTACTCAGCTTTCTATTTCAGAAATTTTCACATTTTGCAATCGATGGATTCTTCAGTGACAGTGATCTGTGTATAGTAATTTATAGACCTTTCTGGCTATTCAGGTCTTTGTCATGCATTCCAATAGATCTATTCTACTATTTCTTTTTTGCACTGTGAATGCTCCCACTTTGTGTCTTACTCCCTTCTCCCCCAAGAGTCATTCTGGCCATTTGCTTTGTCTTCCCCTAGAAAACAGAATGCTGGCTATTCTTTAATAAACTTGTGGTTGCTTGTGAATGCATGACATGTATTTTTACCTTAGAGAAAACCTAAATGTCTCATATGTTAATTTTTGGACAAACTTTAAAGTTGACTCATGAAGAGGATTCTCAGTATTCACATCTTTACTTTATGTTCTTTACAAATGTCTCCAATTTAAATTAACAGCTCCTCAGAATCACTGTCCTTAAACTCTGGGGACAAAATTCTTACTTTTCAAAAATGTCAGATTCTTCAAGAGTTATAATTCATACCTTTGCCCCAGATACTTGAGAAAAAGAATTTCTTTTTATTTTTTAAAACAAAAATTCTTATTAGAAACCCAGGCACAGAAACTCATCATGTGTCAGTGATAGAACACTTAGGGTGTTGAAATACTTGCTATCTGTATTTAAGTTTGTTGAAGAATGCTTTGCACATGGGGACAGTCAGATCTGGTATTAGGAGGCCTTTGGAAACTCCCCCCTGCTATAAAATCAGTGGAAGTCATGAAGCTTTCTACTCACAACTGAGTCTTTTCTGAATCCAATAAGAAGTGATCCTATTCTGTCAGATCAGGGTCTGGGTCCTCATGAATCACTTCCTTTGTTGGTGCTGTGAATGCATGTGTTGGGCCAACTGGACTGAGACCAAATTAGGGGCACCTGCATAACATACTATAATCAAACATAGTTACTTCAGTCCTCTGTGTAAAAATAACTATGCGAAGAACTTCCAGATCAGTGAAGAGCAAGGGCCTCTGAAAATCTGCTTATCCACAAAAGCAATGAGAACACTGACAAAAAGTTGTCAAAATCAACTTTCTCAAAACTGAACTCTGGAAATTAATTAGTGAAGTTAATTACTGCTCCTTTGCAACAACCCAAGGAGAATTTATGCAGAAGAATGGCCGACACTCAGTAAGAACAGTGAGTTTTGTGGTATTTTAACTTTCTATAACTCATCACGTTTGCCCCAGTTTTGCGGCAGCCTTGAGAACCAACAACATCACAATTAGGGTAGCAGCCACTAGAGGGGACATAATGAGTTTAGAGGTCCCCAAAAGCATCATTCCTAGAGGATTTTCCAATTTTACCTGTTTGGCAACTCTTTGGAAATCCCTCACTTACAGAGGTTATATTTATTTGACCTGACTGAGAGCTTTCTCAGTCCAAACAGCCTTTTCCATAGGGCATTTGCTGAAAACAATCAGTAGTAATTGTTTAACATCATAGCTGCCAGAGTGAGGATATCAGTTGGGGCAAACAAAAAGCTAACTAAAAAACTGAGAAGGAAAAGCAGTAGAATGAAACCCCACTGGGAGTTTTGAACAGCTTTAATATACTCCAGGGAATCTAGCAGTCCACATGCATGTACAGGGCTGTATGCATGCTCATAAAAGACCAGAGAAGGCCCTAATCTCTTACCTCTAGCTGATCCTGAGTCCCAAAGCAAGCAGGAAGTGAAAGCTAAAGCAGGAGTAAAATGTCATAGAATATTGAAGGCATGCCCAAATAGGTTGACAAAGCTAATCAGCAAGGGCTGGGAGATTTAATTGTTCAAGGCATTTAAGGAACTCTCTAGCCAATCATTAACTGACTACAAAGTTAACCAAACAGACTTCAGTAGCCATATGCAACAAAGAATACAAACTGTAAAGTAGTCATTTAGGAAAGTCACTGAACAAACAAATGGCAACAACAGCAAGAACAACAATACTAACAAGAAACCCTTAAAAATGTGAATCTGATTATAAGGGTTGTCATATTACATTATTTAAAATACCTAGTTTATAGAAAAAATTATGAGAAATATAAAGAAACAGAAAAATATGACCTTTACACAGAGAAAAAAAATAAGTCAAAAAAGACTGTCTCTGAAGGGGCCTATACATTGGATTTAATAGGCAAAAACTAAATTAGCTCATCTGAGGAACTAAAGAACACAACAACTAAAGACTTTTAAGAAAATATGAGGCTGGGCGTGGTGGCTCATGCCTGTAATCCCAGCACTTTGGGAGGCCGAGGCGGGTGGATCACGAGGTCAGGAGATCAAGACCATCCTGGCTAACACGGTGAAACCCCGCCTTGACTTAAAAAAAAAAAAAAAAATTAGTCGGGCATGGTGGTGGGTGCCTGTAGTCCCAGCTACTCGGGAGGCCGAGGCAGGGAACGGCGTGAACCCAGGAGGTGGAGCTTGCAGTGACCCGAGATCGCGCCACTGCACTCCAGCCTGGGAGACAGCAAGACTCTGTCTCAAAAAAAAAAAAAAAGAAAAGAAAAGAAAACACGTGTATAATGTCTAACAGATTGTCAACAGGGAAATCAGAAAATATAAACAAAAAACAAATAGAAATTCTGGATTTGAAAAGTACATTAGTGGAAATGAAAAATTCACTGGAAGAGCTCAACAGCAGATACATGCTATCAGAATAAAGAATCAAAAACTGGGAGATAAGTCAAAGTCAATTGAGATTATCCAGTCAAAAAAGGGAGGCAGAAAAGAATAAAATAAGACTAACAAAGCCATAGAGAACCATAGCACACCACCATATAGTATCAATATATGCACAATGGGAGTCCCTAAAAGAGAGAAGAGAAAGTAGAAGAAAATTTTTGAAGAAATAATGGCTGAAAACTTCCATACTTGATGAAGAATGTTAATCTATATATCCTAGAAACTCAACAAACTCTGTAGGGTAAACTCAAACAGATCTGCACTTGGTGCATTATAACCAATGATAACTGTCTTTTATACTTATACACTTGGCACATTATAACCAAACTGTCAAAAGTCAAAGCCAAAGAAAATCTTGAAAGTTGCAAGAAAGAAGTGATTCATCACGTGCAATAATCTTCAATAAGATTAATAGCTACTTTCGGCTGGGCGTGGTGGCTCACACCTGTAATCCCAGCATTTTGGGAGGCCAAGGCAGACGGATCACGAGGTCAGGAGATCGAGACCATCCTGGCTAAAACAGTGAAACCCTGTCTCTACTGAAAATACAATAAATTAGCCGGGCTTCGTGGTGGGCACCTGTAGTCCCAGCTACTCGGGAGGCTGAGGCAGGAGAATGGTGTGAACCTAGGAGGCGGAGCTTACAGTGAGCTGAGATCGCACCACTACACTCCAGCCTGGCTGACAGAGCAAGACTCCGTCTCAAAAAAAGAAAAAAAAAAATTAATAGCTGCTTTCTTAGGAACTATGGAGGTCAGAAGGCAGCAGGATGACATACCCAAAGTGCAAAAAGAAAAAACACTGTCAACCAAGAATTCTATGTCTTTCAAAATTATTCTTGAAAAACAAAGAAATTGGCCAGTCATAGTGGCTAATGCCTGAAATCCCAGCACTTTGGGAAGCTGAGGCAGGTGGATCACTTGAGGTCCGAAGTTCTAGACCAGCCTGGCCAACATGGTGAAACCCCGTTTCTACTAAAAATACAAAAATGAGCTGGGCATGGTGGTGTGTGCTTATAATCCCAGCTACTGGGGAGGTTGAGGCAGGAGAATTGCTTGAACCCAGGAGGTAGAGGTTGCAGTGAGCTGAGATCACGTCACTGCACTCCAGCCTAGGCAACAGAGTGAGATTCCATCAAAAAATAAAAAATAAAAGAAAGAGAAAAGAAAAGAAAAAAGAAGAAATTAAAATGCTATTACATTTTGTGAAAAAGTGAGTTTCTTGCTAGCAGACCTCTCCTACAAGAAATACTAAAGGGAGCACTGCAGGCTGAAATGATGTAATACCAGACAGGAACTTAAAACCACATGAAGATATAGAGAACACAAGAAAAAGTATCTACACAGGTAAGCATAAAAGACAGTAAGAATAAATTTTTTATTTGTGACACTTTTATCTCCTGATTTGAAAGATAACTGAAGGCCAGGTGCAGTGGCTCACACCTGTAACCCCAGCACTTCGGAAGGCTGAGGTGGGCAGATCATCCTACCCAACATGGTGAAATCCCATCTCTACTAAAATACAAAAATTAGCCTGGCATGGTGGTGTGTGCCTGTAATCCCAGCTGCTTGGGAAGTGGAGGCAGGCAAATCACCTGAACCTGGGAGGCAGAGGCTGCAGGAAGCCAAAATTGCAGCACTGCACTCCAGCCTGGGCAACAGAGTGAGACTCCATCTCAATTATAAAACTGTGTTTATGGTTTATAATGTATAAAAAGTACCATTTGTATTATAATAATAGCACAAAGGAAAGGAGAGCAATTGGGATTATATTTGAGCAAAATTTTATATACTTTTGAGATTAAATTAGTATTATGCAAACTAGCTTTTATACATGAAGATGTTAACTGTAATTCTTAGAGCAACCACTATGAAAATAACTAAAAAATACAACATAAAAGAAACAATGGAATTAAAATAGTAAAGTAGAAAATATCTACTTAACATAAAAAAAATCAGTAAGGGAGGAATAGACGGCAAAAAAGAATAGGAGACATATGGAAAGTAAATAGCAAAATGGTAGATATAAAGTCCTACCTTATCAGTAATTATACTAATTACTAAGTATAATTATCAGTAATTATACTAATTATAAATAAATTCAACACTTCAATCAAAAGGCAGATTCTGGCAGAATGAATTAAAAATATGTTTCAGCTTGAAAGCAAAAGGATGCAAAAAGATACCAAGAAAAGGGTAACGAAAAGAGCCCCGGAGGCGTGAAACCAAGATGGCCGAATAGGAACAGCTCCAGTCTACAGCTCCCAGCATGAGCGACACAGAAGACGGGTGATTTCTGCATTTCCAGCTGAGGTACTGGGTTCATCTCACTGGGGAGTGTCGGACAGTGGCTGCAGGACTGAGTGGAGCCCACCGCAGCTCAAGGAGGCCTGCCTGCCTCTGTAGACTCCACCTCTAGGGGCAGGGCATAGCCAAACAAAAGGCAGCAGAAACCTCTGCAGACTTAAATGTCCCTGTCCGACAGCTTTGAAGAGAGTAGTGGTTCTCCCAGCATGCAGTTGGAGATCTGAGAACAGACACACTGCCTCCTCAAATGGGTCCCTGACCTCCAAGTAGCCTAACTGGGAGGCACCCCCGAGTAGGGGCAGATTGACACCTCTCACGGCCGGGTACTCCTCTGAGACAAAACTTCCAGAGGAACGATCAGGCAGCAACATTTGCTGTTCACCAATATCTGCTGTTCTGCAGCCTCAGCTGCTGATACCCAGGCGAACAGGGTCTGGAGTGGACCTCCAGCAAACTCCAACAGACCTGCAGCTGAGGGTCCTGACTGTTAGAAGGAAAACTAACAAACAGAAAGGACATCCACACCAAAACCCCATCTGTACGTCACCATCATCAAAGACCAAAGGTAGATAAAACCACAAAGATGAGGAAAAAACAGAGCAGAAAAACTGGAAACTCTAAAAAGCAGAGCGCCTCTCCTCCTCCAAAGGAATGCAACTCCTCACCAGCAATGGAACAAAGCTGGATGGAGAATGACTTTGACGAGTCGAGAGAAGAAGGCTTCAGACAAACTACTCCGAGCTAAAGAAGGAAGTTCAAACCCATGTCAAAGAAGTTAAAAACCTTGAAAAAAAATTAGATGAATGGCTAACTAGAATAACCAATGCAGAGAAGTCCTTAAAGGACCTGATGGAGCTGAAAAACAAGGCATAAGAACTATGTGATGAATGCACCAGCCTCAGTAGCCGATTTGATCAACTGGAAGAAAGGGTATCAGTGATGGAAGATCAAATGAATGAAATGAAGCAAGAAGAGAAGTTTAGAGAAAAAAGAATAAAAAGAAACGAACAAAGCCTCCAAGAAATACGGGACTATGTGCAAAGACCAAATCTACGTCTGATTGGTGTACCTGAAAGTGATGGGGAGAATGGAACCAAGCAAGAGCAAACACATTCAAAAGCTAGCAGAAGGCAAGAAATAACTAAGATCAGAGCAGAACTGAAGGAAATAGAGACACAAAATATCCTTCAAAAAATCAATTAATCCAGGAGCTGGTTTTTTGAAAAGATAAACAAAATTGATAGACCGCTAGCAAGACTAATAAAGAAGAAAAGAGAGAAGAATCAAATAGACACAATAAAAAATGATAACGGGGATATCACCACTGATCCCACAGAAATAAAAACTACCATGAGAGAATAGTATAAACACCTCTACGCAAATAAACGAGAAAATGTGGAAGAAATGGATAAATTCTTTGACACATACACCCTCCCAAGACTAAACCAGGAAGAAGTTAAATCTCTGAATAGACCAATAACAGGCTCTGAAATTGAGGCAATAATTAATAGCTTACCAACCAAAAAAAGTCCAGGACCAGATGGATTCACAGCCGAATTCTACCAGAGGTACAAGGAACAGCTGGTACCATTCCTTCTGGAACTATTCCAATCAATAGAAAAAGAGGGAATCCTCCCTAACTCATTTTATGAGGCCAGTATCATCCTGATACCAAAGCCTGGCAGAGACACAACAAAAAAAGAGATTTTTAGACCAATATCCCTGATGAACATCAATGCAGAAATCCTCAACAAAATACTGGCAAACCGAATCCAGCAGCACATCAAAAAGCTTGTCCACCATGAGCAAGTGGGCTTCATCCCTGGGATGCAAGGCTGGTTCAACATATGCAAATCAATAAACGTAATCCAGCATATAAACAGAACCAACGACAAAAACCACATGATTATCTCAATAGATGCAGAAAAGGCCTTTGACAAAATTCAACGACCTTCATGCTAAAAACTCTCAATAAATTAGGTATTGCTGGGACATATCTCAAAATAATAACAGCTATCTATGACAAACCCACAGCCAATATCATACTGAATGGGCAAAAACTGGAAGCATTCCCTTTGTAAACTGGTACAAGACAGGGATGCCCTCTCTCACCACTCCTATTCAACATAGTGTTGGAAGTTCTGGCCAGGGCAATCAGGCAGGAGAAGGAAATAAAGGGTATTCAATTAGGAAAAGAAGAAGTCAAATTGTCCCTATTTGCAGATGACATGATTGTATATCTAGAAAACCCCATTGTCTCAGCCCAAAATCTCCTTAAGGTAATAGGCAACTTCAGCAAAGTCTCAGGATACAAAATCAATGTGCAAAAATCACAATCATTCTTATACACCAATAGCAGACAAACAGAGAGCCAAATCATGAGTGAACTCCCATTCACAATTGCTTCAAAGAGAATAAAATACCTAGGAATCCAACTTACAAGGGATGCGAAGGACCTCTTCAAGGAGAACTACAAACCACTGCTCAATGAAATAAAAGAGGATACAAACAAATGGAAGAACATTCCATGCTGTTGTGTAGGAAGAATCAATATTGTCAAAATGGCCATACTGCCCAAGGTAATTTATAGATTCAATGCCATCCCCATCAAGCTACCAATGACTTTCTTCACAGAATTGGAAAAAACTACTTTAAAGTTCATATGGAACCAAAAAAGAGCCCGCATCACCAAGTCAATCCTAAGCCAAAAGAACAAAGCTGGAGGCATCACGCTACCTGACTTCAAACTATACTACGAGGCTACAGTAACCAAAACAGCATGGTACTGGTACCAATACTGTTGTATTGGTCTATACCAGAGAGATAGACCAATGGAACAGAACAGAGCCCTCAGAAATAATGCCACATATCTACAACTATCTGATCTTTGACAAACCTGACAAAAACAAGAAATGGGGAAAGGATTCCCTATTTAATAAATGGTGCTGGGAAAACTGGCTAGCCATATGTAGAAAGCTGAAACTGGATCCCTTCTTTACACCTTATACAAAAATTAATTCAAGATGGATTAAAGACTTAAATGTTAGACTTAAAACCATAAAAACCCTAGAAGAAAACCTAGGCATTACCATTCAGGACATAGGCATGGGCAAGGACTTCATGTCTAAAACACCAAAAGCAATGGCAACAAAAGACAAAATTGACAAATGGGACCTCATTAAACTAAAGAGCTTCTGCACATCAAAGGAAACTACCATCAGAGTGAAAAGGCAACCTACAGAATGGAAGAAAATTTTTGCAATCTACTCATCTGACAAAGGGCTAATATCCAGAATCTACAATGAACTCAAACAAATTTACAAGAAAAAAACAAACAACCCCATCAAAAAGTGGGCGAAGGATATGAATGGACACTTCTCAAAAGAAGACATTTATGCAGCCAAAAAACACATGAAAAAAATGCTCATCATCACTGGCCATCAGAGAAATGCAAATCAAAACCACAATGAGATACCATCTTACACCAGTTAGAATGGTGATCATTAAAAACTCAGGAAACAACAGGTGCTGGAGAGGATGTGGAGAAATGGGAACACTTTTACACTGTTGGTGGGACTGTAAACTAGTTCAACCATTGTGGAAGTCAGTGTGGTGATTCCTCAGGGATCTAGAGCTAGAAATACCATTTGACCCAGCCATCCCATTATTGGGTATATACCCAAAGGATTATAAATTGTGCTGCTATAAAGACACATGCACACGTATGTTTATTGCGGCACTATTCACAATAGCAAAGACTTGGAACTAACCCAAATGTCCAACAATGATAGACTGGATTAAGAAAATGTGGCACATATACACCATGGAATACTATGCAGCCATAAAAAATGATGAGTTCATGTCCTTTGTAGGGACATGGATGAAGGTGGAAACCACCATTCTCAGCAAACTATTGCAAGGACAAAAAACCAAACACCGCATGTTCTCACTCACAGGTGGAAATTGAACAATGAGAACACGTGGACATAGGAAGGGGAACATCACACACAGGGGCCTGTGGTGGGGTCACTGGGTGGGGAGGGATAGCATTAGGAGATACACCTAATGTTAAATGATGAGTTAATGGGTGCAGCACACAAACATGGCACATGTATACATATGTAACAAACCTGCACGTTGTGCACATGTACCGTAAAACTTAAAGTATAATTAAAAAAATAAAAAAATAATAAAATAAAACCCTAGTGGCTTAAAAAAAGAAAGAGCCCTGGAGTAGCTATAGTATCAGACAAAATACCAGTGACGATTTTAAGAAAACAATATTTTATAACAAAAACATTAGCAGAGACAAAGAAGGGTATTTTACAGTAATTAAATGGTAAATCTATCAAGAACAGAAAATATTTTTAAACATATATGCATCTAACAACAGAGAGCCACAACACATGAAGCAAAAACTAACAGAAAGAAAGGAAGAAATAAACAATGCAACAATAATAGTTGGAGACTTCAATATTGTACTTTTGATAATGGATAAAACAACTAGGCAGAAGACTGAAAAGTAGATCGAAGACATGAACAACACTATAAACTAAGCTAAACTAGAACTAACAGATATCTATAGAACACTTCACCCAAGAACAGCAGAGCACACATTCTTCTCAAGTGCATATGAAACATTTTCCAGAATTAACTGTGTGTTAGGCCATAAAGCGAACCTTAATATATTTAAAAGGGTTAGAATTATACAAAGTATATTCTCTAACCACAAGGAAATAAAATTAGAGTCAATAATAGAAGAAAATTTGAGAGTTTATAAATATGTAAAGATTAAACAACACACTTTTTTTTTGTTTTTTTGGGTTTTTTTGAGATGGTGTTTTGCTCTTGTTGCTGAGGCTGGAGTGCAATGGCGCAATCTCAGCTCACTGCAACCTCTGCCTCCCAGGTTCAAGAGATTCTCCTGCCTCAGCCTCCCGAGTAGCTAGGATTACAGGCGCCCATCACCACACCTGGATAATTTTTGCATTTTTAGTAGAGACAGAGTTTTGGCATCCTCGAATTCCTGACCTCAGGTGATCTGCTCACTTAGGCCTCCCAAACTGCTGGGATTACAGGCGTGAGCCACCATGCCCAGCCCACACTGTTTTTTTAAAACTTTCATTTTAGGTTCAGGGTACCTGTGCAGGTTTGTTATATAGATAAACTTGTCTCACAGGGGTTTGTTGTACAGATCATTTCAACAACACACTAAAATAGCCAATGGGTCAAAGAATAAATCAAACGGAAATTAGTAAATACTTTGATAAGAATGACAATGAAAAGACAACATACCAAAATTTATGGGATATAGCCAGATAGACCAAGAGGGGAAAAAAGGCCTCAAATTACTACATTAGAAATAAGTGAGAAGCCTTCACTACCACTGTCAAAGAAATAAAAGGAATTATAAAGGAATGCTATAAATAATTGTAGATCAAAACGTTAGATAACTTAGAGAAAAAGGATAGATTCCTAGAGAAACACACACTACTGAAATTGACTCAAGAAGGCCGGGCGTGGTGGCTCACGCCTGTAATCCCAGCACTTTGGGAAGCTGAGGTGGGAGGATCACAAGGTCAGGAGATCGAGACCATCCTGGATAACATGGTGAAACCCCGTCTCTACTAAAAATACAAAAAAATAGCCGGGCGTGGTGGCAGGCGCCTGTAGTCCCAGCTACTTGGGAGGCTGAGGCAGGAGAATGGCATGAACCCGGGAGGTAGAGTTTGCAGTGAGCCGAGATGGCGCCACTGCACTCCAGCCTGGGCGACAGAGCGAGACTCTGTCTCAAAAAAAAAAAAAAAGAAATTGATTCAAGAAGAATTAGAAAGTCTGAATTACATGTAAAGAGATTGAATTACTAATAAAAATCTTCCACAAAAAAAGTCTCAGGGAAGGCTGGGACAATATGGCAGAATAGAAGCTATATTAGTCTGTTCTCACACAGCTATAAAGAACTACCTGAAACTGGGTAATTTATGAAAAAAAAAAAAAAAAAAGAAGTTTAACTGACTCACAGTTCCACAGGCTGTACAGGAAGCATGGTTGGGAGACCTCAGGAAACTTACAATCATGGCAGAAGGGCAAAGTGGAAGCAAGCATGTATTCACATGGCAGCAGGAGAGAGAGAGTGAAGGGGGAAGTGCTACACACTTGCAAACAACAAGATCTCATGAGACCTCTGTCACCAGAACTGCAAGGAGAAATTCCACTCTCATTATTCAATCACCTTCCATCAGGTCCTTTCCCCAACACTGGGAATTACAATTCAACCTGAGATTTGGGTGGAGACACAAAGCTATACCATTCAACCCCCAACTGGAACACCAAATTTTAACAACTATTTGCACACAGAAAAGCACACATCACAAGAACCAAAAATCAGGTGAGCAATCATAGTGCCTGGTTTTAACTTCATATCATAGAAGCATTGAGGAGGGCAGAAGAAAGAGTCTTGAATTGCTAATGCCACCCCACCCTCACACCCAGGCAGCTGCTGTCTGGCACAGAGAGAGAATCAGTGCACTTTGGGGAGGGAGAGTGCAGCAGCTGGGGAACTTTACATTGAACTCAGTGCTGCTCTGTCACAGCGGAGAACAAAGCTGTGCTGGGCTTAGGTAGCACCTATGCATGAAGGGAACATTTGGACCAGTCCTAGCCAGAGGGGAATTGCCCATCCCAGTGGTCGGAACTTAAGTTTCTTGGCAAGCCTTGTCACCGAGGGCAAAAGTGCTATGGGGTCCTAGGTAAATTTGAAAGGCAGTCTAGGACACAAGGATTGCAATTCCTATGCAACTCTTAGGCAGCTTCTGGGAGCTCTCTGGCTCCCAGACAGCATTTCTTGATACACCCAGGGCCTGGGGGATCTCCTTACCCTGAAGGGAAGGATCTTGGGCAAGGCCCAGTCCTGTGCTGGATTCAGGTCTGACACAGTGCACCCAGTGGTGATGGCCACAGAAGTGCTTGTATCACCATTGCTCAGTTTCAGGTGGCTCAGCACAGAGAGAGAGAGACTCTATTTGTTTGGGAAAAAGTAAAGAAAAGGAACAAGAGTCTCTGCCTGGTAATCCAGGAGTTGCCTAGGAATTGCAATCGTAGGAGTTCATTGGCTGGGTGTAACTCCAATGAACTAGGGTGACACATGACTAGAGAGATACCAGCTGGCGCCATCTCTCCCTCAACACTAGGCAGTACAGCTTGACAAAAGTGACTCCTTCCTGGCCGGGTGCAGTAGCTCACGCCTGTAATCCCAGCACTTTGGGAGGCTGAGGTGGGTGGATCACTTGAGGTCAGGAGTTCAAGACCAGCCTGGCCAACATGGTGAAATCCTGTCTCTACTAAAAATAAAAACATTAGCCAGGTGTGGTGGCACACACTTGTAATCCCAGCTACTTGAGAGGCTGAGCCAAGAGGATAGCTTGAACCCAGTAGGCAGAGGTTGCAGTGAGCCCAGATCACACCACTGCACTACAGCTTGGGTGACAGAGGGAAACTCTGGCTCTTTAAAAAAAAAACCAAAAAACAAACAACAACAACAAACAAACTTCTTCCTTCTCCTTAAGGAAAGGAAAGCAAAAAAGTAAAGAGAACTTTGTCTTGGATTTTGGATACCAGTTCAGCCACGGTAGGATAGGGCACCAGCCAGAGTCATGAGGTCCCTGTTCCAGGCCCTAACTCCCGGGTGACACTTCTAGACACACACCTTGAGCCAACCTGCTGCCTTGAGGGAAGGACCCAGTCCCAGCAGGATTCATCATCGACTGACTAAAGAGCCCTTGGGCCCTGAATAACCACCAGTGATATCCAGGGAATACGCAATGGTCCTTGGGCTCTGAGATGAGCTGGCTTCAGGGGTAACCCAGCACATTCCCAGCTGGGGTGGCTACAGTGAAAGACTCCTGTTTGAGAAAAGCAGAGGCAAAGGAAGGTGAAATTTGTCTTGTACCCTAGGTACCAGCTTGGCCACAGTGAGGTAGAGCAACAAGCAGGCTCTTGGGGTCCCTGAGGCTAGGTCTAGGCTCTAGACAGCATTTCTAGACCTGCCCTGGGCCAGAGAGGAGCCCACTGCCCTGGAGGGCGAGTCCCAAGCCTGGCAGCGTTCAATGCAAGCTGATGAAAGAATCCTTATGCTCTAAGTGAATATTGGCAGTGGCCTGGCAGAAGCCCATATGGACAGGCGGCGGTGGTGGCCATAGGGAGAGGTTCCTCTGCCCGTGGAAAGGGGAGGGAAGAGTGAAAACATTTTGTGTTGTGGTTTGAGTGCCAGCTTAGCTGCAGTACAACAGAATAGCATGTAACTTGCTAAGGTTTTTGACTCCAATCTCTGGCTCTGAGACAGCATTTCTGGATACACCCAGGGCCTGGGGGAATTCATCACCCTGAAGGGAAGGATCTTGGGCAAGGCCCAGTGCTATGCTGGATTCAGGTCTGACACTGACACAGTGCACCCAGTGGTGGTGACCACAGAGGTGCTTGCATCACCACACCCCCAGTTTCAGATGGCTAAGCACAGAGACAGAGACAGAGAGAGAGAGAGAGAGAGAGAGGCAGAGAGAAACTGACTCCATTTGTTTGTTTGGGAAAAAGTAAAGAAAATGAACAAGAGTCTCTGCCTGGTAATCCAGAGAGATTTTCTTGATCTAATCTGAGACCACCAGAGTAATACCTCTCAAGTCTGCAAAAACCACAGTGTTATTGGGCTTAGGGCCCACGTCCCTTTGAATACCTAAAAAGCCTTCCCAAGAAGGACAGGCACAAACACGCCCAGACTGTGAAGACTACAACAAATACCTAACTCTGCAATGCCCAGACACTAACAGAACATCTGCAAGCATCACCACCATGCAGGAAAACGCAACCTCACCAAATAAAAGGCACCAGGGACCAATCCTGGAGAAACGGGGACATGACACTTCAGACAAAAAAATTCAAAACAGCTGTTTTGAGAAAACTCAAAGAAATTAAAGACAACACAGAGAAAGAATTCAGAGTGCTATCAGATAAATTTAACAAAGAGATTACGGTAATTTAAAAAATCAAGTAGAAATTCTAGAGTTGAAAAATGCAATTGTCATGCTGAAGAATGCACCGAATCTCTTAGTAACAGAAATGACCAAGCAGAAGAAAGAATTTGTGAGCTTGAAGACAGCCTACTTGAAAATACACAGTCAGAAGAGTTAAAAGAAAAAAGAATACAAAAGAATGAAGCAAGCCTACAAGATCTGGGAAACAGCCTCAAAAGGGGGCAAATTTAACAGTTACTGACCTCAAAGAAGAGGTGGAGAAAGAGATGGCATAGAAACTTGATTCAAAGGGATAAAATCAGAGAAATTCCCAAACCTAGAGAAAGTTATCAACATTGAAGTACAAGAGGGTTATAGAACACCAAGCTGATTTAACCCAAAGACTACCTATAGGCATTTAATAATCAAACTACCAAAGGTTAAGGCTAAAGGATTCTAAATGCAGCAAGAGAAAAGAAACAAATAACATATAATGGAGCTCCAATACATTTGGCAGTAGGTTTTTCAGGGGAAACCTCACAGGCCAGGAGAGAGTAGCATGACATATTTAAAGAGCTGAAGGAAAAAAACTTTTACCCTAGGATAGTATCCTTTAAGCATGAAGGAGAAATAAAGACTTTCCAGAGAAACAAAATCTGAGGGATTTTATCAACACCAGACCTGTCCTACAGGAAATGCTGAAGGGAGTTCTTCAATCTGAAAGAAAAGGACATTAATGAGCAAGGAGAAATCATCTGAAGGTACAAAACTCATTGGTAATAGTAAGCACACAGAAAAACAGAATATTATAACACTGTAATTGTGGTGTGTAAACTTTTCTTAAGTAGAAAGATTAAATGGTGAACCAATCAAAAATAACTACGGCAATTTTTCAAGGCATAGACAGTACAATAAGACATAGAGAAACAACAAAATGTTAAAAAGCAGGGGACAATGAAGTTAAACTAACGGTTTTCTTTTTGCCTGTTTATTTATTTATGCAATCAGTGCTAAGTTGTAATCAGTTTAAAATAATGGGTTATAAGATAGTATTTGCCTGGCTCATGGTAACCTCAAATCAAAAAACATAAAATGGATATACAAAAAATGAAAAGCAAGAAATTAAAGCATACCACTAGAGAAAATCGCCTTCACTAAAAGGAAGACAGGAAGGGAGGAAAGAAGGAAAGAAGAAAGAGAAGACCGCAAAACAACCAGAAAACAAATAACAAAATGGCAGGGGTAAGTTTATACTTAAAAATAATAACATTGAATGTAAAAGGAATAAACTCTCCAATCAAAAGACATAGACTGGATGAATGGATGAAGAAACAAGACCCAATGATCCACTGCCTACAAGAAACACATGTCACCTATTAAAGACACACATAGACTAAAAATAAAGGAATGGAAAAAGATATTTCATGCCAATGGAAACTAAAAAGAGCAGGAGTAGCTATACTTATATAAGACAAAATAGATTTCAAGACAAAAACCGTAAGAAGAGACAAAGAAGGTCTTTATATAATAATGAAGGAGTCAATTCAACAAAAGGATATAACAATGGTAAATATATATGCTTCCAACACTAGAGCAGCCAGATATATAAAGCAAATATTATTAGAACTAAAGAGAGAGATAGACCCCAATACAATAATAAGTGGAGACTTTAACACCCCACTTCAAGCATTGGACAGATCTCGCAGCCAGATAACCAACAAAGAAACATTGAACCTAGTCTGTACTATAGAATAAATGGAATTAATAGCTTTTTACATACATTGGGGAAGAGCCAGTGTCTTCAGTAAGTGATGCTGAGAAAATTGGATATCCATATGCAGAAGAATGAAATGTGATCCTTATCTCTTGCCTTATACAAAAGTCAAATCATAACGGATTAAAGAGTCAAATCTATGAACTCCAGCTATTGAAACTGCTACAAGAAAACATTGGGAAAACTCTCCAGGACATTTGTCTGGGCAAAAATTTCTTGAGTAATATCCCACAAGCCCAGGCAACCCAAGCAGAAATGGACAAACGGGATCAAATTAAATTGACAATCTTCTTCACAGTAAAGCAAACAATCAACAAAGTGAAGAGACAAGCCATAGAATGAGATAAAATATTTGCAAACTGTTTATCCAACAAGGAATTAATAACTAGAATATATTAGGAGCTCAAACAACTATGTAGGAAAAAATTTAATAATCTGATTAAAAATGGGCAAAATATTTAAATAGGTATTTCTCAAAAGAAGACATACAAATGGCAAACAGGCATATGAAAAAGTGCTCAATGTCACTGATCATCAGATAAGTGCAAATCAAAGCTACAATGGGACATCATCCCATCCCAGTGAAAATGGCTTTTGTCTAAAAGTCAGGCAATAACAATGCTGGCAAGGATGTGGAGAAAAGGGAACTTTTGTACACTATTGGTGGGAATGTAAATTAGTGAAACCGCAATGGAGAACTGTTTGAAGGTTCCTCAAGAAACTAAAAATAAAGCTACCATACAATCCAGCAATCCCACTGTTGGGTATATACCCAAAATAAAGGAAATCAGTATATAAAAGAAATATCTGCACTCCTATGTCTGTTGCAGCAGCATTCACAATAGCCAAGATGTGCAAGCAACCTAAGGTCCATCCACAGGTGAATGGACAAAGAAAATGTGGCATATATATACAATGAAGTATTCAGCATGAAAAATAATGAGATTCTATCATTTGCAAGAACACGAATGGAAGTGGAGTTCATTATGTTAAGTGAAATAAGCCAAGTACAGAAAGACAAACATCACATGTTCTTATTTATAGAATCTAAAAATCAAAACAATTGAACTCATGGAGATATGGAATAGAAGGATGGTTACCAGAGCCTGGGAAAGATAGTGGGGGGCTGGGGAGTGCAGTGGGGATGGTTAATGGGTACAAAAATATTATTGGAAAGAATAAGACCTAGCCTTTGATTACCCAACAGGGGGACTATAGTCGATAATAATTTAGTTGTACATTTTAAAACAACTAAAAGAGTAAAACTGGACTGTTTGTAACACAAAGGATAAATATCTGAGGGAAGGGATACCCAAGTTTCCATGATGTGATTATTATGCATTGCATACCTGTACCAAAATACGTACTTCATGTCTGTACCAAAATATATACACCTACTACATAGCCACAAAAATTAAAAATAAAATTATTTTTAAAAAGCCCAGACTCATATAGCTTCAGTGGTGAACTCTATCAAATGTTAAGGAATAATTATTACCAAGTATTCATAAGCTATTCCAAAAAAGTAGAAGAGGAGGGAACACTTCCCAACTCATTCTATGTGGTCAGTATTATCCTTATACCAAAATCAGATAAAGATATGACAAGAAAACTACAGAACATTATCTCTTATGATTATACCTGCAAAAATAATCAACAAAATACTAGCAAACTAAATCCAGAAACATAAAGGGATTATAAGCCACAACAAAGTATGATTTGTCTCAGGTATAGAAGGTTAATTTAACATAGAAAAATCAAAACACGCTGCATTAATAGAAGAAGGACACAACCTACATAATCGTCTTAAGGGATGAAAAAAAAAATCACTTGACAAAACCTGACACCCTTTCATGATAAAACATTTGATAAGCTAGAAACAGAGGGACTTTCCCCAACCTCCTCAATGCTATCTATAAAAAACCCACACCTGACATTATACTTAATGGTAAAAGACAGAATGAGTTCCTCTAAGATTAGGAACAAGATAAGGGTGTCTGCTCTTGATGGCTTTATTCAGCATTGTATTGGAGGTTCCAGTAGGGGCAATTAGGCAACAAGAAGATATAAAAGACATCTAAACTGGAAAGAAAAAATAAAAGATATCTACATTTGGAGATCACATGATCTTACATATAGAAAACCACAAGGAATTCACTAAAAATTATTAGATCTAGTGAGGTCAGGAAGATTGAAGGATACAAGGTCAATAAAAAAATCAATTGTATTTTTATACACTAGCAATGAATAATTTTAAAATAAAGTTAAGAAAACAATTACCTTTACAATAGTATCAAAAAGAACAAAATACTTCAGAATAAATGTAATGAAAGAAATGTAAAACCTATCACCGAAAACTGTGAAACATTTTTGAAAGCAATTAAGACGTAAATTAATGAGATGACATCCCATTAAGTCACAAGTAGACTTAATATTAAGATGGCAATATTTGCCAAATTGATATACAAATTCAACCTAAGCAATATCAAAATTCCAGCTGCTATTTATGTAGAAATGGACATGGTGATCCTAAAATTTATATGAAAATGTAAGGGACCCAAAATAGTCAAAACAATTTTAAAAATAACACTGTTTTTGAGGTGATGAAAATGTTCTAAAATTAGATAGTGGTGAAAGTTGCATAACTCCATGACCATGTTAAAAATCACCAAATTGTACACTCCTATAAGGGTGAACTCTTTGGTATGTGAATTTATCTCAATGATTTTTTTAAAAAGTCCCCAAAACCTGTGGCAGACATGTCAGGGCAAATGTATTGATGGGCATGCAGTTTATTTTAGTTTCTTCCTATTTCTTTCACATTGGACGTTGGAGTATTTGTGCTATGTTTAGAATCATTGATCCAGAGTTATTTTCTAGAATAGTCCATGTCTGAGTTCAGAATTATTAGTTACTGCAGAAATTGGTGTTTCTAAGAATTTTTTAGTTTGGCCATAAAGAGCAACACTTACCAGTTGTGATCAATTCTTGTTCTGTAAATGTTCTTCAATGAAACAATAATTCTTAGGATCTTTTTTAAGACATATAAGAGCTCTATTTTGCATAGTCTTCAACATATAATAAAAGTGCCTAGATGGAAAGAATTGTTAAAAACAGACCAGATATTACAGTTTTTCACTCTCTTGGTTAAAATCAAGGAAACACAATCAAGTAGTTTTCCTATTCTTCTATGCCAGATGTTGGTCTTTGTAAGATCAGCTCATCTGGACTCCTAAATTATGGATTTCTGAGTTTCACAAACACTAGGTTAACAAGCTTCCAAGGATAAGTAATGAAATAAATACTTCATGGAGAGCTGCAGGCCTAGATCTCCAAATCTAATTTCAGATTCCATCTCCCTGCTTTCTTCCTTTTTGACTTCTTGAATTTAGTAGACAAAGATAAGGAAAAAAAGCCTAAGGCGATTTGAAGAAACCAGTTATCACATACTGAAAGATTCTTTTAAGGCATCTTATGTCTTCTGGAGAGAATATTAAAGGAAACGGGCTTTGCATATGAAAGTTTGTGGCAGAGATAAACCAGTAATTAGGAGCTAGTTATTTTAGCTCCTCTCCTGGAAAATTAGCCCCAGTATTAGAGTCTCTTTATAGGGAAAAGTCACTTCATGACACATAAAACTGTGACAGGCAGAGCCATCTATATCAGTTGAGGTTAGTGCTGTGGTACATACAGCAGAGAAGAGGACCTATAAGCAATGTCAATGGAAAGAAGATGCCCTTGTGTTAAGATTGACAGAAAACAGACATATAAATGCAGATATTTAAAGGCATGGCCCAGAAGATGGTGGAGCTAAAGATGAAGGAAGTTGTACAGAGAACTTACATGGAATTATCCATAAAATTAAAAAACAATTTAGCTGCCTTTTACTGAACACTTCCTAAGTCCTCATTCTTCATATATGTTGTCTTAAGGGTAGATGCAATTATTTCTATTTTAAAGAGATAGAGACTAAAGTTAAGGGAGATTTATTAACTAACCCAAGGTACCCAAGTTGGTAAGATTTATCTGGGGTTTGCACCAAGGTGTGAGATTCAAAAGCCTATCCACTTGACTATAATCTTGTATTCCCGCCCTAAATAAAAAATGGATCTCACCTAGTGAAGGCCTCTATTAGAAAGACAAAGGCAGAACATTCTTTGTTTGCTTCCCATTCCCAAACAACTATCAATAGTGTCCTATTTCTTTCATTCTGCAAATATCTGTTAAATGCCTATTTGTGCTATGTGCTTGAAACAGTCTTTAAAAGGCTATACTTGGATTGAATGGAAAAACACTAGGGTGAGAAATCCAAAGGAGAATTGCACTGTATCATTTTAACTATTCTGATTCAGCACTTTAGCTGGGCTTCATGCTAAAGATCTCTTTACAAACAGGTTTATTAATTACCAGCTATCAGCTTACATATCAGCTTATTATCAGCTATCAGCTTACTCTAAAAGAGAGGAAAAATAATTATATTTCTGTACTTATAATGATTTCCCATATAAACATCCTTACATTCACTTGGATTGTTATATAATAAACAAATCTTTCTTAGCTAACACTTCAAAGACAGTTATTGGTCTTCTAATTACATTTTAAAGAATGAAACTGAAAAAGGATTGATAGCTTTGTAACCAGTTCTCCTGTAACAACTACGGAAGGCAAATTAGATGGTTTGATGTTTATGTTACCATGTTGCTTTTTTCCATCATCCCAATCTCTAATACATATAAGATGAAAAATTATTGATCCAAACCCAGGCCTGAAAAGATAGAAAATAATATGTGCTGAAACATGGGACAAAAATACTTTGTTTGTCCTCCTTAAAACCCTCTGCAGCTTGAAAAACCTCCCACGTGCACAGCAGAAGAAATCCAGCTTTTATCTGACAGGCTGTTTAAAGAAGTTTGACATCTGGCTTCTTTACATTGCTGGAACTTAACTATTCAAGTAGTCAGTGTCCAGCACACCTTTTTTTCATGCAAATTTCCGTGTCGAAACTACAAACGGATATTTGATCAAAGGTCAGCTCTCCTTTGTCTTCTTGTTCGATAAAGAAATTTCTATTTCATCTTTGGCTTTCAGGCTAGTTTGGAAAAGTGTTGTCTGACAGAAATTACTGATGCATTTCTTCCTTGTCCTCTAAAGTTTTTCCACCTTCTTCCTTTTTCTTCTTTTAAATCTTCAGGGGCTTTAAATTAGAATGTTTTCACTTTTTAATGGAATATTTAAATTATCTGAGGAAGAAACTTGAACTTTGTCTGCTTGTTAACTGAGGCTGAACTGCTGGTAGATAGATAATATCCCAGCAACTGATACAATATCATCAACCTTTTTTTTATCAGCAGTTTTATCTCATGCTTAACTTGTGAAACTTGTGTACAGATATGGCTACAAAGGAAGGTTGTCATCAAGGACCAAATAAGGACATTTTTCTCTCCTGATGCTCCTTTTTCTTTCTGAAAAGAATAAGGACAGGAGCAACAAAGAAATTCCTAAATTAGTTTGTATAAATATACGATTATTCCACAGTTAGTTGACTCCCATTGAAAATCCAAGTTGAATTTAAGAAAAGTCAATTGTTGACTGAGTATATTTTCAGGTATGAAATGCTATAAAATGGGTAAAGCTCCATCTGAATTTTCATCAGAACTGTCTTAGCTAGTTGTAGATTGTATAGAGCCTTGAAAAATTCAGTAAGATGTTAAAGCTCAGCTATTGGAAAATATATTGCAAATGGAACACTGTAATAATTGTGTTTAAAGAGACAGTACTCCTGATTATAACACCAAACTTCCACTAGACAAAGAAGAAATTGTCAAGTGAAGATCTGCTGAACTATAGAACTAGACTACTTCACTGCTTAATAAAAGGGACACTGACCACTAGAAGAAAGACACTTTGAAAGCAGACAGACTGGGTTTGAACCCTAGCCCTCCCACTTCCTAGGTATTTGACCTCGTATAAGTTTTCTGAGACCCAACTTATGTATCTATAAAATGAGGATAATTAAAATTCCTTACTTAGGCATACTCAATAGATGCTACTTTTTCTTTTTTCTTTTATGTATAATAGGTACTCATATATAGTAAATACATATAATAAATAAATTAAACGTAGAAATAATACTACAAGAAAGGCAGGTAATATCTTTTTCTTTTTCGCCCACGAATAGCCCCACAGCTAGGAAGTGAGTGAAGGATCTGTACGCAGACCTTCTCTCTCCCCAAGTTCTGAGCTCTTTCCTCTATTTTCTTAATGGAAAATCTAACAAAAGGACAGAAAATGTAACAGAATTCATATGTAATGAAGAATCTGAAACTCTTCTCCAACAAAATATCTCCTTCCACTTATCCCACCTCCATCCTAAAAGTTTTACCAATTTAGTTAGCATTTTAGGAAGCAAGCTGTTACTAGTCTGGTCTGATCTAGAAAGTCAGATTCTTGCACACCAGTGAGAATATTTGCTTCCCTTTAAGTAAACTGGAATGGCTCTTTGGATGTTCTCTTTGCTTAACTCATGCTTATACTTTATCCTCAGGATTGGAAAACACTCTGCTTACCATCTAAATGTACCACCAGCTACATTTTAAAATAGATCTATGATGTCCTCTTAGTGGGCACGTCCAGGGAGAATCTACATGTCCATGATATCCCTGAGCCATGTGGTTCATCCCAGGTCAGGGTGTCATGCAAAGACATAACAGACTCATGACCCAAGGAAATACAGTGAACTCAAACCCCTTGTTCATATATGTGAAAGCTCAGGAATATAGGAGAGGCTCAGTAATACTACACAGCCTCCCTTCAATTCCTTGTCCCTTCTGCTTACCTTGCCCCATCCTCCCCCTGCAGTCCCTTGTCCTCCCTCCTCCCCTAGAATATCAGGCTTTTCCCTCCCCAAATGTCCCCTCTATCCCTTTCTCTGGCCCTTTATGATGTAGATTTACAAGGCATTCTTTCCCTATTTAGAGAGGCTTTCTCCCTGGAGTGGGTAAGAAGAGAAAAAAAAACCCCTATAATTCTGGGATTCTCTTCTGTGAGGTGAAGAGAAGAGGGGGCTGGGCAAAAGCTAAATTCCCAATCAATCACACAAGATTGACATGAGCCTCTCTGCACTGTTGTATGCCCTTGTTTTGTGGGCAAAAGGGAAAATTGTTATACAGGGAAGTAGTTTAGGATAGAGAGGTACCTCTGAGCAATCACGAGTTAATAAGGTCACAGGTGGGGAGAATTAGGCAATTCACCTGTGGTCTGATGTTTAGGGAGAAATTAATCAAGTTCCTGAAGTAATAGGGTCAGCAGAAACATATAGTTAATGGTCTTGCCCAGCTGGTCATCTTTCTTTTCTTGATGCCCCTCCCCTAGTGAACCAAGGTTCATTTTGAATCCAAATTTTTCAAACCTCAAAGCCATCTTCCCCAACATGTGGTTTCACAACAGTCAACATCTACTGTCAGGGAAAGAACAGCATTCTGGTGGTGAAACAAAACAGCACTTCAACTCCTTTTTTAAAAATTAATAATAATAATAATTTAGGACAATAAGCTTATGTCGGGAGGTAGTGTGGTCATCAAAATAGCCTAAGACATCTGGATGTGGTCCCCTAATTAATGCCATCAATGTCACTGGTAGGCATTCAAATGATCTGGTGCTACTTTCAGGGTGTTCATGATCTTTCTTCCCTTTTTTAAAAAAAAATCAGAAGAGTCTGGTTGCACCTGCAGTTGCTTGCATGCTTTCTAGCTAATGGCTTTCAGTGACCCTGTGCCTGATAGGCAATGGTCTGAAAGGGAACACCTCTTGGAACCCCAAATCCTGCATCCCACAAGTACATGCAAGTGAAAATCAAGCATCACTTTTTGAACAATAGCTGACTGTGAATTTGATAAATAGCAGGGTGTTATCCACTGCTTCCTGCACTGCATATGTGTTGTATTTGGTTGTCAGATAAGCTAAATACCTCTAATAGGATCTCCTCCCGCTTTTAGTAACAGCTTTATTGAGGTGTAATTCACATACTATGCAATTCATCTGTTTGAAGTGTACAGTTCAGTGGTGTTTAGCATATACATACAGTTACAGGTGTGCAACTAACACCATAATCAATTTTGGAATACTTTCATAACCCCAAAATGAAACCCTATACCCATTAGCAGTCACTTTCCATTTTCCCCTCACTCCTTAAGCCCTAGGCAACCTCTAATTTACTTTCTGTCACTACATGATACGATTCTTTTAACTTCTGTTTTTAATGAAAGAAAATCTGTATCTCACGGTGGGGGTCTACAGTGTTAGTGCTGGGGTCAAGCACATAGAGTCAGAGTTAAAGAGGGTTTTAGTGAGCTCAGTAAGCGCTTAGCATCTCAGGAGACAGACCCAGATTTAAGTCCTGGCTCTGCACTAGCTAGCTGTGTGTTTTCAGATGATTTACTCTCAATCTATTTTCTCAACTACAAAGTGGGAATAATAATAATTCATGCTTCATGGGCTTGTTTTGAAGATTAAATAAGAATGCATGTAAAGCACTTAGTATCATTCCTAGACTATTATAAGTGCTCATTACATGTTAATTAATGTTACCATATTTATTACTGTCATTCACAAAGCTCTCTGCAGAATACATTCCACAATATTGAATAACTTGCCTGCCACAGCTTGGCAGTTCTACTTTACTTCTTCTAAGGTAACTGGAATTGTAACTTAACAGGTCAATCACAAGAATGGCTTCAGAGGCAAAGGATGCCAGACCACAGTGGGTGATGGAGTGAATGAGCACTGAAGGCAGTGAGTGCAGGCTCCTCTTTCAAGAAACTGGGCTGTGACTTCATGGAGAAGGTCTCTGTAGGACACAGAGAGTTTGCAGATGTTTGTAGACTACCAGGGAAGGAACCAATAAAAGGAATGAAATTGGAGATACCATAGATAAGGACAAGTAAAGGGACAAGACCATACTGTAATGGATATATTATATGAATAACTGCGCAGGCATTTCTCAAAGACACAGCAAAGAAAATAAAAAAAAAAAACAGTGTCTTATCTTGGGTTCCTCTGAAAGCAGAGCCTGAGATGAAGGCTGGATTCCATGTAGTTTATTTGGGAATGTGATCCCAGAAAGCAGAAGTACAGGATAGCAGGAGAGAAACAGGAAGGAAGGAAAGTTTATACAAGGTGTTGGCCTCATCTGTAGGTAATTGGTGCTTAATACCACTGGACCTTCTGAGAACCTCATAAAACCCACTTCAGAACTGCCTATCTACTGGCACAAGGGGAGACATTTGTCTTTTGTCTCCTTTTCCACTAGGTCAAAGATGGTCTATTGGATTAAATCCTTTGTATTTCTAGCATGAGAAACTGTGAGTGCCAAGCCGGTTCCCGAGGGTATCCCATGCTGTGGCTTCTACAGAGCCACAAGACTGAAAGCAAAAGGTACAGGGCTCTGGCCCAAGTGGAAGGCTGTGCAAGTGTACCTGGGTAAAGCCTACTGAAGCCTTCAGTAGGATCGTCACCAAGTGGTGGTTGGGTTGAGAGGTAGGCCCCAGAAGATTTTACAGTGGTGGACAACAGATACTCCACAGGAAGAGCTAACATTATTGCACATTGATTAAACACCGGGCACTGTTCTGAACACTTGACATTAATTCACTTAATCCTCACAGCTACTTTGCATTGCAAATGAGAAAATTGAGGCACAAAAGCTGGAGAACGCTGCTTGAGGTCACATAGCTGTTGAGTGTCAAAGCCAGGAATCAGGTTCCGGCACACAAGCTCCTAACGACTGCACCGCACAGCCTCTGAGAATGGGGCTGGCTGAAGCAGGGGCAGCAGTGTTTGTGTTGTGTCCATGTTGGTGGGGACCCCACTCATTCACATTTGACCTCCGGCCCCCTCCCCTCAGCATTCCATAAATGCCCTCTACTAAGCTCTAGGTGGAATTAATTCCTATCTAGACCTTCCAAGGTCATATTTAACTTAACTCCACTCACTTTATTCCCCAAAGTAAAACAAAACCCAACTTGCTGACTGCAAGTGAACTTGGAGCCTCCCCTCCTTTTTTTTTTTTTTTTTTTGAGAAGGAGTCTCACACTGTTGCCCGGGCTGGAGTGCAGTGGCGCAACCTCGGCTCACTGCAGCCTCTGCCTCCCCGGTTCAAGTGATTCTTCTGCCTCAGCCTCCCAAGTAGTTGGAATGACAGGCGCCTGCCACCATGCCCAGCTAATTTTTTGTATTTTTAGTAGAGATGGGGTTTCACTATGTTGGCCAGGCTGGTCTCAAACTCCTGACTTCGTGATCTGCCTGCCTCAGCCTCCCAAAGTGCTGGGATTACAGGAGTGAGCCACCGTGCCCAGCTGGAGCCTCCTTTGAGCTGCTTGGTCTCTTGCTCATTTATTCTTCACTAAAATTCAATTGAAATCATTTGGTGATCACCACTAAGAGTCACTTCCAAAGTATGTGTTGTTAAAAGAAAAACTTCAGCCAAATTACATTTAAAGGAGTTTAATTGAGCAATGATTGATTTGTGAATCGGGCAGCCCCCAGAATCACAGCAGATTCAGAGAGACTCCAGGGATGCCTCGTGGTCAGAACAAATTTACAGACAAGAAAAACGGAAGTGACGAACAGAAATTGGAGGTGAGGTACAGAAACAGCTGGATTGGTTACAGCTTAGGATTTGCCTTATTTGATCACAGTTTGAACACTCAGCAGTGTATGAGTGGTTGAAGTACGGCTGCTGGGATTGGCCAAGACTCAGCAATTGTTAGAGGAGCATACTGATAAGTTAGAGTTTCAATCTTGTCTATCTATTAAGTTAGGTTGCAGTTTGTCCACAAGGACTCAAACATAGAAGTACGGAGGCCATGTTTAGTTTGTTTTAACAGTGTAATAAAATTGACTTAAACTACAAAAGAACTGAAATATTCAACTGCACCTAGGACAAAAATTTTTTTTAAAAAATGTAACCATAGCTACATTTGACTGTCGAGCGCTTTGCAAGTGGTCAAACTGAGGTGTGCTATAAGTGTAAGATACATTGCAAATTTG
Source organism: Homo sapiens (assembly GCF_000001405.40). Classification (NCBI taxonomy): domain Eukaryota; kingdom Metazoa; phylum Chordata; class Mammalia; order Primates; family Hominidae; genus Homo; species Homo sapiens. The sequence goes on from NC_000003.12 coordinate 66,937,574, forward strand.
AAAGATTTAGTACAGAAAAAAAGTAAACTACCTCATTAGTATTTCTTATATTGGCTACATATTCATATGACAACCATTTTGGATATATTGGGTTAAATAAAATGTGTTATTAAAATTAATGTCACTGATTTCTTTTTACTTTTTAAAATGTGGCTACTAGAAAGTTTAAAATTGTATATGTGACTCATAGTATATGTCTATTGGACATAATTTGACCTTTTCCAGCCTCATTCTTACTTTCCCAGTCACTACACTTCAGTTACCAACTTTACTCTTCCTAAAACAGCCCCAACGTGTTCCTAACACAGGGCCTTTGCAGTTGCTCTTCCTCTGCCAGGAATGTCCTTTCTCAGGATTATTTATTCCTTTCCTTCTTGATCTCTTCAGAGGAACATCCCCTATCCAATCTATGTAGACAGTGTCTCTATCTTTCTTGTGCTTTATTTTTCTTTGGAGCAGTTAAATTGGGGACGGGTGGAGTGGTGCACATTTGTCATCAGAGGCTGAGGCTGGAGGATTGCTTGAGCCCAGGGGTTCGAGGCTGCAGTGAGCTAAGGTTTAAACAAACTAACAAAAAACAAACTGGTATCATGTCCTCTGTCTCTGTCAATGCCCTCTTTATATTATAGTGGAAATAAATGAAGAGATGAATGGAGTAGATTTTTGTGTTTTCCTGTAACCAACCTTTTGGGTAATGAATGAATAACCAATTAGAAAAAAAAAAAAAAAGTCCACTTTGATGGACTGTTTCATCTCTTGGCCTTGGAATTTCAAAACCTGCCTTAGCACCTCCACATTGGGACTGCATCTGGCAGCTAAGTTGAGGATTCGCTTGCAGCTTAAGGATCCTTTCAAGGGCCTTCTCCCTAGGAAGGGATGTTGACTTGTCTAGCCTTCCTGGGAGCTGGGACTCCAATTGTCTCATGCACAGATGCTGAAGTCAGTTCTGTTTGTGGCTTCTGTTTTTATTGACAGTAGAGGGCAGCAGAGTCCTTTCCACAGGAGCATTTGAGCCGAGAAGACCAACTAAGACTTTGGGCTGTGCACAGTTAAAGTCAAGCTCCTTTCAGAGAGAAATAGCTAACGAGACCCGTAATGTCTAGGGTAAGAACTATAGCAATGGCATATTTTCTTCTATCTCTAATTATATAGATGGTTCAAACTTCTGATGCAATCTCCTTATTAAATATTTATTTTATCTGAGTTTTTATTTTCTTGCCTCCGTTTTGTTTGTAGTTTAAGGGTTGGCTAGGGGGTGTAGGACTGGAGAAAGTTGATATTAGTGGATTCATTTACATTCATTTGGTTTACATCTCATCCTGGATTTTCAGGAATGAAAACTGGCTTCTTGTGGCATACAATTTCTGTATTTATCTGCAAAGATTACTCTGGAGGGCAGACAGTGTTGGCTCTAACTTTATGCATGACCCAGAAATAAGCATCTCCATTAACCCATTATCATTATAGCACTGAGAGTTTTCAACAAAACATATGCATGAGAATTGATTAATAATCCCTAAGAGTGATGTGGATAATAAAAAGCTTATAGGTCCCTCAGCTATGACAGACAGTCGTGCAGATATGCTTCCTAAGAACACAAGGAAAAAAGGTATGATTCTCCAAAAAAGTATTTTTAAAATCCAGTAGGTAGTGAGAGTGCTTCTAAGAAATTATACAAAGTGCCTTGATCAGTTAGTAACTTTAGAATGAGCTCTTAGCTAGAAAATTCAGGAAATCAGCAGCATAAGGGTGTTTTACATACTTCATTAAAAAAAATTTCCAATATATTTACCAAAAAAGAAATCATGATTATTTCCTCATCTCCATATTTCACGGACAATAGAATGGTTTAGGTTAAAACAACAACAACAGCTGACCTTGGCATGTTGGTCAAGTTAGCTAGCAGCTAGTGACTCAAAGTTTCCCCTATTAGCTGTACTGTCTCAGTAACAGAGTTTTGAATTGCAACTTAATTTCTCCTAATATTGTGTCCTACAGTTTTGATACCTAATAGTTGCATGGATATCTGCTATCATTCTTTGGTTGCTTTAGTTGTGAGGACTGTTACATTCTCTAAAAATTCTGTTTTAGCCTCCAAATGCTTAGAGCCAGAGGAGTGGGATGAATTTGCTAACCCATAATCACAGTTAGTATATTGATAGCCACTGGAAGATTTTGTTGCTGTTTATGGCCACACAAATCAGTCTCAGGCTGGATTGTTTGGGCTTTGTTTGAATTTGCTACTTAACTTTGAACTCTAGGTTTTGAAAATTTCCACTCAGTTGCAGGCATATAACCTTAGGAAATTGGATTCTCAAGAGATAGCTGAAGATAGTGTTGAGCATGCCGTTTAGATACAAAATAGGACTAAAGAGCCTCATCCTGCTGAAATTATTTACCATTGGAGCCTCTGAATATAAATGTACTCCTAAAGGCAGTGAAGCTTCAGGAAGCCATATGAAGGTGAATAAGAAAAGATTTCTATTATTATACATATGGGACGCTGAGAAAGAGATGAGAAAAGAACCACAAGGAAAACATAAAATGGATGTAAGATCGACATTGCATTTTGAATATATGAAGATATTGTCAGAGGAAAATTCTATTTTCACGTACGATAATTCTATGCAACACACATAAACCAACAAATTCTTATTCAAAAGCCTAATCCAGGTTTAAGAAGTGGGAAAACAATCTTTGCATTTTGAATCTGTCCTTGTAGTGAGAAAGAGCTGAATTATGATTTGAACTCTTACTGATAGATAGGAACTCAGAAACTGCACAGAACATTTGAAGTATGTATTTGATAAAAATTCAGTGAGCCCTCTTTTGTGCCAAGTACGGTACTAGATACTATCGATACGGACAGAGTTTAGGACATGCCATTCCAAAATATGGCCTCTTGATGTTTCAGAAAAAAGCAGAAGCAGGAAGTTCTCTTTGACCTCCTCCCAAAGTTCTCCTCTGAAGCAGGTCGTAAAAGAATTATCTGATCTTTCTTTAAAGTAGGTCATAAGACCCTCATTCCAGAGACATCTTTCCTGTATCTGGAGGAAGGAATGAAGACATAGAGATGCCAAGAAGAATCTGAACAAATAGGCCTTACAAGTTGCCCCCAGTTAATTCCGATTAGATCATACCTTTGTCCAATCATACTTCTGTATGGCTGTCTACTCTTCATTAAACCTAAGTATAAAAATACACAAGTTTTCCTGTTTCTTTGGTTCTTCATTTCTGAAAACTCTCACGTCATATAAAACTTGCTCATATGTATTTTTTTTTTTTTTTGTAGAAGTCTCAGCCATGAACCTAGCAGTGAAGGAGGAAAACATCTTATGTCTTGTTCTCTACAACACAAAGATGAACATAAAGAAGAAACACAGACTCTGGCCTGGAGAAGTTCAGTGTCTGGTGGGGGAGACTGGATAAATAATTTAAAACATTTATTTAACAAATAATTACAGTGCAATATGATAAGTACAATAGCTAAAGTGTGGGCAAAGTGTCGCAGGAACAGGAATAAAGAGGAGACAACTTCCAAAAAAATCTTACATACTTAACCTTTTCCCGACATTTTGACCTGAAAATAAATCAGCATAACAACTCACAAATACAAGGGTTACATAATTTGCTTTATAAGAAGTACAGATTAGTTTTAAGTAAGATGATTTCTTTATAATGATAGCCCTGATAATTTAGTTTTTATGGACTTTTGGGATTCCATATTTATTAAGTCATCATTTGAGTCTCTCTTAGTAGATAGGATTCTCATCACACTTATTTTGGGGGATGTCATCTTACTTATTTGCCACCTAACACTGGTCATGGGCTGGTATTCAACAAAAATTTTTGAGCTAAATTAAATTTGAATATGTTATTATGGGTTAGATGAAGTAAAAAAAAATTGGGGCTGTTAATTGGTAAAATCTGAATTAGGATATTTATCTGGATAAAGTACTAAGAAAAAGGAAACCTTTACATATCTCCTTTATATAGTTAACTCCCAACACTCTACACTAAATATACTGTTTAGTATTAAAGGCTAAACTTATAATTTCTATCATTTAATATAGATATAATTATCTATTATATAGATATCTAGATATCTAGATATCATATCTAGATATCTAGATATCTATATCATATCTAGATATCTATATCATATCTAGATATCTATATCATATCTAGATATAGATAATATAGATATCTATATCATATCTATATATAGATAATATAGATATCTATATCATTTAATATAGATAATTTGTTTTTGGCAGAAAATATATATCAGATAACTACAAGCAGAAAATTCTATTTGATACAAGAAATGAATTTGGCATTTGCTCAAGATACACACACACACACACACACACAGATATGAGTATAAGCAAGGACTAAATTACAAAGCATGAATTTATCTAGAATACTGTGGTCTCAGGTATGAAGGAAGTCTTTAAAGTGCCCTATCTAAAGGATCAGCATGCAGATGGGGAATTTATTTTGGATGGTAATGGTGGCCTTCCCTTGGAACTCTTTCCTCAAATCACAGCTCATAGATAGCCAATTAGGTCAAATTGAGGTTTGAGCTTTCCAAATGGTTCTCTGTTTTTCCTAAGCAGCACCTCTTAGACCAAGAGTTCTCCATGAAAGGAGTTACCTGAACCGCCATGTAACCACTGGCTTTTCCATGCTCAAAGCCATCTGCTCATGATAATCACAGCACATTGTGTTTTCATGAAGTACTTTCACAAGGTGTTATCTCATATGACATGAATAGCTTCATCGCCAGGTTGTTAAATATCCACTTTTCAGATACAGAACTGGCTTATAACTTCTATTCAACATAGTATTGGAAGTTCTAGCCAGAACAATTAGGCAAGAGAAAGACATAAAACGCATCCAAATTAGAAGGGAAGAAGTTACATTGTCCCTGTTTTCAGAAAACAGGATTTTATATGTAAAAAAACCCCTAAAGACTCCACAAAAAACTATTAGAACTAATAAATGAATTCAGTAAAGTTGCAGGATGCAAAACCAACATATGAAAATCAGTCGTATTTCTATATGCTAATAACTAACATCCAAAATATAAATCAAGAAAACAATATTTTTTGTGGAATAACTACAAAAAGATACTTAGGAATAAATTTAGCCAAGGATGTGAAAGACCTGTGCACTGAAAACTATAAAACATTCAGGAAGGAAATTGAAAAAGACACAAATAAATGGAAAGATACCCTGTGTTTATGGACTAGAAGAATTAACATTGTTAAAATGTTCATATTCCCCAAATGACTTATGGATTTAATGCAATCCCTATCAAAATTTCAATGACATTTTTCGCAGACACAGAAAAAAATTCTAACTTTTATAGGGAACCACAAAAGACTCTGAACAGCCAAAGCAATTGTGAGCAAAAACAACACAGCTGGAGACATCACATTATCTGACTTCGAAAAATACTATAAAGCTATAATAAACAAAACATCATGGTACTGGCATAAAAACAGATACATAGACCAATCATACATGAGCCCAGAAATAAATGATTTTTGACAAAGGTGCCAAGAACATGTAATGGGGAAAGAACAGTCTCTTCAATAAATGGTATTTGGACAACTGGATATCCACATGCATGCAAAAGACAAAAATTGGACCCTTATTTCATACGTTATACAACAATCAACTAAAAGTTGATAGGAGACTTAAATGTAAAACATGAAACTAGAAAACTACCAAAAAATAGGAGAAAAGCTTTGTGACTTTGGACTGGGCATGATTTGTTTGTATATGACCACAATCACAGGCAACAAAAGCATACATGAGGTTACATCAAACTAGAAATCTTCTGCACAGTCAGGGAAACAATCAACAGAGTGAAGAGACAACCTATAGAAAGGGAGAAACTATTTTAATATCATACATCTGATAAGGGGTTAATATCCAAAATATATAAAGACTTACACATAAATTCGATAGTAAGAAAACAAGTAACCTGATTTTAAGCTAGGCAAAGGATCTGAATAGATGTTTCTCAAAAGACACACAAATGACCAACAGGTATATGAAAAAATGCTTAATATCACTAATCATCTGCTAAATGCAAATTAAAGCCAAAATGAAATATCACATCACACCTGTTAGAATGGTTATTAACAATAAGACAAAACATAACAAATATTGGTGAGGACGTGGAGAAAAGGGAATGCTTGCATACTCTTGGTAGGAATGTAAATTAGTACAGGGATTATGGAAAACAGCATGAAGGTTACTAAAAAAATTATAAATAGAACTATCACATGATCTGGCAATCCCACTACTGACAACATATACAAAGGAAATGAAATCAGTACGTCAAAGAGATACCTGCACTCCCATTTTTATTGCAGCACTATTCACAAATGCTAAGATATGGAATCAATCTAAGTGTCCATCAGTGGATAAATGGACTTAAAAGTGTGGTATATACAATTTACAATTGTAAAAGTATGGAATCAGCCCAAATGCCCCTCAGTCAATGAGTGGATAAAGAAAATGTGGTACATATATACTATGGAATACTACTCAGCCATGAAAAGGATTGAAATAATGTCATTCACAGCGACCTGGATAGAGTTAGAAACCATTATTCTAAGTGAGGTAACTCAGAAATGGAAAATCAAACATATCTTCTCATTCAAAAGTGGGAGCTAAGCTATGAGGACGCAAAGGCACAAAAATGATACAACGGACTTTGGGGACTTGGGGGAAAGGGTGGGAAGTGGGTGAGGGATGAAAGACTATACACTGGATGCAGTGTACACTGCTCAAGTCATGGGTGCATCAAAACCTCAGAAATCACCACCAAAGAATCTATGCATGTAGCCAAACACCACCTGTTCCCCTCAAACTATTGAAATATAAAATAAATTTTAAAAGTTTAAAAAATGTGGTATATATTCACAATGGAGTACTATTTGGCCTTAAAAAATTAGGAAATCCTGTCATTTGCAACAACATGGATGAACCTGGAGGACATTGTGTTAGGTGAAATAAGCCAGGCGCAGAAAGACAAATATTGTGTAATTTCACTCATGTGGAACCTTAAAAAGTTGAACTCGTAGATTTATAGAAGAATGGTTTTTACTGGAGGCTGGGGGAAGTGGGGAGAGGGTTGGGAGATGTTGATTAAAGGATACAAAGCTTCTGTTAAGAGGAAAAAATTCAAGAGGTCTATTGAACAACGTGATGATTATATTTTATAACAACACATTTGTTATTCTTGAAAATTGCTAAAAGTGTAGATTTTAAGTGTTCTCACCTCCAAAAAAATAAGTATGTGAGGTAATGCATATGTTAATTAGCTCTATTGAGGCGTTCCACTATATATATATATACTTCAAAATAATGTGCTATACACAATAGATTTACATAATTTTTATTTGTCAAAGAAATTAAAAAATAGAACCAGTTTATAGAAGTTACAAGAAATGAGGACACGACAATGAGCACAAACATAGATCTTCCATTAACTAGTGACTTGTAATATTTCCCATCTAGGCACAGTATTTTCTCATGCTTGAGAAGGTGCGGTTTATTTTGTGACCCCATCATTTGTGAATGCTTTAAGTTGCTAACTACAGTGGCAATCATCACCTATCCAGATCGGGCACCACTAAAAATAACTGCCAATGAATGTATTATTGGCAGGATTTGAGAACGCTTCTGTTCTCAAATTCTGAAATGTTTAAAAAGCTCCTACTATTCAGAAGACATATTATTCAAAGCACAGGGTACCAAAAACAAAACAAAACAACAACAACAACAACAAAAAAGAAAAATCCCAAAACTGTAACCACAGAATAAGTCTCTGCTTTAAAAAAATATACAATTTACTTGCAGAGACAAATGATATACACAAAAATTTAACCAGTGTTTGGAACCATTTTTAATATGTACCAATGATAGACTAGAACTTCAGCTTTAAAGGACCGGCATTTTTGCCTTCCCACAAAGACAGCAGTATTTTGTCATTGCTGTATCCTCAGCTCCTCTAACACTGGCAGGTATATATTTAGTGCACAATAAAATTTTTTTCTGAATGAATGAGCAGCACATGCTATAGGTATGATGGGATTCAGAGGGAGGGACTTGTGTGAATGGAGCAGTCCTCAAAGATCCCACGGAGGGGGTGAGATGGGAACTAAGCCTTCAAGTAGATACAGTATTGGTAGACTTATTAAATTTAGTGCCTTATTAATTCATTGTCTACTATATGCCAGGTATGGCTAAAAGGGGAGTGCAAAAACCAAATCAATCACCGACCTAAAATGATCATGGGAATTTAACATGTGCTCTAAAACTCAGCCCTGTCTGCCCAGTATTTCCTATAATTCAAAACATGTATAGCAAAATAAAACCAGAGTGAAATAATTAAGAAATAGTCACTAATCTGAAAACATATAGTATAGCGGCAAAAAAAGGAGAGCATCCAATATTCTTTTTCTTGCCTGCTATTTCCTTTCATTTCTCTCTAAACATAGTTCAAAAGTCCTGGCAAGGAGTGCAAATTCAGATGGATAGAAATGCTGCCCCTTTGTCACTGCGGAAGGGGTCCCTTCCCCTTTGTCTTTCAGCCTGGAGGCTGATGGCACATTAGGCATGGTCCTCTGTCTCATGCAGGCCTCACTGCTTCCCTCTCTTCCAACCACTTTCTAGCCCCCACCCCAAAGTCAACAAGCAGCAACACAGGCATGCATGGGCTGTGTATCTGAGTTCCTAGAAGATCAGCTCTGGTTTGTTCTTAAATCATTTCTCTTGCAAATCTGGAAATTACACAAGTGTCTGTAGGCTTTGGGGAGTAAGTGGAGACCAGAAAAATATAGACACTGGAAGGAGCTCTAAAATCCCTCTGCTACCCACTCCCCAAATAGGTCAACCAGATGCAAGATGCCATATCTTTGGTGTCAGGAATCTCTCGCCATTTTTACTGTTCTAGGAAGTTAAGTGTTGAAGCAATTCAGCAGATTATTTTTCCATGTTGCTAGACTTGTGTTTGGGAAAAAAAAGTAAAAGGAAAATACATATTAAAATATAAAGACATACATATTTATATGTGTATATATGTATATATATATATAATGATATACATATACATCTGTTGCTTACATTGTCTCTATTGTTTGGCTTTCCTTGGCAACACAGTGAATTCGGAAGACTGCATGGCGCACTGTTGAGGCCCTGAGCTTCAGAGTCCAACAGATCTTAGTTTAATCCAAGTTTCCTTGTGTACTGCCAGTGGTTAAACCATCTATGTTCCTTCCTACATATCAGGAGGCCAAAACATGCCACATAGTACTGTTATGACAATTAGCTGGGATTATCCAATGTGCTCAGCAGAGTCCCTGAGGCAGTGTGAATATTAATAAAATTTATATTGGAACCACTTTTAATATGTACCAATGATAGACTAGAACTTCAGCTTTAAAGGACAGGCATTTTTGCCCTCCTACAAAATACAGCAGTGGTTTGTCATTGCTGTATCCTCAGCTCCTCGAACAGTGGCAGGTATGTATTTGGTGCACAATATTTATTCTCCTTTGTTTCTCAATCTTAAGCCTGACCTCAAATTAATCACCTTAGTCTGGCTTTCTCTGTTGTTTATCCTTCTATTTATTTATGCCAAACACCTTAAAGCAGGCTTTCTCAGCTCAGCACTATTGACATTTTGGGCAGGACAGTTCCCTGTTGTGAGGGGTGTTCTGTGCCTTCTGGTCTCTTTAGTAGCATCCCTGGCCTCTGCCCACCAGATGCCAGTAGCAGACTGCTCCCTTCCCTGACTGTGACAATCCAAACTGTCTCTAAGATGTTGACATGTGTGCCGTGGGGTGCAAAATCACCTCTGTCTTGGAGTCATTCTTGACTCCTCTCTGTTTTGCACTCTTCCACCTAATCCATCAACACACCCTGTTCACTTACTTTGAGGATGACTCTCTCTTCACAGCTACCACCTTAATCGAAGCCACCAACATTTCTTTTCAGTATTACTGCATGGGTCTCCTTGCTGGTCTCCTAATCCCCTAGCCTCACCTGCACCCTCCATCACCTCCAGCCTCATTGGCCTCCTTGCAGCTCCTGAAACACAGTGGAAGGCTCCCACCTTTGCAGTGCTGTTCCTTCTGTGTGAACCCCTCTCTCTGCCATCACCTTCATGCCTCACTCCCTCACTTTCAGACCTCTGCTCAATGTCGCCTTTGAGGTGGGGCCTTCCTGACCACCCCAAATTCTGGCAACTCTGGATCTTCCTTCCCTTCCACTTTCTGCTTCATTTTCTCCATAGCACTTTCTTCCATTGAATATAGTTTATTCTACTCATTTTGTTTGTCTTATTTCACTAGAATGTCGACTTCATGAAGGTAAGGTTTTTTTGTATATTGAGTTTTTGCTAGTGCTCCCCAACAGCAGAACAGTGTTTGGCACTTAGTGGGCACTAAAAGATTTGTCAAATGAATGAATACATGTATTATCATCATTTTTTAAAATGTCAAAATTGTGGTAAATTATACATGACATAAAGTTCACCATCTTCGACACTTGTTTAAGTATACAGTTCAGTAGAAATAGGTACATTCACACTGTTGTGCAACCAGTCTCCAGAACTCTTCTGATTCTGTGAAACTGAAACTCTATACCCATTAAGCGCAACTCCCATTCTCACCTTCTTGGCCCCTGCTCCTCTGCTTTCTGTCTTTATGAGTTTGACTACTCCAGGTACCTCATGTAAGTGGAATCATAACTGTATTTGTCTTTGTGTGTCTGGCTTATTTCACTTAGCATAATGTCCTCAGGGTTCATCCATGTTGTAGTATGTGCCAGGATTTCCTTCCTTTTTAAGCTGAATGATATTCCATTGTATGCATATACTGCATTTTGTTTATCCATTTGTTTGTCAGTGGATGGAAGTGAAATTGCTGGATCATATGGTAAATCTATTTTTAATCTTTTGAGGAACCGTCATTTCTGTTTTCCATAGCAGCTGCAACATTTTATATTTCCACCAACAGTGCACAAGGGTTCCAATTTTTCTACATCCTTGCAAACACTTGTTCTTTTATTTATTTTTGATAGTAGACATCTTACTGGGTGTGAGGTGGTATCTCATTGTGGGGCTGATTTGCATTTTTTAGGTGATCAATGATGCTAAGCATCTTTCCATGTGTCTCATCACTGTTTTTAACATCTAGGTCCCTCTTCTTCTCAAGGGTTTGTGGCTTGTCCAAGCAGTGTCATCTAAATCTCCATCTTTCATACCTGCTGCCCAATCCACTCTATTCCCTTTTGGGACTTTGTACATCTGTCTCGGTCTTTTCTCAGTGAGCCTTTCCTGGTTAATGAGGGAGAAGGCTAGTTTTTCTCATTTAAGAACACACTAGAAGCCTGTGGTTCAAAGTCCATTTTTGTCCTTCTCTCACAGACATCAATCTTTATCTTCTACGGGCAATTATCTCACATGAGTTACAAGAGTAAACAATTAAACATTCAAATTAGCACATTTGCTGCTATGACTTCCAGAAGCTCTCTGAGCAGATGATTTAGTCAGTTGACTCACTTATATAAATTCCAATACAACACTTGTCAATCAGATGTTTAACCTGAGAATGAAGTTTCTTTCATCTCTCTTTCCTTTTTCTCGCCTCTTTTTGATCTTGCAGCATCTCAACTTTGAGGAGTTATTTGGAGTCACTGGATATACTTTAACCGTATCTTGTACATATTATCCATGGTAATTAGTAAAGTCCTTTTAAAAAATCTGGAACATGTTTATTTGTGTCACTAGAAACCTAGCATGGATAAAGAACTAATAAAGGAATTTCATATTGTCATGTTAATTTTTTTCCCCTTAGTATTGATGATTTCCTCTTACAAACTCCAAAATGCTTCCTTCAAAAAATATTAACTTGTGTACACAAAGTTCTACACTGATCTGCCTGTGAGAGCCCATTCCAGTCAACACTTGCTCTCTCCTCACTATGGCCTTGAGGTTGTGTTGCACCCATGACCTGAGGATGACTATGCTGTGGTATGACAATAGAAATGTGTATGTCCTAAGTTTCAAGGACACCAGGTGACTGGAGTCCAGATAGTAGATATATAGTCATCTTTGCTTTTTTTTTTTTCTATCTTCCTTTTTTTCTAACTTCTGTAATTCCCTTTTGCGTTTCCCTATAAACTCCAGGTTTTAAAAAATTCTACCTGGCAGACAGCTCCTTCCTCATCTCATTTATGATTTCTTCTCCCTCTTTTAGTCTTTAAACATGGGCACTCTTCAGTTCTCATTGCTGTGTCTCCTGCTTTTTCTCTTTCTTGTCAGGCCCATTCATTTCAACTCTGTTTGCACGTCTCTGCATAAGACCCAAATCCATGCCACTGACCATGGCCTTTCCTGAGCTTGAGACAGGCACCCCTGGTCCCAGCCAGCATTCTGTCAAAGTAAACACATCAACCTAAACCCAGTCCTTCCTTCACACCTCCTTTTTGCTTATTGACTTAACCATCTGACATATCTCGGTTTGCAAAACTCAAATATCATTTCCACTTTCATTTTGCTGTCAACAGAAAGTAGGCAGTACTTAAAGAAGGAAAATATTTGAAGATTTAAAACATTTAAAGGAAGGAAAGATTGTTTGGGACTAGGGACCAAGGGAAGGTCCCAAGGAAGAAGTGGCATTGGGCTGGCTCGGCTTTAAAGCATATGGAGAAGATTGAGTAAGGCACAGATGAGGGGTGGAAGAGAGTTTTTCAGACAAAGGCTATGTTTTGCGAAGAGGAGAGTTATTTGCAGTGGCTAGAAAGGATTGCAGAGAGAAAGAGGAGTTTAAGGTAAAAATGATGGAGAATCAAGAGTTTATTGTAAGGAGTTGGACTTGAAGTGAGAATCCCTGAGAACCCAGTAAAGACTTTCTAGGAGGGTGTCTTAGTCCATTCAGGCTGCTTTAAGAGAATGCCATAGACTGGGTGGTTCATAAACAACATGAAGTTATTTCTCACAGTTCTGGAGCCTGCAAAGCCCATGATCAAAGCACTGGCAGATTTGGTGTCTGGTAAAATCCTGCTTCCTAGATGGCCATCTTCTTGCCCATGTGATAGAAGGGGCAAGATAACCCTCTGGGATCTTTTTTCTATAAGTTACTAATCCCATTCACAAGGCCTCTATCCTTATGACATAACAACCTCTCAAAGGGCCCATCTCCAAATATCATCACATTGGGGCTTAGGTTTCAACATACTAATTTTAAGGGGAAAACAAACATTCAGTCTATAGCATAAGGGCAACATCATTTGAACTCGTAATTTCTGTCATGCATCCCATGTCTGATTTCCCCTGGTAAACTTTAAAGTCTTTGGGTAAAAGTGTACACTTAACATTCTAGCTTTTTCTCTAATTCTTCTCTGAACCCCTCAGCATGTTGCTGAGCACACTGGAATTCAGTGTTTGATGACTAGATGAACAAGATAGTAATTTAAGTATAATGGTAGAATGAACACAAACAAACTAATATAAAAATACATGTTCCATTAGTATATGAACTTCTGAAGCTTTTAGGCTTCCCATATAACTATCCAATTCCTTATTTACCCAGCCTCCCTCCTCTCTCTTGCGTGTATCAGATACTTTGGATATAAAAGAGGAAAGTCTCAAGAAATTGCCTGTGGGAACCAGAATGACATGTAAACAAATTCTGAAATACATTACAAAGAGTGCTATAAGAGACAAATGTCTAGCATTACATGGAAACACACTAAAAAGGACAGCTAGATACCTGGATTGACATCTGAGCCAGATAGACCATTCATTCAAAAATTATTTCCTAGGTGCAAGGAGCTGATGGTATCCTGTGTGGGATATACATACTCAGTCAGGACCCCTACTCCTAAGACCTCTTGGTCTAACTGATAGCAAAATACTCTCATTTATTCAGCTGCTACTATATCTCATGGACTCTCACAGAAAGCTTTTATACAGACAAAGAAACTCAGAGTCAGAGAAGATAGGTGGCTTGCTCGAAAGGATTTGGGTTAGTTGCAAAACTCATGCTTTCTTCACTACACAATGCCTCTTAGAAACAGCAAATGGAAGGATATACAAAGTGTTATTAGTACTTAGAAGCAGGGTTAACTAGAGAGGGTCAGGGAAGTCTTTCTGAAAGAGATGGGGTTTTATAGCAGAAGAGCAACAGGATGACTGTCACTTGTTCTTTGGTCTAATAAACACATTTTGATAACAAGAGCTAGTGGTAGAATGTTTTAAAAAGAGTTGGGGGTCTTTGTTACCCAGGCCGGTCTCAAACTCTTGGTCTCAAGCAATCTTTCAGCCTCAGCCTCCAAGTTTCTGGGATTACTGGTACAAGTTACCATGCCCAGCATCTAGTGATAGAATATTTTTCACCAATTCTGCCATGACCTTGAAGAAACACAAAGGTACAATTTTACTATTGTGTTCTATTTGGATACCTGAGGTTGTATGTAGACGTGATTTAGGGGTGACATTTCCAGAAGAGTTTATTTGCCCCAACAAAAGTCTGTTGCCTGAGGCCCCTTCTCTGCTAACAATAACAAAAAGGTTTGGGACTCAAAGTTCACTATACTTTGTTACAGAAAACAAAGCCAGGGCACTAGGGAAGACAGGCTCATCTTTTTTCCTCTCCCAAGCATCACTCAACTGATATACATCAATATATTTGCACTGGGTTTGTGATCAGACATTTGAGCCTTTATGTATAAAAGGCAAGTCACAATATCCCTAGCCTGAATAATTCATGTTGTTTTTCATGGGTCTTTTAAGCCTTTTTGTTAAACTTGAAGATTAGCTTTTTCTTTTTCTTTTTTACTTCCTTAATCAAAGGTTATTTGGAGTCAACTTTGAACAATTCCTCAAGCTGTACTGTTCAACCATTTGATTCAGTATTTTCAGGATTTGGAAGCAGGTTGCTGCTGGTTCTTAGGTCTGCTGTATTATTCAACGCTTTAGTAAATGATGAATAGGCTGAAAGCCATGAAGGCTATTTTATAATTTCTCAAGGGTCTCTTTACCACCTAATTTTCTTTTCATCAAATGTTATTTACTGAGTACCTCCAATCAACTTCTTTGGTATTGTAGCTTGCTGTGATTCTGGCAGATAATAAATGTCAGCATGGGGAGGGTAAAAGAACCAAGCCTTACATTTAATAATATTGTTTGTTAGAAATTGGCTTCACTTTCATCATAGAGAGTCTCACAGGGGGCAAAACCTTTACTCTGCCATCTTGATAAGATCCCTGGGGTCCCTCTGTGGGTCTCCCTAGGATTTTCCACGTGTACAAGAGATGAAAAGGTTTTTAAGATCTAAGAAACAAAGCAATCTATTATTTATCTTGAAAATCATATTATGTCTTGTGTTGTATAGGCACAGTAGGCATAGTAATGTGCAGTCTATCAAAGACACAAGAACAAAGATGTTAAATTGATATCATATAGCACCTAGCAGGAAAGAATCATTTCTACTTGGAAGGTAGGGAGATGAAAGTGGGAAGTTAGAGAGGACAAACATGTGGAAGGCAAATCATAGCCCTCTCTACACCACAGGAATGTTTACACATCAGACCAAGCACTCTCGTGTTGAGCTCAGATGCAGCTCAGGATCCTTCTCAACACAGTCCACTGGGAAGCCATTGTCAATCTCAAGTTGCCATGCCAGAGGAAAATTTTATTCATTTCTGATGTCTTGGGTGATTTGTATCCAATGCAGGGATAATTATGGGCTGATCCAAGAGGCCACTCTAGAGATATTCCCTATTAAACCCTGTATTTAAAAAATCTAATAAGATGGGAGGTGTTCTTGTAATTATTTCATCATCGTAGTATGCCATGTTTTCTGTTGCAGTGGAGTTTTCATGACAGCTCAGTGTTAGTATTTTATCCCGTTAATTGCAAGTTTACTGCATTGTCAGCTAGTTTATTTCATTAATAGCTGTTTTATCTCATTAGTAGTAGGCTCCCATCTGCTTTGAAGCCTTTGACTAAGATCTCTGTGTTGTCTCTCCTGACTTTCAGTAGTGCATCCCTGACCTCTCCTCTCCAGAGTTTCTAAATTTTGAATAAGCTCTAATTTGCCTCAAATCTTTCATACCTGAAATACAAAGAGTGGTTTCTGTTTCTCTGTCTGAACTCCAGGCAAAAAAGAGATGTTATATTTTATAGTCAAAGCAGTGCAAATGTTTTTCTATTTTGAGCTCTAAATATAGTAGCTTTTTCATCCACATGTTCCTTTCTCTGTGTCCCTAAGCAGGAAATTTCATGCTGTTTATATATTATGCTAAACACTAGTTGTTTCACCTGTGTTTAGTTATATCCACAAAGGAAGGTTTTTTATCTCTTTGAGAGTTGAAGACTAGGCAGTATTCCTATTTTCCTTCTGACATTGTGGCTTTAAAAATTTTTGAACAGCCAATTGAGAGAAAACCACAACTTATTTCAAATTAGTGCTATAAAATATTTCTGTCATTCAAGTTAATGATAGCAAAGGTCAACTTTACGGCCTCACTCAAAAAGGAGTGTAATGGAGATATAGACATACACATTACCTTCAGCACTATGGGTTTCTTCTATTTGCCCCCTGAAAATAAGTAAGTATGCCAGCTTGTCTATTGCCAACTTGGCCTTACCACCAGCCTTCTAAGGTCTCTTCCACTTTGCGGAGGAGATGTTAGGGACTACATTCCTGAATCCGCTGTCCTGTATGTGTAATTCTGGCTTAGAGTTGGCCAAGAAGAAGCACGTGTGTAAGATCTGGATGATGAAAGAGAAGGAGAAGCCTTTATTCCCTTGAGGTAGTTGCAGCCAGACATGTGGGCAGAGATTTCACAGCAGGCTCCTGGTGAGCCCATGAGAAACGTGCTTTATGAATGCAGACAGAGAGAGTTGGTGGGAATTTTCCAGAGACTTTGAAGAATGGCAGTAGGCTCTGGGCAAGCTCTCCAGGAACACCTGCCTCAAAGCTTTCAGCAGAGATCTCTTTGTGCCATCCCCAACCTTAACTTTCCCAGAGCTTCATTTGTATAAACCTCTCCTATCTTAACTTTGTCACACCTGAAATAAAGAGCAGTGGTTCTGTCCCTGCCTGAACACTGCCTGATATGATAAGTAAATGAATAAATGAATGAGTGCCCAGAATACCCATTATAGCATTATTCTAGAGTATTCATCATAGTATCAAAGCAATTGACACAGACATTTGCTGCTGACCAAATGTTTGTGACTTTCCCATATATCCTATCCTCCCTTCTAGTTGGTTGAGGTCATGTGACTACTTCAGGCCACTGGGCCTATTAAAAGCAGCAATGAGCAGCTCCAAGGCATTTAAAATGCTTCTTGTGCTACCTCCACACTCTATGACCCTTTGTAGAGGTCCTGTGTTATCATGGCACAGCTACAAGATGGTAGAGCTTCCAGAAGCCTGGGCCTTTGCATGCTATAGCAGAGCTACCTTGCTGATCTATGCTGAACAAGTAACATGAACAAGAAACAAAACTTTGTTGTATGAAAGCTGTGGGAGTTTGGTTCAACTTGTCTCCATAGCTGATACTAGCCCAATCCGACAATTTTGAGAGTATAAGATCTACTTTTTAAGGTGCAATAGACAGGATTCCCTAGTTTGAAACTACAAATGCACTTTCTGAATGAAATGTATTATTAAAAGTACCCTGCCGATATTGTCTCAAATTCACATAAATATGTTACAAAAAGAGTAAGAAGAAAATAAGTAGTGTGTCAATACATATATATATGTAAAGTGCTTCATTTTTAAGAACTACAAAATGACTAATAAATGGACAAAAGGCAAAATTATAATTCACACAGTGAGAATATAAATTCCAGACAAACGAGAAAAAGTATTCTCATTTATTAGTAATAAATATGCTAACCGAATCAAGGTATCACTTTAAAGTTATGAGATTATCAGTTAAATTATTCATGTTAAAAGGATACTACCTCAAGATGGTTGGGTTATAGGAAAACTTCTTTGCCTATATTTTGGGAGAGGCATATAAACATGTGTGTTTAGAAAGAAATTTGACAGAAAAGGTGACGTAGAAATGGTCATAATCTTTGCCCTAATCATTCTACTCTAAAGAATAATTGAAAAGTGGAAGAAAGCCCCATATATATGAACAATTTTATTGCCAACATTGTATGTAACATAAAAAGGGAATGTAATGTCAAAATGTAATGTAAAAAACATACATATTTAGATAACTATGATTTTAACTATGATTAAAAACATACATATTTAGATAACTTTTGCAATGTTACATAGCTATTAAAAAGTTATTATAAAGCAGGTTCTCAACTTGAGTGTGCATCAGAATCACCTGGAGAGCTTATAAAAACACAGCTTACTCAGCCCAAGTCCAAGTTCTTGATTCAGTAGGTCTGGAATGGGAATCTAGAATTTGCATTTCTGACAATTTCCAGGTAATGCTGGTCCAAGGACCACACTTTGAGAACTCCTGGCATCAAGGATTGCAAAATATTAGTTAACATATATAATACAGCATTAAGTAAGAAAAAGAAACATTGAAATCATAAGCTAAGATACACTTACTCAATAGTGCAAAGAGATATTTTAGTGAAATCATGGTTAAAAGCATGGGGTAAGGAAGACAGTCAGACTCATTGGAATTCCAGCTTTAAAGCTATCATGGGCCCAAAGCTCTAGAGTTTCTACAAACTCTTCAGGGATCTCTGAAAAGGCTTGAGACCTGAAAGAGAAAGAAAAGGAGTAGCAAAATATACAGAGAAAACTGTAACATAGGAATTAGTAAGTATTTAATTAAGCATTCCAAAAACATAACACTGGGCATATTAGACAATTGAAAGACAGCTCTTAATTATATGTACATGTTTATAGAGATGTTTGTGCAACTAAATATATTTCCTATAATGTAGCATGGGGCCTCTAAAAGTAAGCAAATTGGTGTGTGTGTGTGTGTGTGTGTGTGTGTGTGTGTGGTGACGGGTCAGTAGTATTTATACACCAATCTCAACCAGGTCTAACACTAATCAATAACAAAGGAAGAATCCAGTGTTACCTTCATCTTACCGCTGTCCATCAATAGGCTTCACTCACCCCATCTCCAACTAACTGATGTTAGTTACTCTATTGTAGGGTCTACTCTCCACACAACAGTCACAGGAGATTAAATATGATATATCACCCATTAAAATTCTCCAATAACTTCCTCCAGAAATTCAAACTCCATAAGTACAATGATCACACAGCCTGGTTTGCCAGAATCAAATCCAGGCAAAGCCACTGTCCTAGATGAGCTGTCAACAACACACCCTTCACTGAGAAGTGTTCCACTTTGGATGATAAGAATAAGAACAGAAGGGAAACTGTCATTCTCAGCAAACTGACACACGAACAGAAAACCAAACACCGCATGTTCTCATTCATAAGTGGGAGCTGAACAATGAGAACACATGGACACAGGGAGGGGAACATCACACACCGGGGCCTGTCAGGCGGTGGGAGGCTAGGGGAGGAACAGCATTAGGAGAAACACCTAATGTAGATGATGGGTTGATGGGTGCAGCAAACCACCACGGCACATGTATACCTATGTAACAAACCTGCGTGTTCTGCATGTGTATCCCAGAATTTAAAGTATAATAATTTTAAAAAAAGAATAGAATTGCCAGATCCAATACCAAATACCAAGTATTGCTGTAGAAATACTTACACTAAATTTTTTTCATTGTTGATCTGAAATTCAATTTTCACAAGGTATCCCATATCGTTATTTGCTAAATCTGGCAACCCTATTGCCCCTACATAAAGAGCCCTAAACGTTACGCCCCTGCCTACCACCTTGCTGCAGTCACCGCTCCTACTCCCTCCTGCTCCAGCCCCAGTGTAATTCACATGCCTTGAACATCCATGCTCATTCCCTCCTCTGGACCGTGGCACTGCTCTTTGATCTCCCTGGATTACTCATTGTAGCTTCACTCAGCTGACTCCTTCTGATCAACTAGGTCTCAGCAGATGTCAATGCAGAAAGACATTGTCTGATTACCCAGCAAAAAAAGCCTCATACTCTTCCCTCTTTTGTCACTATCTAAAACAGGGTGTCCAATCTTTTGGCTTTCTTGGGCCACATTAGAAAAGGAAGAATTTTCTTGGGCTGTATATAAAAAACACTAATGATAGCTGGCAAGCTAAAAAGAATTGCAAATAAAAATTTCATAATGTTTTAAGAAACTTTATGAATTTGTGTTGGGATGCATTCAAAGCTGTTCTGGGCTGCATGCGGGCCGTGAGTTGGACAAGCTGGATCTAAAATAATAGCCTTTAATCTCATGGCTGTCTTTCTCTCCCCATTCAGATAGAGATGCTGACTGCTGGGGTGGTATATACATGCTTAGAGCAGGCTTGAAACATAGTTAATACTCAACACTTAATTGTTGAATGTTAGATGGAAGAATACAAGTGTATCAAAATACAGCATCTTGAGTTCCTTGTCACAGGAGTACACACACACATACTTTTTCCTTCTAAGAGTTCACATTTCTTTAGAAAGACCTTAGACTTGAAGCTGAGCTATTTCCAAATGTGCAGCGGTAGTGCATATGGTAATGGTTTCATAAAGTATGTTAATCAAGGAACCACAAAAATCATTTAATCTAGGAGGTTTCCTCACCACCATCAAATACTGATTATATTTACATAGAAACTGACTCCTTATCATGCAGCTGATAAACATTGCTGAAGGGAGAGCCTGCAGAAGCCTATTTGCCAGACACAATCTCCAATCCCAACTGCTCACAGAAAATAATCATTTTAAAGATTGCCACACAAAAAGGTGACATTCCTGTGTCATTATATTTCCTTTCCCTATAGCAGAAGCCAGGATTAATAAAGTTAATAAAAAAATTAAGTCACCATATGTTTTTTAAAATGTTTAGAAATGTACGATGATCAACGTTACAATAGTAAGATAAGGACTTAAACTGACTATTTGAGGTTCTAAAAATCCATTTAGGGTGTTAAGCTGTTAAAAATGGTTTAAACTTAAGGTAAAGAATCATGACAGGATTCCAGTTTGATTTGTTCAAGAATAACCGTTTAGATGACTTTGTGTGTATCACATACCGCTCTCTAATTGCATATGTAAATAAAATCAAAGATGCACACACTTAAAGTAAAATCTTGCTTTTCACCCTATGAATTTAAACAAAAGGTATAAAATGTATATTTAAACATTCAAGCACCATCTTTTGCAAGTCTGATTTGCATTCTTCCATGTATTTAAAATAAGCCTCCTCTTCATTGATGTTGCAGATATTTCTATGGGTTACAAACAGCTCCCCATCCGAGCTCTTGTATCGACTTACTGTTGAAACTGCCACATACCAGTGCCTGGACTTGGAAAGAGTTTCCCTGGTCTGTTCCACTTTCAGGGTTCAGGCCCTCTGGTTCAAGAGGTGCCATGTAGCATAGTGGGTCAGGCTTGCTCTGCACTAGTCTCAGGGTAGAACTAATTCTACAGCCCTCTATTGTTCTAGAGAGCATTTTGTGTTGAGGAGCCAACCTAATTCATATGATGCAAAATGTAGATGTTATCTGATAAGATTTTAAGACTTAGGCAAAATGAATATAGTGATTAATTTTTCTTCCTTCCGATTTACCTCTCAGTTTCACTCAGATACATGTAAAATTAACAACGTAAGTGATAAATTTAACAAATCATTTGCTCGTTATAAATATTTAGTTTATGATTATATAGAGAAGGTTTCTATGAGCTCTGACTTCAGTTATGTTAAAAACTGCAGTGATAAAAGGCCCAAAATAATGTACTGAAGATGAATTCAAAACCATTCAGAGGCAAGCAGGGAAGAACATTCTACAATTTAATGCATTGCTCTTCTATTTCAATATCCACTCTGGGATAATCACTGGTTACTTCAAAAAGACCTTTAGATTAAATATAGGGTGCAGCAGCTGAGGATCTGGGGTATTGAAAACAGGGTACAGCATACAGCACCTGAGGATTTGGGGTGATCTTCATTTGACTCTGGAAAATGAAATATATTTTTGTTAACTTCACTCTTTCATCAAGGCAAACCACCAGCTGACGTTGTTGACAATGACTACATACACCTTTAGGACAGAGACTGTGTCATATACATTTTTATTCTCAAGCTGCTCAATAATGTAGTTACATTCAATTCAAGGAAAATATCCTGCATGTTCTCACATTTAGCAGAAACAACCTTGTCTTCATTCATCTGGGTTCTATTTAATTTGGCCGGGGATTGGGGCGCAAGGTAGAGAGTATTAGGTGGAGATGGGGAAAGAGTAGGTAGGATCCTTGGCAGATTCAGCTGGGAAAGCAGCTATTTTAGAATTTTATAAACATACAAATCTCATATGTGTATATGAATTTGATATTAAGATATTCTGTTAGAATTTGCTCTATAAAAATGTAATATTGTATATAAAGGTAAGCTATATAAGGGGAACATTTTTCCAAAATGACTAAGTATATTACAGTCTTGTTTTAAAGCCAAATAATGAGAGCCTTTAGTTATTTTTATATATGAAGTGACAATTTAACATTTATTTTTCTAGACTTTAATCATTAATATCATTAAAATAACAAAAGATAGTCAGTAGAAATGTTTTTCTTTCTTTAAAACCTCTCTAGACTTACACAAAGTCCTATTTAATGAAAATTTCCAAAGCTTACAGAAATAAAAATTGTCTTTTCATGCAATATTACACATTATAAATTTTAGTTTTTGTTATGAAACTATCTCAAACTTCTTTTCTTAAACCATTTGAGAATAAATCGCCAACCCGAGACCCATGACCCCAGATTGTATTTCCCATAAACAAGGACTTTCTTCTACATAATTATAATACATACACTAGAACAGGCAAATGAATATTGATATATTACTATGCAATATCTAATTATCAGACACTACTCAAGTTTCCCTAGTTGCTTCAGTAATGTCCTTCATAGTGAAAAGATCCAGTTACGAACCAAACTTACATCTAGTTGTAATGTCTCTTCAGTTTCCTTCAGTCTGGGACAGTTCTCTGCAGTTTTAAAACTTTCATGACCTTGATACTTTTAAGATAAAAAACAGTTACTGTGTTAACTCTTCCTTAATTTGTGTTTGTCTGATGTTTCTTCACATCTAGATTCAGGTGTTGAATCTTTAGCAAGAAAATCACAGAAGGGATGCTGTGTTCCCATTGCATCCAATCAGGTGGCACATGATTTCTCTGTGTCCCATTACCAATGATATTCACTTTGATTACTAGCATGAGGTGCCATCTACCAGATGTCTCTACTATAATTTTGCTTTTTTTCCCTTTTGTAATTTATAAGTATGTGAGAGAGACACTTTGAAACCATGTAACTGTCCAACTCTTCATCAAACCATCAACTTATTCATTAATTTACTTATATCATCATGGTCGCGCATTTCCTGTTTTATTCAGTGACTTAAAATCTGTCACTAACATGATTGACTTTGATGTTTAACTTGTCCCAGATGTGGGCAGAAATGCCTTTGTGCTGCCATGTGCCAATCATTATCTGAGCACTTCCTTGCTTTCTGGCACAAGATGTTCCAGGCTCACCTTCTTCTTTCACTGCCCTAGCCCAGATATCAGTCAATCCTCCAAGAAACCCTGAACCTTCTAGTGGAGACTATATATAGAAGCCAAGATTTGGGTGCTAGATGTGCTCATTGATATTGGTGTGTTGTTGCTCACAAGCCTTCTCAGTGGATACTGTGTGTTCTAGGGAACACATACACAAAACTGCACACATATACACACACACATATATCTATATGTGTACCAATTTAAGTCTGTGTATACATATAATACATAACCACATAATTATACCTATCTACATATATCCAGACAACTATAATTATCTCTACATATATTGATTGCTATATCTATCTATAGAAATAGATATTGATTTCTATCTATATATTGAAATTCATGAATTCATACCAATATATCTGATTTTTAATCCAACATCACAGAATCCATCCTAGTCCTTTCCCTTTCTGTATTTGTATTGTCTTTCTAAGACTAAGGAACCAGGCCCCCATAATAATTATATTTACTCATCACTGTAACCAATTTCCCAACCCATCTCTCCCATGTTGATGTCTTCTCAGCCCGCTTGGGCTCTGATTCCCCTTGTTGAGCAACCCTCTTGTGTGAAAATCCTTTTCACCCAGCTTGGGCTCTGACACCCCATGCCTGGCCACTCCCATGTATGGACATCTTCCTTACCCCACCTAGGCTCTTGCTTCCCATAGAGCCATCTCCTCTTTTATATGGGCTCTGACACCAAGCTGACTCTCTGTAAGGATGCCCTCCCCATTCTGCTTGGGCTGTGAGTCCCCATGCCTTCCCACACTCACTCGGATGCCCTCTTTGCCCTGCTTGGTCTTCAACACCCTACATCAGGCTACTCCTTCATGCAAAGCCTACCTTGCTGTGCCCTACCTAACTGCTTGTTCAAGATTGTTCAGGAAGGAAAGTAAAGGGAAACAAAGATAAACATTTCAGTTGTAATCAAGGAAATATTAAGGAAGTCTTCATTATGCTTTTGTAAAAAACAAAGTAATGCATGCAACTAATGAAAATTCAGGCAGTTCCAAAGAGCTTACTTTCCCCAGCCCACCCCTAGTTCGATTTGTCTGCATATTCAAGCGTATGTAAGTATAGCCCTTTTTTCCCCCTTTGAACACAGATGGGCTTATGTTAACTGGCCTGCCACTTTTTTCTTTTCCCATTAAATGTACTTCGGAGGTCTTCATATGGCAGCACAATGCATCTACTTTAATATTTGCATAGCTTTGTTGTTTGAATTATAAATGGATATCTGTCTTCCGCTGATAGTCATTTAGGCTTCTGTTTCTGACATTTTCTTTTTATAAGCAACGCTGTAATGTATGCCCTTGAAGAAATATCTTTGGGTATGTTTCTCATCACATTTTCAACTTTTAGAAACTTATTTAATCTCAAAATCAAGTAGTTCAAATAAATAAGGATATAAAAGGCAGACTACTTAAAAGGCATTGTATTTTATCTTAACTGCGAATTTGTTTTGTGTCATAAAATGTAGGGTTCAAAGAGCAAAATCAGATGATTCTGTCCATACACTAGAGTCTATCTAAAATCCTTTTTATAGCAGATGAGGTAACTTAAAGAACAAAGTCCAAGCAATTTAATAACAAAACCAGAGCTAGCACCCATGAGTCGAGCGAGGGCCCACACAGAAGTGAATGCCACAGGAGCAAACTTCCAACCTCCAGGAGGCAATCCTCTTCCTAATATCATTTGCAGTTCTACCTGGAACTGCATCACTTACATGCCCAGAAGCAATTGAATTCCATGTGTCTTTTACTCTTTGATACAAGTAGTGCCCTGGAGGTGGAGTCAGGTTAAACATTTTGCCCCTGTTCTATTTGTCTTCCCATGCTAAATTAATCATTCTGTTTTCAACCCTTAATTATCTTCATCATCCCCATATACATCACACTTAATGAAAGACAAGATCAATAAGGAAGAAGAAGATTGATAAAGATAAAACTGAAAACGAGACCTTAAAGATGAAGCCACCCAGAGAAGAGGATAATAAAATAAAAGAAAAAGCAAAAGCGGTTCAAAGGGGGAAAATTGCCTTCTGAGAATTGAGAAAAGGCTACCAGGGTACAGAAGATACAATAGATAAATTGGGGGCTTAAAGAGGCATACAATTTCCCCAAATAAAATATGGAATAAGAAAAACTAAGGCATATCAGGGGAAAAAGAAAAAGCAAAATCACTGGCTTATTCTTCTCCTCTAACTTAAATATTTCTTTGAGGTGTCAAGTTATTTCCCAGTAAATCTCTTAAATCATAGACTGAGTAGTCATATTCAGATTGCAGTAATCATTAAGCGGTTGTTCATCATATGATTGTCTCAACTAAATATAGAAGGAAAAATAACATAGGAATATAAGGCACATCCTCACAAGAAAGAAATCCCTATCACAACAAAACTATTTAACAAATTAACATAAATTAAAATGGTCCTCATCTTATGAAAAAAGATACATGACAATTTTTAAAAAGTATTTAATACACATCTGAAGTGGATCCTTCCTGTGTCACATCATAGAAATAGCAACCTGGAGACATTTTAAAGTTAATTTTTTACAATCCTAAAATATACCAACTCAAGTTTCCGATGATTCTTAAGGTGATAGCAGCCCCAAGGGGTTGCACTATTCTTTGTGGTTTCCGTGTGCCTTGCCTCCATGTTTATAAATAGTTTCTTTGCTAAACCATCCTTGAATTATCCTAATTCCAGTGTACTGTCTGTTTCCTGCTAGTGGGCTTGCTAATACAGAGAGTAAATGTAGAATGATCTTCCAGGGAGATTAGAAAGGCAGTGGTAGGCATAATTAAGAGAAAGTAATGATCTTCCAGGGAGATTAGAAAGGCAGTAGTAGGCATAATTAAGAGAAAGAGACAAGGTGAAGCCATCTCTGTTCTTTAAATCTTTTTGAACATGTTTGCATCATATCATGTCACTCAGAGTGCAAAAACATAAAGCCATATTTAAAAAATATTATTGCAATGACATCTAACTGTAGCTGTACTTGTCAAGGTTGAGAGTAGCTCTCTTGCGCTATTCTGGTCTTGCAAGGTCCAGGAGAATGGGACAATTCCCTGATCTTCAGTCTCTAGGCATTACTGAGGCAGTTGCTCCTTCCCTAGAGCATTATGGACCTTTTGGAAATAGGCATCCTTCTTTCTTACTTCAGCCAAGAGCTCCTTTGCTAAGGCTCCTTAGGCCTCAGAGACCATCCCACAGCTATTCGCAGCTCTGGGGATACACTGTGCCTCAGGTCACCACCACAGGCAGACCTGGCATCGTTTCTTAACTTTCCAGTAGCTAGAATCCATTTCTCATCCTCTCTGGCCCAGACAACCAAAATGAGTTTTCAATAGATTCCAGATGGACTGGAAGGACATGCAGTATTCTCTTCCAGTCCATCTTCCGGAATGCCCCAAGAAATCCAATTGTAACTGTGGATTTGATCATGTCACTCTTCTGCTACTTCCTTGGCTTTCTATTGATTATGAGATAAAACACAAGTATGAAATAGAAGAGTCTTCACAATCTTGTCCCCAGCCTATCTTTCTGACTTTACCTTTGGTCACTCGCTGTCCTTCCTCTCCAGTAATCTCCTTATATTCTAACTTCATGGAGCTATTGTTCATCCCTGAACACTCAAGTAATAGAAGAAACTAATGTTAATGAGCATCTATGCTGTATCCCCTACTGTACTAAGCTTGGCATTGATCTCATTTAATCCATCCAGCCGATAAGGAGGCTGATGCTCAAGCACCTTAAGAGGCTTAAGCAAGGGTTAGAACCACTAAGTGGTGGAGAGGAAGCTGACCTGGGCCCTGTCTTCCTGACATGATCTGATCTCCAAGCCTCAGAGTTATTGGTGGTGAAGAGCTCCCAACCTGAATGTTCTTTTCCACCTTCACCACCTGGTTAGAACCTTCTGCTTCCTTAAAGAAAAACCTGGATTTTCATTTCCTCTGAACTCTTCCATGGCTACAGTATACAGGGTTGGTCCCTTCTTGCCCCTGGACCCCATAGCACTTTCAACACCTTTCTGTCACTGCTTTTATCACATGGTCTCCTCATTACCTGCATTTGTGCCCATCCATCATTACTAATTGCAGTCGGTTTTTTTGAGAACCAGGACCAAAGGGATATTATTCACCTCTGGTCCTTAGTTGTTACACAGAGTCTGGTAAATATATGACGCTCTACCAATATGAGATACAGTAAAAAGGAAGGAAGGAATAAAAATAAATCTTAGAACTATAGATTGTCCCACCACTACCTTTTGATATACCTGAAATGTAAAGATTTATGCTTTGCCTGGCAGGAAAGTTTCTAACCATATACAATTCTATCTAAGAATGCCAAATAATGAGGTATGCCATATGTATATAAAACTGAGAATAAAAGATTTGCTAAAATGTCAATGAAAAATAAACATTTAATGGCAACAGTATCTTAAAAAGTGACCCAAATGTGCATCATGTCTTATGGTTCTCCACGAGATCTGAACTCAATTTTCCAAAATTAACTCAGAACATAGAATTAAAGTTAAAAAGGACTTAGCAGCAATGATGAATTACTTTTATATAAGTAAAAGGATAAGAGAAAATAAATACGGTAGACTTATGAAAACAAAATACTAAAAGAAAGATTAACCATTTAAGATCAAAGGTGACTCGAAAACTCTAAAGCTCTAACAGGAATTCTCAAAGTGGATTCTAGTGTCTTTAGTGTATAATATCTGAATAGTGACTGAAAGTAATAAAATCAGCAAAAAGGAACACAATTATGGTCTGGAATTGTTATTTTCAGTGTTCTAATTTAGGATTAAAAAGGAAAAATGAAAATAAACTATTTTAACAGCTATGTATTAGAAATATGAAGTTTAGGAAGATCTCACTTGAGAGATGTGAAATATAATTTTCTTTCTTCTGAGGAATAGAGTAAAACATATTTACTCTCCTCAATACAACAAGAACAACAGTTTTAATAAAATTCCTCAGTTTTCTCTGTGTACATTTGTATGAAACACTATGACAGTGAAAAGCTATTTAATATCAAATGAAGACATTAAGTGGTAACAGAAGGATATTATATTTGAAATTCAGTACTGTTTTTCCACTGATTAAGCATGAAATAGAAATCAACAATTCTCAGAAAAGACTGAATTGTCTATTTCAGAAGTTTGTGGTCAATGGTCTAAAAGTTAGAACAAGGGAATGCTGTTGATCACAAAATAAGTTCTATTTACAAAAGAACTTCAAAGTAATCATTTGTAAAGTTATTCTGCACTTAATCAGTAAAGAGTACAGGAGGATTATTTTAACTTGCATATATTTAAGTAGTTCATTTCAAGACTTTTTTTTCTTAAAAGTAACCAAGTATAAAAAAGGCATACTTTTACTGAGACACGAAGTCCCCAAGCTAATTACCATAAAATGAATGAGCTTGGAATATATAAAAGAAGATGTGAAAGTGTTTTATCCAAAGACAGTTCAAGAACCTTTGTGTAAAGAACAGTTTCTGACTCTAAGGCATTGGCATATGTGCAAAGATTTTAAAATAAATGTGTTCAAGACAGGGAGTAATCACTGGTTGCTGATTTTGATCGCTAAGACTAAACTGGAGACTTTGTTTTTCGGGATAATGCAAACAAAACTGTCATCATGTAGTTAATGCTCTATTTTGGGAAGACAGTCTATTGCAAATTACTTTATTAGGAGTTTACTTGACATCCATCTAGAACAGACTGTGGTTCAAAATATCTTATTTGCAATTCTTTTAAATAGATGTTGTAACATGTGTTTTCCACTTTCACAATAAAGGATCTAAAAGTAAGATAATTATTTTAAATGCAAGTCACAAGTCACATATTCCTTTCAGTATATTCACTAACATCAGTCTTGAACTTAACACCAAACTTCTCCAACCATCCTCTTTAGTAGCCTGAAAATAAGTGTTTCAAAACATGGAAAGTGAAATAAGTTTCCATTTCATTGTATCTAGTTTCAATTATTTATGTTTCTAGTTCATTATTTCATTGGTTTGTTCACGCAGGTCATATTTCTGGAGTAGTTAGTATCCAAGAAACCTGCTAGGACAGAGAGCAGAGTAGCCAACAGGGCAAATTCAATCTCTGCTCTCACAGGGCTTACAGTCTAACAGGGAAGACAAGTAGGAAACAATACTTGCACGGAAATCTTTTCTTTTCTTTTTTTTTTTCTTTCTTTCTTTCTTTTTTTTTTTTGAGATGGAAGTCTCGCTCTGTTGTCAGGCTGGAGTGCAGTGGCGCGATCTTGGCTCACTGCAACCTCCGCCTCCTGGGTTCAAGTGATTTTTCTGCCTCAGCCTCTCAAGTAGCTGGGATTACAGGCGCACACAACCCTACCTAGCTAATTTTTGTATTTTTAGTAAAGATGGGGTTTCACCATGTTGCCCAGGCTGGTCTCAAACTCCTGGGCTCAAGTGATCTGCCTGCCTCAGCCTCCCAAAGTGCTGGGATTACAGGCGTGAGCCACAGTGCACAGGCAGAAATATATTTCCTATATACACGATGATAAAATAGAAAGCTCTCAAGCTTTAGAAACATGCAAACCTAAAATCAGATCCTGCCTAGATGTGAGGTAGTGATCACATTTTGGTCTCCTCATTTCAGCAAAATAGGGACTGTGATACCTACCATACTTACCATTACCTGGGATGATGTCTGGAGGAGGCCTGACAATTAATAGGTATTCAAATAATTCCTTTTTTCTCCCTTATTTGCATTCCCTATCCCTTATTTTCCATTAATATAAAACAAGATAACAAAAACTTGGCAGTGAAAAGCTCTTTTCCTCTATTAAATTTAAGAAAATGTAATAAAAATTCAGTTGAAAGCTAAAGCTAAAATAATTTTCTTAGTTAATGAAAGGGTTATCTATACTGAGAATAAGTATATATTGAATTTTGTTATCAAGTTCCTAATCTATTCTGGATGTTCATCCAATTTTCTCACAATAGAAAGCATTTTTTTTAAAAGAATAATATTTTCATTATCTTAGGGACAATGAGATTTTATATTCAAAACAACAAAACCCACAGAAAGCTAAGAATAAAGCAAATATATTCTGCACTTTTTCCTCTTAAGTATAAGAAAATCAAGTTTATGAAATTAAAATTATTTAGGTCTATGCAATCAATTTAAATTTGAACAAAGCTAATACAGTTAAGGAAATTACAAGTAGTTTACAACAACTTTTTTTTTTTTTTGCTTACTAGGGTTGTTGGGTAAAACAAAATGTTAATCTTCATTAGAAGGTTCATGTATATTCAAAATTTTCCAGAGTTTTCTTTCAACTATATTTTTAAGACGTTAAGTAGAAGACTTAATCTTGTGGGTAACATTATGGACCATGACAACCCTATTCCTTATATTTCTTCAGGTACTGCTGGTGCTCATTTAAACCCTATAGGCTTAACTCTGAGCACTTTAATTTGTTATATTTCAATTTAATCTGACTTTCCTTGGAAGAAGGTTTAGGATTTTTGCTTGTGATCTAAAATTCTGATAAGAAAGAGGATTCTGCTACCTTTTCTTCTTGAGATGTAAAGAAAGAGAACAGATAGTGTAACTTCAGAATAATAGGATCTTGGAGCAAGAAGGAGACTTAAAAAAAAGTAACTTAGACCAATTCCCTTATTATATTAATGAGAAAAGTTGGGAGACTTAAGGTTCTATTTCAAGTCAATATCAGAGTCAGGACCGGGGCTCAGTCTGTGGTTCAGATGTGGGGGTGGCTCTTAAGGTGTGGGAAAAGTCTAGGGGTAGCTGGGTGAGTTGGGGTCTGCACCTGTGCATACAATCTTGTGTTTCTCTATTTCTTCTGGAAATTGCATGCAAACAAAACACTTGAGAATATCTGCTTTACTGAGGGGTGTGAGGGAGAACTTTATTATTTATTTCAAAATTTTGAATCCATGTTTTAGGGTTCATGCATCTGTTTTCAGCATTCCATGCAAACTTTTAAAATATCTTATTCTATATCCTTTTAACTGTTTTAAAGACAACAAAGCAATAAACCACACAAACAACTAAACGTGTTATATACCAAATGTTAACACATTGGAGACTTCCAATTCATAGTTCTTTGCTGCTAAATTAACTTACTTTTCTGCAGGTCTTTAAATAAAGCAGGAGTCCCAAAGCAAGCGACAACAGGGACCAAGGAGGTAAGACAGCTGAAGACAGTGAGGACTTCTATGAACTGGAGAGCACAGCCCCATCTAATCCAGGGAGCTGATTGTTGCCTGAGGAAATTCAGCACCAGTGTTGCCAGGTCTTAATTAATTCTTTCAAGAAAAGCATAAAACTCTGTATCTTGATAAACTCATGAAAACAGAAATTTAAAAAACTACTTAGGGATTCAGTCAGTGACTGGCTCATTATCACTTGCTCTAATTAACTGCATTTACTAACCACAGGGTGAAAATAGAAAGTCGCATGAAGGTGGAATAGCACAGCTTTAGAAGCCAGAAAGTGCGGGTCAGAATGTTCTCTCTAGACCTTCAGAGTTTCAAGACCATATGCAAGTACTTAACTCAGAAAGACTCAGTCTTCGTCTGTGAAATAGAGAACAACAGTACCACCTTATAGAATTGGGTGCAATTCAAATGAGATAATACATGTACACACTGTGGGATAGTGCCATGCATCTAAAAAACTTTTTATCATCATCATCATCATCATCATTTCTTCATTCATTTTGAAGTTGTTTCTTTATGGCTATACTACAAATAGAGTCAATGTACCATAATCCCATAGAGCAAACAGACAAACACATTTTATGTTCATAAACATTGTCTTTTAATACAAGCATATTGAATGATTTTTTTTTTTTTTTTGAGAAGGAGTCTTGCTCAGTTGCCCAGGCTGGAGTGCAGTGGCCCCATCTCAGCTCACTGCAAACTCCGCCTCCTGGGTTCAGGCCATTCTCCTGCCTCAGCCTCCAGAGTAGCTGGGACTACAGGTGCTCGCCACCACGCCCGGCTAATTTTTTTTGTATTTTTAGTAGAGACGGGGTTTCACCATGCCAGCCAGGATGGTCTGTATCTCCTGACCTCGTGATCCGCCCGCCTCGGCCTCCCAAAGTGCTGGGATTACAGGCGTGAGC
This sequence comes from Homo sapiens, assembly GCF_000001405.40. Taxonomy (NCBI): domain Eukaryota; kingdom Metazoa; phylum Chordata; class Mammalia; order Primates; family Hominidae; genus Homo; species Homo sapiens. The sequence goes on from NC_000003.12 coordinate 66,970,417, forward strand.
CACCGCGCCTGGCCCATATTGAATGATTTTAAAAAACAATTTAATTCTTTAAATGTACATAGAAATTTAAAATTATTGTTTTCACAATTCCTATATGCACATAATATACAAAAACAATATAGCTATAGGAAAAGAAATAGAATGTGGTTTCCCCTGACATAGAAGATTGAATATCATTTCCAGTTTTAGCCATTTATGTAGTAGTTAGCATAACCTGCCTGAATTCTTCTTGAAACTGTGATTGTTGCCGGCCCTAGTAGAATCTGCAAAGGCTATCATTTTAAAATTAACCTTTCTGGACAGGCATCTGCATGTGATTTAAAATTTTTCTTCAACATCAAAATGTAATAATTTGAAAAGCTTTTCTTCTCCCCGATAAACAGCAGATAATCATCTATTTCAACAAAGTTGTTCAATAAAATTTTGTGAATATTAGAAGATCCATAGCCTATCATGGTTTTTTGTTTCAACCGTCATCCACATAGCTACGCCAAATCCACTGAGCTCTACGGGATAATAAGAAAAGGCCCCACCATATCTCACGGAGTTTAGTGTCAATACAAGAAAATGAGTTTAAAAGTTCCAAAGATAACTTCTTTTTAGCGCTTCTGTACATGTAGGTTTGTGCAGAAGACAGTTATAGTAGTTAGTGATTTAATTTTACCAATTTAAAATTACTATCTGAAAAATGGATTCAAAAGGTAGGGATTTACACAGGGTTTTTGCTGTTTTTATTTGGTTTCAACACATTTATAACATTTTTAGGTGAGCTAAAAACTTAGCGCACCTAAAATAAATAAAATTTATTTCCCAAATAAATTTCAGGTGTGCTAAAGATTTAGCACACCTAGGATAAATAAAATTTAGTTCCCAAATAAATATAAATATGTAACACGAATCATCATAATAATTACATAGACATAAACTCTTTCCTTTGCAAGGCTCGGAGGTCAAGGAAACAAGACTTTAGAGACTTAAGTGACACCCACAACATTCAGAAGCTCAAGGGCACTGCAGTAAGATGGAAAGGGCAAGTCAGGGGCTGTTCTGCATCTGTAAACAGGAAGAGCAATAGTCTCCTTATTTCCCCTAAGGAAGTTCTGAAGTACAGCATGTCATCTTTCCCCTAAAAAGGCTCACTAAACTTAGATTTCTAAACTAAACGTCACAGTTCAAAAATTGCTCTGGAGCTTTCAGACTTCATTTTTGTCCAACCTCATGCTTATTGTATAAAAGGACCAATTTCTGAAAAGCCAGACGATAGGGAGCACGGGTGAGAAGAAACCTGCATTATATTGTCAAAGGGCCGACTCTGAGATTGAAATTGATTCCATGAAGTGCACATTCACATAAATATACAAGATCCACCTCGGTTTAGTTTTATTTCCCCACACATCAAAATATCAAAACTCATTTTCCAAAAGATCAAGATGCTCCAAATTTCAAAAAAAGAGAAAAGCAGCCGAGGATGAATAACCTTTTCTATACCACAAAATTACCCCTTGCAAAGGACAACTAGATTCCTTGTCCACACAAGAGAAACGGTTGTTGAGAATGTCAGAAAGAGGAGACCTTTCTTTTCAGCGCTAGGTGGCAGAGGAGAGTCGCCTATGCGTCCAGGCTGTCCTGGACAGCTGTGGTTGACGCTAACGCCTGGCTGCTCTCACTTTCACCTTCTCTCTGGTGTCAAAGAGAAGCCTTGAGGCCGTCCCGACGGCCTCTTCCTTACAGGGGAAACTGCTGTGAGCTGAACACATACCGCTCTTTCAAACCTTTAAGTGCAGCTTAGTTAACTGGTGGAATTAAGCCCACATTGAAGGGGCCTAAATATACAACCCTGTTCTTCAGGTTAGGAGATCACATGTCAAAATATAACCCCAAATTAATATAAGAAACACGCTGGGGGTGCCAAGTGTTGAACTACTTACAGATGCTGAGTCCTGCAGGAAGCTCTGAGATGGCGCCTGTCTTTCTGGCGCGCCCGCAGGAAGAGGTTTCAGCTGAAACAGCCCGCGAGCTTCATTCGAGCTCCACGTGGGGGCGAGACTCCGAGGAGATGTCTGGTCGGATGCTATTGCCATGATCAACTCTCCTTAGTGTTTGCAAACCTCAAAGAAGAGGTTTTGAAGAAGTCTAGCTTCAGTATCCACCCATGCCCATTAAGCCTCATTTTCTGTTACAAAAATGAGGTTAATAACAGCATCTATTTAAAGGGTTGTGAGGAGTGAATGAGATTGCTGACCCATGAAAAGTGCTCTGTATGGTGCTTTCTCAAAAAAATACTCAAATGTTAGCTATCATTATTACCCCTGCCGAATGAGACAGGGAATGGGAAGGTTCTGTAAAATAAAGAGCAGCCTCATGCCCACTCTCCTCGCACCCTCTATGCTTCCTCTCAGCCGGTAGACTCGGTGTTTCTGCAAGCACATCCTGGAATTTCTCCCGTTTCTTCAGTATGTAAAGCATAGCGTCCACAGCTTTATGCTATGCAATCAGATAAAGGTGGGTCTGAAAACTGCCTCTTAGCCATTTACCAGCTATGCAATTTTAGGCAAATTGCCACCTTTCTGAGCCTCTGTTTCTCCATCTGAAAAACTAGGAAAGTAATAAGACTTTTCTCCACAGGTAATTTATGAAAATGAGATGGTGTACTGTCAGGTGCAGAGGAAGAATTCACCAAATGTTAGCTGCAATTAGTAGTATTCGTATCACTATTAACTTTGCCTGGCGTAACCTCCCCATCTAAAGCTGCTTTCTTTAAAGGCTCACTTTAAAAATGTCTATCTGTCTATATGTCCGTTCTCTCATGCAACACATATTCTTGTGTCTCCTTCATACTCTGGGGGATTAAGAAATGAATTTGACATAGTTCCTGAAATCAAGGAGCTGAGTGTCTGGCAGCAGAAATAAGTCAGTCAGGTGTATAAAGTTTTTAATGCAGTGTAGAGTGCTAAGTGGCCTAACAGGCATTTATTTTAAAGATGGTGTTAATTTGGCCAGGCGCGGTGGCTCACGCCTATAATCCCAGCACTTTGGGAGGCTGAGGTGGGCGGGTCACCTGAGGTCAGGAGTTTCAGAGACCAGCCTGGCCAACATGGTGAAACCCGTCTCTACTAAAAATACAAAAATTAGCTGGGTGTGGTGGTGCATGCCTGTAATCCCAGCTACTCAGGAAGCTGAGACGGGAGAATCGCTTGAACCCAGGTGGTGGAGGTTGCAGTGAGCCAAGATCACGCCACTACACTCTCGCCTGGGCGACAGAGCAAGACTCCATCTCTAAAAAAAAAAAAAAAAAAGGTGTTAATTTAACATGAGGAGAATCTAGGAAGGGAGACAATGTGTACCATATACTATTACAGTTAGCAGCATGAAGTTTTGGGTTACGGAGATCTGGGGTTAAATCTCAGCTTTACCTCTTGCTTTTTAAATATCTTTGGATAATTCATTTGTTTATTTTTTTGAGATGGAGTCTCGCTCTGTTGCCCAGGCTGGAGTGCAGTGGCGCAATCTCGGCTCACTGCAAGCTCCGCCTCCCGGGTTCACGCCATTCTCCTGCCTCAGCCTCCCGAGTAGCTGGGACTACAGGCGCCCACCAGCATGCCTGGCTAATTTTTTGTATTTTTAGTAGAGACGGGGTTTCACCGTGTTGGCCAGGCTGGTCTCTGAAACTCCTGACCTCAGGTGACCGGCCCACCTCAGCTTCCCAAAGTGCTGGGATTATAGGCTTGAGCCACCGTGCCTGGCGCGTTAGCCAGGATGGTCTTGATCTCTTGACCTCGTGATCTGTCCGCCTCGGCCTCCCAAAGTGCTGGGATTACAGGCTTGAGCCACCGCACCCGGCCTGGATAATTTATAATATTCTCTCTGAGCCTCAGTTTCTACATCTGTAAAACAGAGATAATTGTAGAGTGTACATGATGGAGGGTGAAGTGATCGTTACATACAGAAATCCACTTAAAATGTGACAGAAGTTTCAATAAAGGTTAGCTCTTATTCATAGTAATAATGTTAATATAGCTAATCTTGTCACCAAGTCTTGGTGCTGGTGGCATTGAATGGTTCTTGAGTTATGAGTAGGATTTCAATACAGGGCTGGGGGAAGGAGATGAGGCAGGAAGGACAGCTCAGAAGTGAGAAAGAAGGCAAAGTCAGAATGAACAGAGGGTGGCTTACTCTGGCTAGGCTCAGTCTGGCCTCATCACACACTAAAATGTGTAGTTAGAACAATCACTTGTCTTGCTTTACCTGGGACTGAAGGGTTTTCTGGGGAAGCAGAACTTCCGGTCAGCAAAAACTGGGGAAGTCTTGGGAAAAGGAGGATAAGATGATCACCCTACATGCATTAGGCCTTTCTTGTGTTGCTATAAAGAAATACCCGAGACTGGATAATTTATTTTAAAAAAAGAAGAAGTAGTTTAATTGGCCCACAGTTCTGCAAGCTGTAAAAGCATAGCACCAAAATTGCTTAGCTTCTGGGGAGACCTCAGGGCACTAGTATTCATGGCGGAAGGCAAAGTGGGGGCAGGCACATTACACGGTGAGAAAAGGAGAGAGTGGGGTGGGGGAGGTGCCACACACTTTTAAATGACCTGATCTCCTGAGAACTCACTATCACTACCATGAGGACAGCACTAAGCCATTCATGAGGGATCTGCCCCCATGACCCAATCACTTCCCACCAGGCCCCACCTCCAACACTGGGGATTACATTTTAACATAAAATTTGGGCGGGGACAAATATACAAACTATATCACTATGCTTCAAGAATTGTGGCTCAACAGACAAGGGTCTTGAAGGCCATGTGAGGGGGTTGAGGCTGTATTTGTAGGCAATAGGAAGCTCTTGAAAGTTTTTGAGGTGAGGAGTGACTATTCAGAAGTGTGTTTCAGGCAATCAGCCTACAAAACAAAGGTTTTGTCTCTCATCCTTGCCCAATAAGTCTCTTCTGCATTGTTCCTTCCACAGTCCTTGGTTTATATCTGCCCTCTCTGTTTATCACACTGTATCTGTGTTAAAAATATATGTGAGTGTCCTCATCATCTTACAATATAATCTCCTCAATGTCAAGATTGGGTCTTCACCATCTTATCTCCATTATGTCTTATATAAGCTCAATATGTATTGAATTAAGTTGAAAGCTTGTGATTCTATACAATACAATATTAATTGACATTTACAATTCATCTCGGTTCAAAATTGAACATCAGGTGTCAGTGTGTCTAGTAATTATTCTTCTGATGACATGGAAAGTCAATCTTTAAAATATTGATTGGGAAATCTACACACAAAATAATCCTCTGTAAATGTAAGAAAGTGTTCTTCTCTTTTCCATGAACATTTCTAATTGAAAAAACTGTTCTTACCCACTCAATTGACCAGTAAATGCTTTGTAGTATGATGTTCTCTTCCCTTTCTGGGCCTGAGATACAGGTTCCCATGGAACCTCGACTGTACCTGTATCTCAGGTAAAGGAGAGCAATTGGTAGAGTTTCCATGCAGGGTTCCAGTTGGCCTAAGGTCATTTTTGAATGCTTACGGGAAAAGTTTGTTTTAGGCACTGATATGGTTTGGATCAGTATGCCAACCAAATCTCATGTTGAATTATAATCCCCAATGTTGGAGATGGGGCCTGGAGGGAGGTGATTCGATCATGGATGCGTTTTTCATGAATGGTTTAGCACCCTCCACGTGGTGCTGTTCTCATAATAGTGACTGAGTTCTCGTGAGATCTGGCTGTTAAAAAGTGTGTTGCACCGCCCATTGGCTCTCCCTCTTGATCCTGCTGCAGCCATGTGACTTGCCTGCTTCTCGTCACCTTCCACCATGATTGTAAGCTTCCTGAGGCTGAGCAGATGCCAGCACCATGCTTCCTATCCAGCCTGCAGAACCATGAGCCAATTAAACCTCTTTTCATTATACGTTACCCAGTCTCAGGTATTTCTTTATAGCAACGTGTGAATGAACTTATACAGGCACTGTCAAGTCAATGAATCAAGTAAAAAGCATTTACACACAGACCCTAACTTATAATGGTTTGGCTTACAATTTTTTGACTTTACAACGGTGTAAAAGTCAGCAACATTATGTATAAACTATACTTTGTGTACCCACACAACCATTCTGACTTTTTACATCATTGCTGTAGTCAATAAATTATATGAGATATTCAATATTTTATTATAAAATTGGCTTTGTCTTAGATGATTTTGCCCAACTGTAGGCTACTGTAAGGGTTCTGAGCATGTTTAAGGTAAGCTATGCTATGCTATGATGTTCAGTAGGTTAGGTGTATTTAATGCATTTTTGATTTACAATATTTTTTTTGATGGGTTTGTCAGGACGTAACCCCATCATAAGTCAAGGAGCATGTATATTTATTTCTATATGTACAGGATTGTGGAAGAAGCCAGGATATATTAATCTGTGAGATAACATAGCATGGTGGGTTTTTTGGTTTGCTTTTGTTGTTTTGCTTGTTTGTTTGTTTTATTTGAGATAGGGTCTAGCTTTGTTGCTCAGGATGGAGTGCAGTGGTGCAATTATGGATTGCTTCAGCCTCAGACTCCTGGGCTCAAGTAATTCTCCTGCCTCAGCCTCCCAAATAGCTGGAACTATAAGTGTGTGCCACCACACCTGGCTAATTTTAAAAAAAATTATACAGACAGGGTCTTTCTATGTTGCCCAGGCTGGCCTTGAACTCCTGGCCTCAAGCAATCCTCCTGTCTTGGTCTCCCAAAATGCCGGGATTACAGGTGTGAGCTACCACACTGGGCCTAGCATGGTGGTTTTAAAGCAAGGATTGTAAGGCCAAAATGACTAGAGTTCAAATTCCAGCTCTGGATTTCACTTTCTTATCTTTGATAAGATATTAACCTCTCTTAGCCTCAGTTTCTTTACGTGCAAAATGGAGGAAAAACAGTACCTTCCTCATAGGATTGTTATAAGAATAAAATGAGATAATGTATGTAAACTCCTAACACTGTGAACACATTTTATGCAAGAAGTATGTTCCTAAAGCCCTTAGATACTCTAAGACTGACCCAGGCAAAGGATGAAATATGTTTCATTTACTGGCTAAAGACAGACTTCCTTGTAGACAGTTCACTGATTCAATCACTCATTCATTCACATAGTTTATAAACACTTAGCTAACCAAGCTTTGAAATTACATGATTCTTGACAAATTTTGGATTCCTGGCTGGGTTTGCTTGGGTTCCTGGGAAGCAGATACTACGTAGAGATGAGCATTCAAGAGGCTTAAGGGCTGGGCACGTGGCTCACTCCTGTAATCTTCGCACTTTGGGAGGAAGAGGCTGGTGGATCACTTGAGGTCAGGAATTTGAGACGAGCCTGGCCAACATGGTGAAACCCTGTCTCTACTAAAAATACAAAAAATTAGCTGGGTGTGGTGGCGTGCACCTGTAATCCCAGCTACTTGGGAGGATGAAGCAGGAGAATCACCTGAACCCGGGAGGCAGAGGTTGCAGTGAGCAGAGATTGCCCCACTGCACTCCAGCCTGGGTGACTGAGTGAGATTCCCTCTTTAAAAAAAAAAAAAAAAAAAAAGCTTATTAAGGAGTGGTGTTGGGATATTTACAGGTAGGGAAAAGGATGCAGTTAAAACAAAGGCTCCAGTCAACCCTGAAGGATGCTCTGAAGCTGAGATATCTCTTTTAGGATGTCCAATGTTAAGGCAAAGGCACTGGGTTTTCATACCCATTTTGACCAGTTCTTCCAGTTCTTGAAGGGAAGGAGGTATGGTCTGCAGCAGGGCAGCTCTCTTCAGCTGATGCAAAATCTGGAGAGACACTGACCTGAGATCAGTCAGCCCATTTTACTCCCAGCAAGTGGGTAAATAAGGCCTGAAGGAGGGCATCTTAGCAGAATGATACCCTGTCTACTGCAAGCCAGGTTGTTGTGACTTCAGATGTACATAAAGTGAAACTTTATATTTTATTGTTACATAATTTCAAAATGATAGACTTTGCCACCTCCCTGGGTATGTGCCCTATTACTATTGTCATGCTGCCCTAGACAATGAATTTCCCATTTATTTAATGGTGCCTCCTTCTTAGTAATTTGGTAAGGATTACAAGTTACGTAATGTATAGAAGGTGCTTTACGAAGATCCTGGCATGCAGCAAACGTCTGGCACGTGTTAGCTGTTTTTATTAAGAGAAGGTCTATGAATACAGAAGGACTCAGTAATAAATGAAGGAAAGGAAACTATGTTAGGATTTAAAAATTTGCAGACTGATTTAAAGCACTGGCAAAGTTTACATTATGGTATTTGACTAGTGGGTGTCTCGGTCTAGTTTTATGTCAACATTAATTGAAGGTTTGGGTTTTGGCACCTGGTGGGAAGCCTAGGCGAGACTGTGAACATTCTTCTCTCCCTCTTATTACAAGGGAATTTAAGAATCTTAGAATTACACTCTGTCCATTTGGGGAATAAAAACGTAAACAATCATAGCAAAAAAAGGACAGAGACCAACCAAGATGTAATAAAGGATTCAAATATGAGACACAGGAAATTTATCCCCCAACTAGGTCCTCATCCCTACACATGTAAAAATATTCATTATTTCACTCAAATTCTTATGAGTTCTTGTAGACAGATACTATATTTCTCTAAATGATTTTTTTTTTTGAGACATAGTCTTACTCTGTCACCCAGGCTGGAGTTCAGTGGTGCGATCTCGGCTCACTGCAACCTCCGCCTCCTGGGTTCAAGCGATTCTCCTGCTTCAGCCTCCTGAGTAGCTGGGATTACAGGCACACACCACCATGCCTGGCTAATTTTTGTATTATTAGTAGAGACGAGGTTTCATCATGTTGGCTAGGCTGGTCTCAAACTCCTGACCTCAAGTGATCCGCCTGCCTCGGCCTTCCAAATTGCTGGGATTACAGGCATGAACCACTGCGCCCGGCCTCTCTAACTGCTTTTTAATGTGCTAAACATAGTATGAGCACAATGAATAAAGTGATAATATTCCTTTTGGCTGTCTTAGGTGAAAGGTGATTTTAACACACACACACAGACACACACACACACACACACACACACACACATTTATATACCTATTTGTAAAGGTAGATTCAAAACAAAGGCTTCCTTAACAGTGTCCTGCTCCTACCCCTTCCTCATCCCCAATAGGATTCAGATGTTTATTTTCAGATGAGGAACTATGTCCTACTCTGATTTTGTTTCGTTTTTATTAATACCTCTACAAGTACTTAGCACAGTGTCTGGAATGCAGTGAGCGCTCAATAAATATG